>NC_000015.10:33882934-34185964 GCF_000001405.40 Homo sapiens
ATAGCAGCAATCTTACACATGCTTCTGAAAATATTCAGAAAGAATGTTTCAAGCAGTATACAATGCTTCAATTTCTAGGATTGCTTCATTAAACTCATGACCATAAAACAAATCTCCAAGGGTAGGGGCTGATAAGGAGATCAAGTTCTTACCTAGTCAGTTACTATTTGAGAAGACAAGCGTAGTTGCTGAGGAACAACTTTACCATCATCAGTACTCTATTCTGGCAGAGCCAGCCAAACAACATCTTGTTCCTCTAGACACCTCAGTTAAAAGGTAGCAACTTTAGTATTGCAAATGTGTAGTGTAGTGTATGGTGACTACAGGAATAACCAAAAAGCTGACGGTGGTCAGAAATCAGTATGCCCATTTGTCTAAATCTGGCTACTAAAATTTTAATATAGTCTTTAATTTGAGTTTTTTTCTTGTATCCCAGTAGTCCATTTTACAACAATGATATTTAGCTTTAACTTCAGCTAAATATTGATCATTTGGCCAAAATGTGTTTTGGTGAACCACAATATTCAATCAGTGGCACTCCATTTGGTAGGTCTGTATGTACTGACACAGAAAGATACCCATTATCTCAACTGCTACATGAGAAAAGCACGCTTCAGTATAGTATGAATGATACATATATAGATATAAAGATATATAAGTATGTATATCACAAAAAATACTAATTTATGCATAGAAATTAGTCAAAATAATTAATACCTATTTTTAAAATGATTATCTCTCAGAATGTGGGATTGAAGGAAACTTTTCCTTTTGACACAATACATTTTCCAGTTGAATCATCCTTTGTAAACAACAAGGATTTTTCCTTTTGGAACGAAACAAAATGGAAGAAAATCTAGAGAAAAAGCTCAATTTTCTTGAGGGCAGGGACCTTCTCAGAATGTATTTGAGACAAAATATTCAGAGACTTCAAAAGTTGGAACTGCAGACATCATTCATTCTAACCCTCACTTTATAGAGCTGTGAAGAACCTTAGCTCTAGAAAGTTCAATGTTCTAACCAAGACCACACAGCCATTTAATGGCTAGACACCTAGACTCTTGGCTCACAGCATTTGTTATTTTATTTTTTAACTTTGCTTCTCCAAAAGACAACCTGGCATCGATTTTTCTCAAACTCCTGGGCTCAAGGGATCCTCCCACCTCAGCCTCCCCTCCCAAGTAGCTAGAAATACAGATGCATGCCACCATGCCCAGAGAGCATTTACAATAATAAATTATTAAGTAGTAAAGCTCTTTTTTCCACTGTTTCTGCTAGGCCTCTTGGCTATCTTGAGTTCCCCAGAACAAAAGCAAATGCTCAGGAAATATTTTATGATAGTTGACATACTAATATTTGATTTGTTGACATGTTTGAAGATATGGAAGTCCAAACTAAGAAATAAAGAATTCCTCTTTTTAGGAAATCACCTCAGGAATTTCCTAAAATTATGCCTATAGTACTTTTAAAAATAGTCTGTCTTACAGAACTCTAAGTATTCTAATAATGATAGTATTAGTGAAATAAAGGTGTCGTACCAATTCCATCACTGTGTTTATAATATCCAGGATTTTCACTCTGCCTAACTTCCCAAACTGGCCTAACACATGTCTTATGGTCAGTGGCAAAGTGGACATTAAACTTGCTAGAACTCCTCAGTACTAATATGCTTTCAAAAAGCTTACCATCTAGTCATAGATAATACAGCTGCCAATTTTAAGCTTACCCTTTCAGCCCTATCAACAAAAAAAGGGCTTTCAGTCAAGCAAAAGTACTTAACAAAGCTATCCAGTGAGAGTTCAGAGATTACAAGGAACAATCTTTACTCAGGCAGAAGGAAACCTGCAAAGACTTTCAGAATGAACAATACAGATCAGGCATATGTGAAGAGTGAATGTGAAAGATGGAAAATCTTCCCAAGCCTACCACCCAATTCTGATCATTTGATAGTAGCAATTCCCATAACTCATTCATCCTGGCTATTTGGATCTTTCAAATCATATAATTGACCTGAATCTTTGTGGTGTCTCCTTTAGGAAACCAACTCTAGAAAGCAGAGGAATGTGTCACCAATTCTGCATAAGTACTTCATTTTAAGCTCCATTTTCCTGGCTCCTCTTCATCATGATCATCTTCCTTTATCTATCCCACAGCCCCTGCAGAACATGTCCTCAACCAGGACACCAAGTTACTGAAAAGTCACAAATGAACTTTATAGGTCGACAAAGGCTGAGAAGACCCCAATCTTCACAGAGGAGGAGAGAATGTCCAATAGTCACCGCAATGGCTGCTACCAAAAATAAAATGTCCTCTTTCATTTCTCTGAACTTCTCTAATCTCATCTATGAAAGATGACATATTTGGAGGGTCAAGGTGGATCCTAAGTCTCCACGCTGACACAGATCAATCCAGGGAAAATCCACAGCTCAGCCTACAGGACATAAAAATTCTTCACCACTTCCAATTTCTAGCTTCCATGATTCAGCCTTTGTAGATGCAGATGTGATGTCCTTCACCTCAATATTTACCCTAAAACAAGCGACACCTAACACTTTGTCTTTGTGAGGAAGACTATGCAAGTCACTACGGTGATTATTTTAAAAGTTAGGCTGAGCTAAATGAACAAGAGAATAATAATAAAAATCTCTCCTCCTGCTCAACAGTGACTTATAATTAGCTTTCTCACCAAGTGTAGGGCCCAAAAAGCCCCTGAGCATCGAACATCCACACTGAGCACTACATAATAGGTTGTGCCTATCTTCCCAATGCCATTAAAAAGCTGCTTCCCCATCTGCATGGATTATGTTGAAGGAAATGCCAAATACACTAAGGTACCTTAAAGGGATTCTAGGCTTTATGAGAAAAGGATGATGACATTCTGGAATTTAGAACCCAGCTGTTTTCCCCAAAACAGTTGGTGACTATTCTGTTAACCCTGTACCACTGTATATGACCTAGTAAAAATTGTCAGATCAATCACCTTCAGAACAAGGCCAGCATCAAACCCTGGCACAGAACTCCAAGATGAGAGTAGATGACTTGACAAAGCTGAATAAATAAGGGAATACAAAGATCAGTCTTTGGATGGGCAATGAAGTCATAAGATCTTAGAACTGATCTGTAGTATAGTGTGTCAGGATAAGCTCTGGCTGCATGTAACAAAGACCTGTACCTGTATATCACGGCCCAAACAAGATAAAAGATTCTATCTCTGTTGATATGGTTTGGCTCTGTCCCCACCCAAATCTCATCTTGAATTGTAGTTCCCATAATCCCCACGAGTCATGAAAGGGACCCAGTGGGAGATAACGGAATCATGGGGGGCGGTCTCCCCATGCTATTCGCATGATAGTAAGTTCTGACAAGATTTGATGGTTTTTTGTTTTGAGATGGAGTCTCGCTCTGTCGCCCAGGCTGGAGTGTACTGGCACTATCTCAGCTCACTGCAACCTCCGCCTCCCAGGTTCAAGTGAGTCTCCTGCCTCACCCTCCCAAAGAGCTGGGACTACAGGCATGTGCCACCACACTCGGCTAATTTTTTTGTATTTTTAGTAGAGATGGGGTTTCACCATGTTAGCCAGGATGGTCTCGATCTCCTAACCTCGTGATCCGCCCACCTCAGCCTCCCAAAGGAGAGTTGATGGTTTTATAAGGGGCTTCCCCCTTCACTCAGCTCTCATTCTTCTCTCTCCTGCCACCTTGTGAAGAAGAACATGTCTACTTCCCCTTCCACCATGACTGTAAGTTTCCTGAGGCTTCCGCAGCTCTGCAGAACTGTGAGTCAATTAAACCTCTTTCCTTTATAAATTATCCAGTCTTGGGTATGTCCTTAGAGCAGTGTGAGAATTGACTAATACATTTGTCAACTAAATGAAGTACAGAGTCCAGCAGTCAAAGGCTGGTATGGTGGCCCAGGCTCCCCCTATTGCTCTGCCATGCCTGGGGAGGCCCTTCTTGCCACAGTCCAATATGAGAACCAGAGCTCCTGCTATCCCATCAAAATTCCAGGCAGCGAGATGGAAAAATAGTTGAAGAAAAGGGGGCAGAAGGCATGCAGCATCTATCAATTAAGGTTTTCTAGAAACTACAATAGAACATTTGCACTCATTTCTCTTTTGGACAGAGCTATATTGTAAGTATAAGAAATACATCATAGTTCTATCAAACCACAAAGTATGTAAGATAATTTTTTTCGGGTGGCCATGAGTCCAGATAAGAATCAGAGGTTCTATTACCACAGAGAAAAAGGGAGAATGACTATGGGGTTAGGAAGCAAATACTCTCTGTGACAAGTTATGGGACCAAACTACTTGAGAAATAGCTAGTTAATAAGGGTCAGCTTCTAGGGGAGGGATTGTGCTCACTAAACCATGAGTTGTCTCCCAACCATTTTGAAAACTTGTAATATTCAGACTTCTCAAACTGGAATTTTAGACAATGTGCCTTTCAACATTTTTTTCAGTTCTAACATAGGGTAATTATGGGGTAAAATTCTAGTTTCCAGCAGAATGTAACAGCTTTTACCAAAATAAATATTGTTTACTACCTTTCTAGGGGAAAATGGGAATGACTTCAGGAGTGATGATTCTATTTATTAATTTTCATTTTTCATACATTTTAGCACAACTATGTGCCAAACACTATTGTATGTTAATAACATAAATATAGAAGATACACTCCTGCTCTCCTTATTCTCAGACAGACTCTGAGTTGAACAAGACAAGAGAAGACTACATGAAACAGAAAAAAAGAAACTTAAAGGAAATCTGAATTCTTTCCTCAAGGACTTAGAGGGGGTCACATTCTCTCCCTTTATTATTTTATACACACAATGATATGCTCGTGATACTAATTTATTTAGAAAAGATTTGGTCCACCAAGAAGCTTATGTGTCTTACTAATAACTTGTCTGACACCTAAAATGTTGAGTATTAGTTAACTTTGTTGGTGAAAACCACCATACAAATAATCAAAGCTTCCGGGTCCAATGCCTGGAGTTGAAAGCCCAACAACACCATCAGCAATCTTGCAACCACACCTAGTTCACCCTCAGGGAGAGCAGATGAGAAAGAACTTTCCCACATACTACCAATATAAACAAGTAATAACTTTAAGGAGAAAAAAGTAACCCCTCCGTGACAGCAACAAAACCTTAAGAATGGGTGAGACCTATATGAAAAAAAATATAAAGCTACACAGAAAGATCCTTGATTATTCATTTAACAAAAATTTGTTAAGAGCCAGATACTGTATTAAGTGCTGAAAATATAAAATTAAATAGATTAGTGCCATACCCTAATGAGTTAAGGATCACATAAATAAGCAGTTACAGAACATGCAATGACAGACACAAAGTCTTATGGGAGCATTGTGTGTGTGTGTGGCAGGGGGAAGGGGGGCATAGTGAATCCAGGTTGGGGCAGAGTCAGTGAGGCTTCCTAGGAGAAGTGACACCTGATCCGACGGAAAACAAAGAGCTGCCCAGGCAAAAAGCCAGAAGGAGATGGTAACTAAAAGAAGGGCCAAAATCAGAAAGGAGAAAATGCAGGTACTGTGGGATGTGCAAGCAATTTGCTGTTACTAGAGCATAAAATGTGAACAAGGTAAAGATAAGGACAGAGGTATAAATGGAAAAGTGGAACATTCCTGGATGAAACTTTACAACTGTAAAGATGTCAATATTAATGTTTATAGTCAATGTAACTCCAATCAAATTATTGTTAATGTTTTATAGTCAATATATTTAATATTTATTTATATCCAGTGTGATTAATATTAATTTTAAATTGCCTATGGAAAATACTTTTGGAATTCTTTTTTTGTGTGTGTGTGTGTGAGATGGAGTCTCACTCTGTCACCAGACTGGAGTGCAGTGGCGCGATCTTGGCTCACTACAACCTCCGACTCCCTGGTTCAAGTGATTCTCCTGCCTTAGCCTCCCCAAGTAGCTAGGACTACAGGCGCATGCCACCACGCCCAGCTAAAGTTGGCCAGGATGGTCTCAATTTCTTGACCTCGTGATCCACCTGCCTCGGCCTCCCAAAGTGCTGGGATTACAGGCATGAGCCACCACACCCAGCCTGGAATTCTTTTTTGCTATTTTCATATAACTCAGGTGAGATGTACGTCTTACAGATATTTTAAAATTATTATTTTAATTTGTATATACTTGAAAATATCTTTCAGAAAATTATCATTTAATATTTTGAACATCTTCCAGATTTCTAAATACAAACATGAAAAATCTATTAACAAAATCATAAAAATGGGCATCTTTTTTGACTGCTGTACTACAAAGACTTTAAATGACATATAAATTCAAAAACTCTAAAACCACATTATTCAAATAATGCTAGTCTTTTAATCTCTGTCAGTATAACAAAACCTTTTCCCACCAATGCCAAGATCATTTCTGTAAGTATCCAGCAGATTTCTTGCTTTTATTGCTCTCCCCACTGTTGGCTTGTGAGTCTGTTCTGTTTGTTTTTGTGCACACTATGAGCTTAGCTGAAAACTCTAAAATAATATTAGACTAATTAGGACGTCCATAATGTCCCTTGAATACACCTGTCTGACACTACAATGTAAATCTTAAGTTATCTGTTTCTCTGCCTCTTCCCCCTCCTATTCAACCCAATGGACATGAAATATGTTTCTGCACAAAAAAAAATACGCATCCAACTTGCCTTCTCATCTCATTAGGTTTTCTTTTATTTTTAGTTTTGAAAAACAGTATTCTACA
Source organism: Homo sapiens (assembly GCF_000001405.40). Taxonomy (NCBI): domain Eukaryota; kingdom Metazoa; phylum Chordata; class Mammalia; order Primates; family Hominidae; genus Homo; species Homo sapiens. The sequence continues at coordinate 33,889,677 of NC_000015.10, forward strand.
GAGCTGTGATTTAAATGGGCAAATGACATACAGAGTAATTTGAATTTTTAAATGTTTTGTTTAGCCTTCCTGTCAAAAATTAGAGCAAATATGTGCAATCTGATTTTTATTCTTTTTCAGGTCATGTCCTTTGAGACTAACGGAGCAGCTGTGGCTTCTTGTCACAGCATACATTTATAGAAAATCGGGCATACCATTAGAGGGGAGACTCGAAGCTTGGTCCTGAAAATGATGTGCAAACAAATGTGCTCTCCACCAATGGGGTCAAGGTACGGCAAGGTAGATACAAACCCTACATTCTACCGATTCCAAACTTCACAGAAAACCAAGTGGCCACAAGGTGTCAAGGCGAGTTCCCTCTCCGACGTGCCAAACTGATCTTCTCTGGAGATGTTTGTGCATCACTGATAGTGTCTAGGTTTTTGTTCATTGATGCAAAACATTTTTTGGTTTTCTGGTTTTTTTACTTCCTCAAGGGATAATACACATTATATGTTCAGTAGTCTGAGGTATATAGTGATCTTATCTTAGTTGGGGCTCGATGCTGCCTAGCTCCACACAAAGCCAACATGATTTCTGCAATGTACACATCTTCAGTAAAGCACTGTTAACTGTCAGAGCCCAGTTTTTATTACTACTCTTGTGACTGGTGCGGTGCCTGGCACACAGTAGGCAGTTAGTAAATGTGCATTTAGGAAGGAGGGAAATAATAATGCGTAAATATATGCATGCAAGAATAAATGAGCAAACGAACAAGAATACAAGGCTAAACAAAATCAACAAATGAACATCAGTAGTCTATGTGCCATAAAGGGGATAAGGAAACAGAGAAATAAGGGGGGAAATCATGTTACTTTCATGAAGCTTGCCAAAAGTATAGGGCAAAAATGTAAAATACAGAATTCTGTTTGCAACCAGAAATTTCTAGTAAATCAAATAACTCAAATAAGAACAAGTGGGAAGGAGAAAAAAATGGCAGAGATCTTCAATTAGAATTTTCTTAAACCACTCTCAAAAAGGGAGAAAGATGAAAAGAAACTAAGGATGGATCTCAAAATGTAATATTCCAGCAATTACCACTATCCAAGACAAGTGAACAGTGCAAACTTACTAGCTGATGAGCTATGAACATGACCATTACAAAGGTAAAACTGGCCAAGCATGGTGGCTCACAGCTGTAATCCCAGCACTTTGGGAGGCTGAAGAGGATCATGAGAGCCCTGAAATTTGAGGCCAGCCTGGGCAACATAGTGAGAACTCATCACTACCAAAAATTTAAAGAATTAGCGGAGCGTGGTGGTGCACATGTGTAGTCCCAGCTACTTGAGAGGCTGAGATGAGAGGATTGCTTGAGGCCAGGGGGCGAAGGTTGCAGTGAGCCGAGATCACACCACTGCACTCCAGCAACAGAGTGAGACTCTGTCTGGAAAAAAAAAAAATCCTAAAAGATATACTAAAATGTCTGGCTTTTAAACATTCCCCTTGTTGGTAATAAGCAAGCTTTAGAAATTTATCCCCACAGAAATTTTGTTTTATATTGTATTAACTATTTTTTAATGGTTTGTTTTTATTATACTTTAAGTTCTAGGGCACATGTGCACAACGTGCAGGTTTGATATATAGGTATACATGTGCCATGTTGGTTTGTTGCACCCATTAACTCGTCATTTACATTAGGTATTTCTCCTAATGCTATCCCTCCCCCAGTCCCCCACCCCCTGACGGGCCCTGGTGTATGATGTTCCCCTCCCTGTCTGTGTCCAAGTGTTCTCATTGTTCAGTTCCCACCTGTGAATAAGAACATGTGGTGTTTGGTTTTCTGTGATAGTCTGCTGAGAATGATGGTTTCCAGCTTCATTCATGTCCCTGCAAAGAACATGAACTCATCCTTTTTATGGCTGCATAGTATTCCATGGTGTATATGTGCCACATTTTCTCAATCCAGTCTATCAATGATGGACATTTGGGTTGGTTCCAAGTCTTTGCTATTGTGAACAGTGCCACAATAAAAATAGGTGTGCATGTGTCTTTATAGTAGAATGATTTATAATCCTTTGGGTATATACCCAGTAGTGGGATGGCTGGGTCAAATGGTATTTCTAGTTCTAGATCCTTGAGGAATCACCACACTGTCTTCCACAATGGTGGAACCAATTTACACTCCCACCAACAAAGTAAAAGCATTCCTATTTCTCCACATCTTCTCCAGCATCTGTTGTTTCCTGACTTCTTAATGATCGCCATTCTAACTGTCATGAGATGGTATCTCATTGTGGTTTTGATTTGCATTTCTCTGATGACCAGTGATGATGAGCATTTTTTCGTGTGTCTGTTGGCTGCATAAATGTCTTCTTTCGAGAAGTGTCTGTTCATATCCTTTGCCCACTTTTTGATGGGGTTGTTTTTTTCTTGTAAATTTGTTTGAGTTATTTGTAGATTCTGGATATTAGCCCTTTGTCAGATGGGTAGATTGCAAAAATTTTCTCCGATTCTGTAGGTTGCCTGTTCACTCTGATGGTAGTTTCTTTTGCTGTGCAGAAGCTCTTTGGTTTAATTAGATCCCATTCATCTATTTTGGCTTTTGTTGCCATTGCTTTTGGCATTTTAGCCATGAAGTCCTTGCCCATGCCTATGTCCTGAATGGTATTGCCTAGGTTTTCTTCTAGGGTTTTTATGGTTTTAGGTCTAACAGTTAAGTCTTTAATCCATCGTGAATTAATTTCTGTATAAAGTGTAAGGAAGGGATCCAGTTTCAGCTTTCTACATATGGCTAGCCAGTTTTACCAGCACCATTTATTAAATAGGGAATCCTTTCCCCATTGCTTGTTTTCGTCAGGTTTGTCAAAGATCAGATGGTTGTAGATGTGTGGTGTTATTTCTGAGGGCTTTGTTCTGTTCCATTGGTCTGTATCTCTGTTTTGGTACCAGCACCATGCTGTTTGGTAGCCTTGTAGTATAGTTTGAAGTCAGGTAGCGTGATGCCTCCAGCTTTGTTCTTTTTACTTAGAATTGTCTTGGCAATGTGGGCTCTTTTTTGGTTCCATATGAACTTTAAAGTAGTTTTTTTTTTTAATTCTGTGAAGAAAGTCATTGGTAGCTTGATGGGGATGGCACTGAATCTATAAATTACCTTGGGCAGTATGGCCATTTTCACAATACTGATTCTTCCTACCCGTGGGCATGGAACGTTCCTCCATTTGTTTGTGTCCTCTTTTAGTTTGTTGAGCAGTGGTTTGTAGTTCTCCTTGAAGAGGTCCTTCACATCCCTTGTAATTTGGATTCCTAGGTATTTTATTCTCTTTGTAGCAATTGTGAATGGGAGTTCACTCATGATTTGGCTCTCTGTCTGTTATTGGTATATAGGAATGCCTGTGATTTCTGCACATTGATTTTGTATCCTGAGACTTTGCTGAAGTTGCTCATCAGCTTAAGGAGATTTTGGGCTGAGACAATGGGGTTTTCTAAATATACGATCATGTCATCTGCAAACAGGGACAATTTGACTTCTTCTTTTCCTAACTGAATACCCTTTATTTCTTTCTCCTGCCTGATTACACCAGCCAGAACTTCCAACACTATGTTGAATAGGAGTGGTGACAGAGGGCATCCTTGTCTTGTGCCAGTTTTCAAAGGGAATGCTTCCAGTTTTTGCCCATTCAGTATGATATTGGCTGTATCTCCACAGAAATTTTAACATGTAGGAAGAAATTCATACAAACACCAGCCTTGCTTATATCAGAAAGTAGTATTTGCAGGGCGTGGTGGCTCACACCTGTAATCCCTGCTACCTGTGAAGATAGCTTGAGCCCAGGAGTTGGGGGCTACAGTGAGGTATGAGCACACCCCAGTACTCCAGCTTGGGTGGAAAAAAAGAAACAAGCAAAGTAGTATTTTCCTGAATATTCTGTTTTTAAACTATTGTTTGCAATGCATAATGTGAATTCTTTTGAAATTTACTTTTGTTCTTTTTGGACTTTCTTTCCTGAATAAAAACTGGCATCACCACTACTAGCAAAGTGAACTCTACCTGAAGCATCTTAAAGCTGGTGATAGGAAAAGCAGAAAGGGGTGTGCACTCTCTGGGTTCCCTGCTGTGCTTATGCAGCCCCTCTGATTAGCTACTTCTGGCTCAGACCAAATGTGCAATAAATCAAAGAAGCAGTTGGAATAGAGTGTGGTCACGGTGTTCCATCAATTCATCAGTGACACCAAGTTCCAACTCAAGGCTTTTCAAACAGAAAAGAATGAGAAGGAGGAGCAACCTTGATGCCAAGATTTTTTTTTTTTTTTTGAGACAGAGTCTAGCTCTGTTGCCCAGGCTGGAGTGCAATGGCGTGATCTCGGCTCACTGCAACCTCCACCTCCTGGGCTCAAGTGATTCTCCTGCCTCAGCCTCTCCAGTAGCTGGGACTACAAGTCAGCACAACCACACCCGGCTAATTTTTGTATTTTTAGTAGAGATGGGGTTTCGCTATGTTGGCCAGGCTGATCTCAAACTCTTGACCTTAGGTGATCTGCCCACTTCGGACTCCTAAAGTTCTGGGATTAAAGGTGTGAGCTACTGCGCCTGACTGATGCCAAGAATTTTAAATAGCACTACCAGCACCAAAAGTGCAGAACCAGGAAGGAGCCACTGAACTCTGCCCAATCTCCAGAAAGAACACGCACTGGATACTGCAGCTACATAACAGGAAGGCACTGACAGGCCTTCATTAGGATCTTACTCCTCTTTTCTGGTAAATGAAACTGAAACCACTGACAGCTAATACTAAAAATGTAACTAAAAGTTTAATAAAGTAGAAGAACACAGGCAGTTGGGGTGGATAGGGTTTTTCTCTTAAAAAAAAAAAAAAAAAATCATCGGCCGGGCACAGTGGCTCACTAGCACTTTGGGAGGCCGAGGCAGGGGGACTGCCTGAGCTCAGGAATTCAAGACTAACCTGGGCAACACGGTAAAACCCCATCTCTACAGAAATACAAAAAATTAGGTGGGCATGGCAGCGTGTACCTGTAGTCCCAGCTACTCAGCAGGCTGAGGCAGGAGAATGGCGTGAACCCGGGAGACGGAGCTTGCAGTGAGCGGAGATCACGTCACTGCACTCCAGCCTGGGCGACAGAGTGAGACACCATCTCAAAAAAAAAAAAATAATAACAATAATAATAATAATAATAATAATAGAATGCTGTTTTAATTGCTTTTAAAGCTCTGTTTCCACACAACTTTTTCCTAACTTGTATATCCTTAGATGGCAATTGCTGGATGTCATCTATGTGATTAAAAGGTGCCATCTGGAAATTAAACTTTGCACTACCTTTTGGATACCGATTCTATAGCATAGCAAGATCCCAGAATGTTCTTTTATTGAAAGAACGTTTCCATCTTCAACTTTCCTCTAGTGCTTAGTGTCATAGCTCTTCCATACCCATCTGTAGGTGTTTGGATTCTACCACTGGTGGGCACCCTTCTGAATTCAAACAAACTTACTCTCTAGTATGACAATGTATTTTTTAAATCAGATTTGGGCTGATTTTTTTATCTTTGAAGCTTAACCTACTATTTTTTTCACTGTTCTTCTGCAATGGTTTATATTTTCTACTTCAGAGATACTTTTTGAACAACTCAGACACTGTTTTCAATGCAACTATATTTCTTTTTTTTTTTTTTAAGAGACAGGGCCCCACTCTATTACCCAGTATGGAGTGCAGTGGTGCAATCATAGCTCGCTGCAGCCTCAATCTCCCAGGCTCAAGTAATCCTGCCACCTCAGCCTCTTGAATAGCTGGGACTACAGGTATTCACCACCATGCCCAGCTAACTTTTTTATTTTTTGAAGAGATGAGGTCTCCCTATGTTGCCCAGAGTGGTCTCGAATTCCTGGCTCAAGTGTTCTTCCCACCTCAGCCTCCCAAAGTGCTGGAATTACAGGCATGAGCCACCACACCCAGCCCAGTCATAACTACTTCTTAACTGAATCGCTGCAGTTGTATTCTAACTGGTTTACCTACCTCCAATATAGTATTCTGAAGGCCCCACCAACTCCACCAGATAAATAGAACAACCCATTATCTGTATTATATTCAAAATGATCTTTTAAAAATACAAATCTGATCCTGCCAGACTCTTAGTTAAACCTCTCTATAACTGCCCTCCACTAATTTTAGATAAGGTATAATAACTTTTATATCCAGCCATGATGGAGGCTAGGGATCAAATGTACCCTCCTACCTGAAACAGTCACAAAGTCTGCCCCCTAATTCATGCCTCCTAACGCATAAGGCAGTGGGTAGAGAATTCCTGAGGCATTGGGTAGAGAATTCAAAAGGGTCTTGCTGTAGTAGAGAATAATTAACGCCACACGAAACATTGCTCTGGTCTCACCTAACAAATATTAAAAGCAAGACCTAAAGAGATTAAACTGTTTCCAAGTAACTTAATTATACCCCAGAATAAAAACTACATAGTATTTATAGGAATACAAAATTATGACTGCACTCAACAAGGTAAAAGCAATTTCTGATATGCCATCAAAAATTACATGGCATGCACAGACGCAGGAAAATAATGGCCCCCTAAAGAGGAGAATGATCAGTCAATCAAAATAATGCCAGAACTGACACAGATATGAAATTAGCAGAAAAGGACATTACGGCTTGTTAGCATAGCTTACATCACCCAATACAATCTGGCACCCATCGAATTCTCCAGGCGTCAGTTCTCTCCCTTACACTCTATACTTCAACTGTACTGAATTTCAGTTCTTCAAAAATGCCATGTTCTTTCTTGCATTCATGTTAATTATCTCTCCTGGTTATAATACTTGTCCATCCAGTGGTGTCCAGGAGAACTGTTTAGGGGCTGGGAGAGAGTCCTCATTTGATGTGTTTAACAATATCCATGGTCTAAGCACACCCACCACGGCCAATTTCAATCTGTCAAAAATTTAGCCACTAACTTGCAGAGTTCCTGAATTTTTAACAATCAACTCTGAAGCTGGTATAAGCCTGCATCCATCCCTCTCATCATCTGCCTGGAGCCTAATCATTCATCCTTGAGTCTCAAGTTAAACATCAGTTCCTCTAGGAAGCCTTTTAAGATCCTTCAAATCTGTTAAATGTTCCTCCTCTGTACTCCTATATAATACACTGTACTTGATACCATCACAACACTTATGATACTCTATTGTTATTACCTGACATATAAAACCCAAAAGGTAGATATTGTGCCCACCCTATTCATTAATCCATCTGCAGGACATTAGCACAATAGCTAGCGTGCAATGACACTCAAAAATCAGCTGAATGAGTAGTAAAAAGGAACAGACTTCCAGTAAGTGCAACAACATAGATGAATCGCCAATGCATTATGCAATGTGAAAGAAGCCAGACATAAAAGGCTACATACTATAGGGTTCCATTACATAACATTCTAAAAATGACAAAATCCACAAATCTATAGTTGCCAGGAAAGGACTGGGAAGGTACATAGGGAACTTTCTGGGATGATAAAAATGTTCTATGTGTTGGTGGTGGTCACAGACTACTTACATTTGTAAAAACTGTATACCTAAAAAGGCTGAATTTTGCTCAACATAAATTATACCTCAATAAACATAAATTAATTAATTAATTTATTTATTTTGAGATGGACTCACACTCTATCGCCCAGGCTAGAGTGCAGTGGCATGATCTTGGCTCACTGCAAGCTCCACCTCCCAGGTGCAAGCAATTCTCCTGCCTCAGCCTCCACCATGCCTGGCTAATTTTTGTATTTTTAGTAGAGACAGGGTTTCACCATGTTGGCCAGGCTGGTCTTGAACCCCTGACCTCAGGCGATCTGCCTGCCTCAGCTTCCCAAAGTGCTAGGATTACAGGCATAAGCCACCGCGCCCGGCCATGAATTTATTTTTTTAAACAACAGCTGCCAGGCCTGGTGGCTCATGCCTATAATCCCAGCACTTTGGGAGGCTGAGGCAGGAGGATTGCTTGAGGCCAAAAGTTCAAGACCAGTCTGGGCAACATAAGACGACCTTATCTCTACTAAAAATCAAAAATATATGTATGCAGCCATGGTGGTGTGCACCTACAGTCTTAGCTACTTGAGAGGCTGAGGTAGGAGGGTGGCTTGAGCCAAGGAGTTTTAGGTTAAAGCAAGTTATGATTGTGCCACTGCACTCCAGCCTGGGTGACAAAGACTCTGTATCTAAAAAAGCAAAGCAAAAAATAGCTGAATGGGCCGGGCGTGGTAGCTCACGCCTGTAATCCCAGCACTTTGGGAGGTCGAAGGGGGCGGATCACAAGGTCAGGAGATCGAGACCATCCTGGCTAACACGGTGAAACCCCATTTCTACTAAAAATACAAAAAATTAGCTGGGCGTGGTGGTGGGCACCTGTAGTCCCAGCTACTCTGGAGGCTGAGGCAGGAGAATGGCGTGAACCAGGGAGGCAAAGCTTGCAGTGAGCCGAGATCGCACCACTGCACTCCAGCCTGGGCAACAGTGCGAGACTCCGTCTCAAAACAAAACAAAACAGCTGAATGACTCAGTCACTGCTAAGGAGATAATGATGAGTAAAAAACAGCCCAAGCTCTTTACCAACTTATAATACATTGCCTGGGGAGGACTAGAGATTAGATCAACACACTATATGCGTTTCCTAGGGCAGCCTTGTACAGGACCACAAAGTGAGTGGCTTAAAACAACAGAAACTTATTCTCCCAGTTCTGGAGGTTAGAAGTCTGAAATCAACATGCTGGCAAGGCCATGCTGTCTCTGAAGGCTCTAGGGGAGGAGCTTCCCCTCATCTTCCTAGCATCTAGCCTTGCTAGCAACCCCTGACATTCCAGTTTGTAGTTGCATCACTCCAATCACTGATTCTGTGGTCCCATGGCCTTCTTCCCTGTGTCTCTGTCCAAATTTCTCTCTCCTTTTGACACTAGTCATTGAACTGGGACACACCCTCATCTTGTGTGACCTCATCTTCACTTGATCACATTTGCCAAGACCATATTTACAAATAATGTCACATTCACAAGGACTGAAGTTTAGGACTTGAACATATCTTTTAGGAGGGCACAATTCAACCCACAACACACAAAAATAGCTATGAAACAAGACAAAAACATGACAAATGCCACAAAAAGACATATAAAGTGCTATGGTTCAGAAGTCCCAGGGGGATTAACAGAGGACTTCATGGTATTCAAAAATAGTATTTGAAATGGTCCTGAAGAGGAGTATAATTTGGGTTAAGAGATATAAAGGAGAAGAGTAGGACATTCCGAGTAAAGGGGGAAATATTATAGTGTTGTAAGACAGAGGTAGGAAAGGGTGATGATACCAGGAAGGAGTCCAATTTGATAAAAGCATTAGCTCTAAGTGTGATATACTGGAAAGGTAGGTGGGGACCAGATAGAAGGTGGTCACATGCCTAAATAAGGATTCTGTACTTCATTCAGCAGACTTTTGGGGACCACTGAGAGAGTTAACTGTGGTACTCACCTCTGCCCCTATGACACAGTGAAGAGGCTCATACACTGTTGACAGGACACTTTCAAGTGCAGTTCTTTGAACTTGTTCACATCACCCAGGTAGCAATTACTGATGCTCAAACTGAATTTTCTTCATTGATCCAGCTACCATATGGTAGTAGAACTAGAAACAGCTGGAGGGTCCTCAAAGATTTTGCTATTGTGTTTAATCTATTTTGTTCATCTGCTGAAATAGTTTTCTCTTGAAAATGCAACATTGATTCAAAGTGTTTACATTTATTTGCTTCAGGGAAAACCTTTTTTTTTTTTTTTTTTTTTTTTTTTGAGACGGAGTGTTGCTCTGTCATCCAGGCTGGAGTGCAGTGGCGCCATCTCAGCTCACCGCAACCTCCGCCTCCCGGGTTCATGCCATTCTCCTGCTCAGCCTCCCGAGTAGCTGGAACTACAGGCGCCCGTCACCAAGCCCAGCTGATTTTTTATTTTTAGTAGAGACAGGGTTTCACCATGTTGGCCAGGATGGTCTCAGTCTCTTGACCTCGTGATCCACCTGCCTTGGCCTCCCAAAGTGCTGAGATGACAGGCATGAGCCACCGCACCCGGCCAGGGAAAGCCTTTTCTATCCTTAACTTGCAAGCTAGCATACAAAACTTAGATTTCTGACTAGCAGAAAAACCATTCTCTTAGGTAATTCTTCCTTCCAGAAGTATGTTCCAGAGGTCGTACCAACTCATTCTTTTAGATTAAAAGCTAAGGATCCTCAAATCACAGTTCAGTTTTTTTTTTTTTCACACACAAGTATAAAGTCATGTGCAAAGAAGTAAACAGAACAGAGAATCTAACTTACAGCAATTCAATGGAAATTCACAGTAAGAATGCCAAGGTCACAATTATCGCATGTATTATTGTCCTAGTGTCTACATCTGTATTTATGAATCACCTTTTTTTTCTTTCCTCTTCTTCTCTCTAAGCCCTTTTCTAGGATACTGCAATTATAGTTGTTCTATTGGAAATGAGTCCTTGAAACCCTTCAGAATCTAGAAGGTCACCTCTCCCACAAAGCCACATTATGTCTAAATGTTCTCAACTGTGTGAGATTACAGTCACTCTACTTAGTGCGGGAAAGTGGATAGAGTTTTGGGAGAACATTTTTTTTTTTTTTTTTGAGACAAAGTTATTTTCTGGCACCCAGGCTGGAGTGCAGTGGCATGATCACAGCTTACTGCAGCCTCAACCTCCCAGGCTCAAGCGGTCCTTCCACCTCAGCCTCCCAAACAGCTGGGACTACAGGCATGAGCCACCACGCCCAGTTGATTTTGGTAGTTTTTGTAGAGACATGGTTTTGCCATGTTGCCCAGGCTGGTTCAAACTCCTGGGCTCAAGAGCTCTGCCCACCTCAGCCTCTCAAAGTGCTTGGATTATAGGTGTGAGCCACCATGCCTAGCCAATTTAGTAATTTTTAAATACAAAAAAAAAACTGATCGCATAGCAAAATAGGTCAAGTAAAATATCATTGGTGCTGTATTTATTTTCAACCATACAATAATTACCTTAAGGTCTAAAACTTGACATTTATCTATAGGTGACAAGTTTAAATCAAATTTAATTTAAAGTCTTAATTATTCTATTTCATAAATAGCAATACCCAGACAACTATTAACTGCCAACGAACAGTTTTTTGTGTTTTCTTCAGTAGTAACCTTGAGACGTATCTTCTACCTTTCCTTCAAAGATTCCTTGGGCTGGGGCTAGAAAGAAGGAAATGTCTATAGAGCACCCTTGATGTAAGTAACTCCATCTTAGAAAAAGATTCTACCTTACACTGGCCAGGCACGGTGGCTCATGCCTGTAATCCCAGGACTTTGGGAGGCCAAGGCAGGCACATCACGAGGTCAGGAGATTGAGACCATCCTGGCTAACATGGTGAAACCCCGTCTCTACTAAAAATACAAAAAACTTGGCTGGGTGTGGTGGTAGGCGCCTGTAGTCACAGCTACTTGGGAGGCTGAGGCAGGAGAATGGTGTGAACCCGGGAGGCGGAGCTTGCAGTGAGCGGAGATCGCACCACTGCACTCCAGCCTGGGCGACAGAGCAAGACTCCACCTCAAAAAAGAAAAGAAAAAGACTCTACCTTACCTTTCAAAAGGTATCATGCCAACAAGGACTAGATATTCACACACTAGAAGTCCACATACAATGAAATACCGACACGTGCATACACACGCACACACGTTTTATCTATTTGCCCACTGATGGACACTCACATTGTCTCCATATCTTCGCTCTTGTGAATAATACTGAAATGAACATAGAGTACAGATATCTTTACAAGATGGCAATTTCAATTTCATGTCCTTTGGGTATATATCCAGAAGAAAGATTACTAGGTCATATGGCAGTTCTATTTTTAGTTTATTTAGGAACCTCCATACTGTTTTCCATAATGGCTATACCAATCCACATTCCCACCAACAGTGTGCCAGGGTTCCCTTTTCTCAACACCTCACCAACATTTACATCTTGACTTTTTTATAACAGCCATCCTAATGAACATGAGGTGGTATCTCATGGTAGTTTTAATTTGTGTTTCCCCAATGATTAGTAATGTTGAACACCTTTTCATATATCTGTTGGCCATTTTTATGTCTTTTTTGGAGAAATGTCTATTCAGGTCCTTTGTCTACTTTTTAAACAGATTGTTTTTCTGCCACTGAGTTCTAACAGTTCTTAAAATTTCTAAAAACTTAAAAATGTAACCTCTTATCAGATATGTAGTCTGTGAATACTTTTTCCTAGCCCATAGGTTGCCTTTCCATTTTGTTGACTGGTTTTTTGTTTTGTTTGTTTTGCTGTGCAGAAGCCTAATTTGATATAGTTCATGTATTTATTTATCTTTGCTTTTGTAGCTTGAACTTTAGGTGTGATCCAAAAAGTCATTGCCAAGGCCATCTATGAGCACAGGGTATTTTCCATTTATTTGCATCCTCTTTATTTCAACGTTTTATTGTTTTTAGTGTACAAATGTTTTACCTCCTTCAAATTTATTCCTAAGTGTTTTATTTTTGTTGATGACATCACCAACAAGTGAGATTTATTCCTGGTATGCATGGCTAGTTTAACACACACAAAATCAATGTGATACACCACATTAACAGAATGAAAGATTTAAAAACCCCATGATCATCTCAATGGATGCAGACAAAGCCTTTGACAAAGTTAAATATTCTTTCTCAATAAAAACTCTTCACAGTTTAAGCATACAAGAAAAGTTCCTCAACATAATAAAGGTCACTCATGAAAAACATACAACTAACATCATAATCAACAGGAAACAAATGAAAACTATTCCACTAAGATCCAGTACAAGGCAGGGATGCCCATTTCTATTCAACATAGTACTGGAAATACTAGCAAAGGCAATCAAACAAGAAAGAAAAGGCATCCAAATCAATGCCTTTATCTCTATCTGGAGATGACATGATTTTATACGTAGAAAACCCCAAAGATTCCACATAGTAACAACCTGTTAGAATAAATGAACTCAGTAAAGTTGCAATATACAAAATCAACACACAAAAATCAGTGCATTCCTACGCACAAATAAAACAGCCTAGTTGAAAAAGAAATCAAGACAACAATCCCATTTTTGATATCATAAAAAATTCTTAGGAATAAATTCTGTAGCTTAATTAAACTAATTAATTTATCCATTAATCCTGTGTGTTTATCTTTAGCAGTCTCTCCTATAGTTTGATGATCAATTTACCCTCCACCCTTCACAACTGCTAAAGCAAATGCCATCTAATGGAGCCACTTGTCATTCTTTTGGCCGCCAGGATCTGAATCCCCTTCCTAATCCTTAGCATCCCTCACCTTATAAAACAGAGCCCCTCTCCTACTATCAAAGCAGAAAATTCTAGATACTTCTTTTCCAGCATCTCTTGCTCTAGACATCGGCACGTAAATGAGGCCACATTGATCATAAATACTCACCCGCAGTATTTGAATCAAAAACTAGGGATGAGAATGAGGGATTATGCAGAATCCATTCTTAGTATTATGTGGTGGCAACTACAAACAGTTTATAAAAGGACAGAGGCAGTAGCAGTGTCCACTGCCCAGTGACAGTAACACTGACATGGATGGCACAAATTGCAGTGCTCATGTGTGCAGCAACAGCAGGTCTTCAGTCAGCTCTGCAATGTGAGGCCCTATACTAGCCTTCCTTCTAGTTTTTGAACACAGTCCCTGGGCGCTCCCAGAGAGGTTGTAAGCTGCCCAAAATACTTTCAATAAATTCCTTCTCTGCTTAAATTTGCCTAAGTCAGTTTCTGCAGCTTGCAACTAAGACCCTGATTGATACAGCATCTTGGTCTCCCTTAGACTAATTTTACATGCTTTGGCATTACATAATCTCATTAACTACAAGTTTCCTCAAAGCACACATGGGATCCTAGTAAGGAGATGTGTTTAGGAAAAATATAACAATATTAACACTTTGCATTGTATAGATCTTAACTGAATCTGAAAAGAATGAAAAATAGAAAACATGGTATATATAAAAGAACATACTTGTTTATAAGTGAATATATATTGTATATGTGTATATACAGTCATGCATCACATAACAATAGGGATACATTTTGAGAAATTCATCATTAGGTGATTTGTCATTGTGCAAACATCAGAGAATGTACTAACAAACCGAGATGGCATGGCCTACCTAGGCTACATGGTGTAGCCTATTGTTTCTAGGCTACAAGCCTGTTCAGCATGTTACTGTACTGAATACTGCAGGCAACTATAACACAATGGTAAGTATTTGTGTTTCTGAACATATATAACATAGAATAGGTATGGTAAAAGTATGGTATTAAAATTTTATGGGACCACTGTCGTATATGTGGTCCATGATTGACCAAAACATCATTATGCAGTGCATGACTGTATATGCATATATATTAACACATATTTGTAGGCCAGGTGCAGTAGCTCACACCTGTAATCCCAGCATTTTGGGAGGCCAAGACAGGAGTATTGCTGGAAGCCAGGAATTTGAGACCTACCTGGGCAATGTAGTGATACCCTGTCTCTACAAAATATTTAAAAATTAGCCAGGCATGATGGTACACACCTACAGTCCCAACTACTTGGGAGACTGAGGCAGGAGAACCACTTGAGCCCAGGAGTTCGAAACTGCAGTGAGCTATGATCGTGCCACTGCACTGAAGCCTAGGCAACAGAGTAAGACTGTGTTTTGTTTTGTTTGAGACAGAGTTTTGCTCTTGTCGCCCAGGCTGGAGTGCAGTGGTATGATCTCAGGTCACTGCAACCTCTGCCTCCCGGGTTCAAACGATTCTCCTGCCTCAGCCTCCCGAGTAGCTGGGATTACAGGTGCCCGCCACCACGCCTGGCTAATTTTTTGTATTTTTAGTAGAGACGGAGTTTCACCATGTTGGCCAGGCTGGTCTCGAACTCCTGACCTCAGGTAATCCACCTGCCTTGGCCGAGACTGTTTCTTTAAAAAAAAAAAAATATATATATATATATATATATACACACACACACGAATATGCACGCTTGCACACACATGCACACACATATATATGTATATCTGTTGTTCTTTATAATGAAGTTTGGTTATATTTAATTATATTTTAAAAATCTGTTAAAAGATAACTACTTTTGGTTGGGCGTGGTGGCTCACGCCTGTAATCCCAGTACTTTGGGAGGCCGAGGCGGGTGGATCACCTCAGGTCAGGAGATTGAGATCAGCCTGGCCAACACGGTGAAACCTCGTCTCTACTAAAAATACAAAAATTGGCCGGGTGTTGTGGCACACGTCTGTAATCCCAGCTACTCAGGAGGCTGAGGCAGGAGAATCACTTGAACCTGGGAGGTGGAGGTTGCAGTGAGCTGAGATTGCGCCGTCGCACTCCAGCCTGGGCGACAGAGCAAGACTCCGTCTCCAAAAAAAAAAAAAAAAAAAAAAAACTACTTTTGTTTCCCAACTAATTAGGTGTTTAAACTAATTAGGTGTCAAAACAAAACAAACAAACAAAAAAACCCACAGGCTTTGGGGTCAGAAAAAACTGAGTTTAAACTGCTGTTCACTACTTACTTGCTGTGAAACCTTGGAGAAGTTTCTTAAATTATCTAAGCTTCAATTCTCTCATTGGAAAAATAAGGATAATAACACCCATTCTATAAGGCTATCTGTAGGGTGAGAGATAATATACATAAAAGAGCTTGCCCAGTATCTGACATGTATTAGATGCTCAATAAACTTTGAAAGTCCAGCCCTCACAATCTGCCTATCCCTCAATGCCAAACCAAACTAATCTTCTCCAGGGATTATTTTCTTCCAAAGGAAGATAAAATTGGCTGGACGCCAGGGTTCACACCTGGAATCCCAGCATTTTGGGAGGCCGAGGTGGGCCTATTGCTTGAGCTCAGGAGTTTATATCAGCCTGGGAAACATGGCGAAACCCCTTCTCTACAAAAAATACAAAAAATTAGCCAGGAGTGCTGGCATGCACCTGTGGTCCCAGAGGGAGGCTGAAGTGGGAGGTTTGCTTGAGCTCCAGAGGTGGAAGTTGCAGTGAGCCAAGACCGTGCCATTGCACTCCAGCCTGTATGACAAATTGAGACCTTGTTTCGGGAAAGAAAAAAAAAAAAAAAAAGGTAAAATTCACTCCCAGACACCCACCCAATTCAACCAAATGCACTGAAACACCATGCATCTTATGTTTAGCATACCTGTTACCTACTGTCTTCCCTATATTTCTAGGACACTGTCTTTCTTCTATTTCTAGATTTTCTCAGTACCTCCTATACATGAATTGCTGTCCATATAGCCATGAAGGCATGCATTAAGTTGTTAAATTGCATTTTATTAACATCATTGCCCTACTAAAAAAAGGTCAAGCTTAAAGCTACTTGGTTACCTAAGAACAGGTCTACGTTTCTCCCAACTTACTGAACAGAGCTGGAGTGAATTGTGTGTGCTTGAGCTTCTGTGTATGTGGAATGGGTGGAGGGAGGGAGGGGTAGGGAAGGCAAACAACAAAGAGGAAATGAAACATGCACCAATAGGACCCACAAGCCCTCCATACCAGTGTATTACACAAGATACTAGAGGGGCTTCAGAGATTAACTGGTTCAACCACCTAGTTTTAGAGATATAAAACATGAGAAGCACCTTTTAAAATACTGAATGATATGCCACTGTACATAGATGCCACAAGTTGTTCATCCATTTATTTCTCTATGGACACTTGAGTTTGCTTTCACCTTTTGGCAATTGTGAATAATGCTCTGCTATAAAGTTGGATGTACAAATATCTGTTCCAGTCCCTGCTTTCAATTCTTTGGGCTATATAATAAGTGGAATTCTCGAAATACATAATTCTATTTTTAATTTTTATTGAACCTTGAAGACATTATGCTAAGTGAATAAACCAGTCACAAAAACAGACAAATGCTATATGATTCTGCTTATATGAGTTACCTAGAGTAGTCAGACTCATAGAGACAGAAAGTAACATGGTGGTTGCCAGGGGTGGTGGAGAGAAGACAATGGCAAGTTATTGTTTAATGGGCATAGAATTTCAGTTTAGGAAAATGAAAAAAACTCTGGATATGGATGATGATGATGATGGTTGCATAGCAGTGTGAATACACCTAATACCACTCAACTGTACACTTAAAGATGATTAAAGTGGTAAATCTTATGTATATTTTAACACAATTTTTAAAATGTATTCATCTAGTTTTTAAAAAGGGGTGTGGGGGGGAAGGGGGTGTACACAAATTGGTTAACAGGCTTTCCAATGTCAAACAATGAGTGGTAGAACAAGGATTACAACCAAGTTCTTCTACCTGACGGCCCACAGCTTTTTCTACCAAACCACGAATGAAAAGAAAAATAATTATAGACTTGGAATGCCTCCTCATACTAGCATCTGGACCACATCTTGTCCAATATGATAATATCTCAAATATCAGCAGGATAGACCCTGCTCGCCCAACTCCAGTTGTTTTCTGACACCTACTAGGCACCAAGTTAACTGGGCCTCTCCTTACAGCCGAGACCTCAAATGATGGGACACAGAGGCTGTCCCTTTTCCTCTCTCTCAGGCAATGTTATGTCTCAAGGGCAGGAACCTGAGGTCAGCTATGTTTTGCTCTGGGAATTTCAAGGAGTATCTCAGAGGAAAGGCTGGGGTATCAACATCAGTCATTTTGCTTCCACATGGGATTATGCTTTTTGAATGAGACATTGTTTCTAAGGGACATTGCCAGCCTTCTGTTCCATATTTTTCACTGGTTTAAAAGATTTTTGTTGCTAAGTCAGCTCATCAGGAAGGAAGGAAATGTAGCCATATTTCAGGCCAGACTGTTGCAAAGTATTCATAATGTATCACAGCCTTGGAAGCTAGATTTCATGTTGCTATCTGCCTTTTATTCCCCTCACCTCTCCATTCTGACAACTGTAGACAAGTTAAAATTCAGCAGTATGTAAGAATCAGAGAACAGAGGTTGTTTCTCTAAAGTCCTAATAAACCTTGAAAACAATAAAGCACTAGAAATACCCCTGCTGTCCTAATCCACAAAATTCCCAGCACTAAAAAAAAAAAAAAAACTATATGGAGTAAAGATTTCAACATAAAAAAGTTAAGAGTGCTAGAAGAAAAAAATGGGTGAAATGTATTATCTTTTATAATCTTGGAGTGAAGAAGACCTTTATAAACACAATACAAAATGCATCTAACTACATAAAAATGTAAAGCATCTCTATGTCCAAAAATTTAGGAAAGTCAAAAGACAAATGACAATGCAGGAGAAATACTTGCAACACATCAGATAAAAGGCTATTTTTCATTTACATTGTATATTTTACAAATCACTTATTAAAAAATTTGTATTGTGATAAGATATACATAAAATTTACGATTTTAGTCACTTCTAAGTATACAGTCCGGTGGCATTAAGTACATTCACATTATTGTGTAACTATCACCACTATCTGTCCCTAGAACTCATTTATCATCCCAAACTAAAACTCCTTACCCATTACACATAACCAGGATTCTTTTACTTCGAAAGCTGAATTGCTAATTCCAAAGAACATTGTGTTGACAGTGCCTGCAATTAAGAAGCCATCACCTTTGTGTTATGACAGTTTTCTTCCTTACTACAAGCATTATTGTTACCTGGAATAAAAGATTCCTGCTTTTTTGTTCACATCTTGAGCTGGTTATGAGTATTAACCCATGTCACTGTTGGTACATTTATAGAGTATAAAATCACTCTATAATTGCAAATGGGCAAATAGGTTATTCCCATGAGAACTCACCCCGAACCCTGGCAACTACCATTCTATTTTCTGTCTCTGTGAATCTGACCATTCTGGGTGACTCATATAAGTAGAATCATACAGTATTTTTCTTTTTTTTCTGACTGGCTTATTTGTCTCAGCAAGGTTCATCCTTGTTGTCGCATGTTTCCGAATTTCCTTTCTGAAGTCTGAGTAATAATCCACTGTATCACATTTATTCATTTATCCATGAATAAACACTTAGGTTGTTTTTACTTCTTTGCTATTGTGTATAAATCAATATTTTAAAAAGACAAATAATTCAGTTAATGGAGAAACTACAAGAGGGCTGGGGCTTGATTCATACAGAAGTCTGCAGGAGAAAAGACAAACCAGCAAAGACAGGAGCAGTCACCTGGGGTGGTCTAGAGCGACAAAGCTGGAGACCTGAGATCTGGGCAGTTTCCTTCACATGATTTTTGCTGAATTCTGAAGCTGCTTCAGAGATGCACTGAAGTGTTTCTGTACATTTTTAATACCCCCTGTAGTGGTTTTCTACCACTCTGAGCTGCCTGCCTGGGCTGTCCCTCAAACATCTCCCCAAGTACAAGTTGGTTTTTGTTTTGTTTTGGTGCTTGAGTTTCTTAGTGTTCTGGTTACAAAGAGGAATAAACTCTCAATAGCCAGCTTCTACCCTTATTTTTCCCTTAAGCCCTGTTATTTTAACATGTGATTTTGTAGAACCCAGGTTTCTCAGGAAAGCAAAAGCACCTTTACTTCCAACACCCAAGTGTGGCACAGGCTGGCAATTCAGAGAAAGAGACAAAAGTAAAATGTGCAGGGAGAAAAAACAAACAAACAAAAAAACCTAAGAGTTCTCATGGGAATAACCTATTTGCCCATTTGCAATTATAGAGTGATTTTATACTCTATAAATGTACCAACAGTGACATGGGTTAATACTCATAACCAGCTCAAGATGTGAACAAAAAAGCAGGAATCTTTTATTCCAGGTAACAATAATGCTTGTAGTAAGGAAGAAAACTGTCATAACACAAAGGTGATGGCTTCTTAATTGCAGGCACTGTCAACACAATGTTCTTTGGAATTAGCAATTCAGCTTTCGAAGTAAAAGAATCCTGGTTAGATGCTAAAGGTGTCAGCTCCATTCCTACCCCTACACCAAGCTACCAGTTAAAAAACCACCTAAGTATTTCACTTTTCAAATGTTTAAAATCAAAACAATTTTGGAATGGCTACAATTATTGTAATTTTACAAGGTATAAATTTTATCAGGTATATAAAATTATAACTGCCACAACTTTGCATTTATGTAGCACCTTTTTTAAGCATTAAAAACATTTGCTGGCCGGGCACGGTGGCTCATGTCTGTAATCCCAACACTTTGGGAGGCCGAGGCGGGTGGATCACCTGAGGTCAGGAGTTTGAGACCAGCCTGGCCAAATACAAAAAATTACACAAAATACAAATACAAAAAATTAGCTGGGCTTGGTGGTGGACACCTGTAATCTTAGCTACTCGGGAGGCTGAGGCAGAAGAATCACTTGAACCCGGGAGGTGGAGGTTGCAGTGAGCTGAGATCGCACCGCTGCACTCCAGCCCCAGCCTGGGTGACAGAGCGAGACTCCATCTCAAAAAAAAAAAAAAAAAATTGCTTAGTAAGCAAGGTAGTACTTGTTAAAAATGAGTCTCCTTGGCTTCCCTGTAAGACATATATTCCTTTCATTTCTCTGAGATCTTTCAATGGGGAGCTAAAAGAAGTGTGAAAAAACAAGAGGGGAAGGTGTGAGGTGGCTGTGAATTTTGCTGGACAACTAGTAAGATGTCTGTTCAGAAATCACTAACAGGAAAGAAAAAAGGGAAACAAAAATAATACAAAGCAAACACATTTACCACATACTCAATACCTGCACAGCATTGTGCCTGGTGCTGTTAAGAACTCAGGCCACAAAGGCAAAAGTGTGTGGAAGAAATTGGGACGTGAAGATAGCTGCGCCAGTATCTGTCATGTAATTATCCTATAGCCAAAGTGATGCTATACAAGGTCTTCCTCTCTCACAAAGTACTAGTGGGAATTTGTGCTCTAGGATCTTAAAAAGTGACAGGGAGAGAGAATGCACCTCATAAAATGCCCAACTCACCCAATGGGCATTACTCATGATGCTAGAAGGAGATCTGTCTAATGGGACACATTGGTGAGGCTGGAATAACAGGAACATTCTGCAGATGGGCCAACGGACACTCTGGTAGGGACTGACCTGAAAAGAAATGGGAGTTTCCTGAGTCTAGCCAACAGTGATCATGGCAGCTCCCAACGGAGAGTTAAGGGGCATCCCAGTTCTACTGCCACTGCTGACTAGTTATCACTCAACTCTCCATTCATCCATTTTCCCATATACAAAATGGACAAATAATATCTTAGGAGACGTCAAGATCATAAATATTCTCTATTCAACTGCTTTGGAAGAAAAACAGTTTTAAACCGATGAATCATTGTGACTCAACATTGGGTTGGGAGAGAAGCTAAAACAGTGAGGACAGTTCTAAAAAACTAAACTGCATAGAAGCCAACCCATTAAAATACCCTCTCAAAAATGTTCATCAAAGCAGAATAAATGTTCCTTATTCCTCTCAAGACCAACTCCAGCACCACCACCTCTTCTCATCACTCACAGTATCAAAACCACCGCTGCCAATACCATATTAAGTAGGAGTCAAGCAAAACACATGGTTGAAACTTGTTCTACTGACCAGATACCACTGTGAAGGCAGCAGATCAAAGCTGGTGCCAGACACCCCTTGAGGAACAAAGGAGAAAGATATCCAGAGCACGCACAACAAAATCAAGGGCATCACTAGCTATTCTCATCTGTGTTTAGCTTTGTTCCCTGCCCCCCTCCTTTTTTGCTAACATACCTTTGAAGGATAAAATACTTTACATACCCTGTTCACATGGCATTATATACTTTTCTTTCACAGTAACTTAGAAATAATGCAATGCCCGGAAAAAGAGGTATACATCTTATTTAATACAGCAAATTGGGAAATAACTCTTCGTTAAAAGCACAAATTACATTTGATATGCTGGGCTCTCCCAGGGTCATGATATTTAAATAAGAATTTCTGAGCCACGAACTGAGACTGTTAAAAAGCAAAATACAATGGTTAATAATACAGAGCTCTAAACATAAAAGCATATATTATTTAAGCATTAAAAAGTCATTGTGTATATTTGTCTAACTGGCAATATAAAAAAACATAAAAATCTGATTTGTTATAAACTACACAGAAAATTGAAGTAGCAATTACAGGCTAGCAACTAGCTAATGACTTATACCGTTCCTTTGCTTCTGATAGAGAGGTGTTAGCATACAGAAGAACTTCCAGAGAGAGAAAGAAGAAGGTATGAACTGCAAGTCAGTTCACTATTTTTATGTTGGATCTCCCAATAACAGTATTTGAATAAGCAAGGAGAGAGGGAACCCCAGGCTTCAAGGAAGATTTGTGTCATCTATATATTCCCTGCATGATGTAAATTATCTATGGATCTTTGGAAACAGCATGAGGTAATAGAAATCAAAGAGATATGTTTAACTCAGCTTCACAACTTATTAACTCTGTGACCTTAGTAAAGTCAATTAATCTCAACTTTCTCATCTGTAAAATAAGATGTAACACTATCTACTTCATAGAACTGTTAAGTTTAAGGGAAAGAACAAACGTATGTTCTTTAGAAGAGGCATAAATATTAGTGCTCCCTACACGTTGGCTGCCTACTGACTATTTGCAATGATGACAGACCACAGTTGGAAGGCATCCTATGCAATATGGAGTGTCTGCTTAATATTAAAAAATTATCAGTTATGGAACATTTAAACATGGAGACAAGTTCTAAGAGGAAAGAGTATGAAATAACCTCAACTATGTAAAATATTTATAGAAAATCTAATTAATTATCTAAATGAGGTTCCTCATAAAGTTACTACCTATAATGTTAAGGACAATTCTTGGTCAAAGGGCAAAGTACAATACAAAACATCACCAAGCATGGATTTCCATCAATGTGTAACTTAATCCCTCTCAAAGAGGATACTTCAGTTGAGGTTCTGCCCAACTGAAATGCTGAGCTGTTCTAATCTTAGCTCTGTATGTTCTCTTTTTAGGGATGAGCTTGTCTTTCACTGCTAATTGAACAAATCAATTGTCACAAGACTGGTGACATATGACACTCATGCCCATTACACTCCCATTGGTGGCAAAAGGAAAAAAC
Organism: Homo sapiens; assembly: GCF_000001405.40. Lineage (NCBI taxonomy): Eukaryota > Metazoa > Chordata > Mammalia > Primates > Hominidae > Homo > Homo sapiens. The sequence continues at coordinate 33,912,771 of NC_000015.10, forward strand.
TGAGTCCCTATAAGCCAGTAACTAAAATCCACATTTGGCTAGAATTTTCATTAGTAAATCTAATCCAACACTTATAAACTGGCTATGTTGTTTAAAGATTATCATGTAAAAGGCATAATTTTTTTTTTTTTTTTTTGAGACAGAGTTTCGCTCTTGTTGCCTAGGCTGGAGTGCAATGGCGCGATCTCGGCTCACCACAACCTCCGCCTCCTGGGTTCGAGTGATTCTCCTGCCTCAGCCTCCCAAGTAGCTGGGATTACAGGCATGCACCACCACACCCAGCTAATTTTGTATTTTTCGTAGAGATGGGGTTTCTCCATGTTGGTCAGGCTGGTCTCGAACTCCCAACCTCAGGTGATTCACCCGCCTCGGCCTCCCAAAGTGTAGGGATTACAGGCATGTGCCACTGTGCCCAGCTGGCATAATTTTTTAAAAAAAGAATGCAGAGGAATTGTATTCAATTAAGAGGCTTTAACTCAAACCCCGTGACCATGCCTACGTTCAAACAAGGGCTGAAACCAAATGTTAAACTTTTAAACTAATTGGTATTAAAAGGAGTAGATATATACATACAGGTCCAAATAATACAAATTCTCAACATTAAAATTCCTCTATTAATGAGGAGGATAATAGAGACAACCAAAACATCATTAATTTGGGACTGGGGAGCTCATTACAGAACATAAGGGGCTTTGAGCAGATTTACATTCCTAATTATGTTTTGCTTCATCTAATATTAAAATTACCTTGCAGTATTTCCTAAGACCCATGGTGAGGGTGACTAGCATCCGGGCTGAGTGTAGCAAGTACAGTGAGCCTAGGATGAGATCTAATGCCAGTAACTCATACAAATTACCTTAAGTCATTGAAGTTTGTACATTTCCTGTAAAACTGAAAACCAGCCCTCTGAGTCATAATCAAATGATAAAGAATATAACTAGTCTTAGGATATTTAATATTTTTCCCATAAAGTCAAGAGCAAGGTAAGAATGTCCTCTCCCACCACTTCTCATTATACAAGAATACAAAAGTAGCCTTGAACCAATGAAAAGACCATTCCTTATTCTTGGTTAAGGATATCTCAACAATATCAATGGATATAACCAGGCGGAAACTCAGATCTACAGAAATCCATGAAAAGGGCTGAAAATGGGAAATATGTGGATATAAAATATCATTGTTCTTCCATAATTTCTTTAAAAGACAACTGATCATGTAAGCAAAAATAACAACATTGTAAAGTCAGGTTCACAGCATACGTAGAAGTTAACAATAGCACAAAGAGCAGGGAGGAGCAGATGAATAGAATTATACCCATAGAAGGTGCTTACATTTGAGGAATGGGAGGAGTGGAATGTCAGTTCTAAGTTAATGTATAAATTTAATATAACCCCCCCCCAATAGCTATGAGCTCTTTTACAGTGGTTTTATAGTTTTTCTTTATAAAGTTTGAATGTAAAAATAAACATACAGTAGCAGCTAGGAACACACTGAAAAGGAAGAGCCATGAGAAATACTAAAACACATTAAAAGCCTGTGATTAAAACAGTGTGTAGCACGTATGCGCACAGATGCCAAAGAAGTAAGTCCAGAAATAGACCTGTACCTAACCTATGATAAAAGTACATCTCAAATCACAAAGATGACCTTTTTAATACATAGGACTGGTACAACCGTATAGCAATTTGGAGAAAGATAAAATTGGACCCATTCCTCACACAATACAGAGGAATAAACTCCAAATGCCTCCAGGATCTAAATATAAAATATGAAGCTCAAGTACTAGAAGAAAATATAAATTCCTTTTTAACAGGCATATAGGGAAACCATACTAGATGAGTTATAGGATTGAACACACACTTGAATGCATTGATACTGCTGAGTGACAAGGTTCTCATCATGAAAGGGATATACAAACATGGAGCAGGAGAAGGCAAGAAAGATCCCTGTGGGGATGGACGAGAACTAGAAATACTGGTATGAACTCATGATTTTTTTTTAAAAGTGTAGGTAGAGATACATGTATGCATGCATGTAGTTCATATCAGTATATGTACATATATGTACACATAAATGTATTCCTTAGCTCTCACCATCTAGCAAAGGCACCTCATGTGCAATGCTCACACCTAGAACCTGTATCTTGGTCTTTAAAACCATTTGCACTAAAAGGAACCAGGATTCCTGAGAGAAATGACTGATTTCAGGGTTGGGAAACAGCAGGGACAAGATGCATACCAGAAAGAAAGTACCCTCAAAAAATGATGGGGAACATGTCACAAATATACAGCAGTAGTTAAAAAGGGCTTCCAACTGGCCAAGTCTGGGGCAATTTGATATGTGTTTTAAGTATAAAATACTTAAGAGGGGAGATGGGGGAAAATGGTAGATAGGAGGCAGGACTAACTTGCAGCTCCCACTCAGAGCAGCATGTGGAGACTCACATCGTGAACTTTTGCTCCAAGAACTACTGCAGGAACATATAAGGAAAACCAAGATAATCCACAGACTCTTTGAAGGAAGCAAGCGCATTGCTCCTGTAGGCCACAGGAGACAACCAAAAAACTGTTGCGTGCCCAGAGTGTGAAAGTGTGAAAGGGGGATCATCCACCCCCAAGCACACACCCTCACTGGGGAACATGAAGGTCCAGATCACAAGAGAAGAATATGACTTACCTGGAGCTGAGACAAATTTAGAGAGTCAAGTGAAATACAGGAGTAGAAGAAGCAGCGGGAAGAGCCCTGTGGGCTCTTGGTCCCCAGGAAAGCCATTTCTGACTGTCTCACAGAGGTCCTTGGGGAGGGCTACCAGAGGAACTGGGAAAAGACCACAAGGAGAAGGGAACTTCCAGCTGAGCTTTGTAACAATTTCGATAGAACTCAAAGTTTTCCTGGACAGAACTCGGGAGAGGGGATGAATCAGGAGTGCAGACACAGCACAGAAGCCACAGCAGGTGGGGAGGCCTGAAACCTGAAAGCCCTGTTTGGTTTCTCAGCCAAGAGGCTGGTAGCCTGGGGTAGGTTCTCAGCCCTGCTCACCCGCGGCCTGGAAATAAACTCCGTGCTGTTGGAGAAGCATGGTGGGAATGAGACTGGCCTTTTGGGCAGCGTGGGAGCTGGGTAAGGGCTTGCTTTACCCCACCTTCCTGGTGACCTGCATGACACAGCTGAAGCAGCCATAATTCTCCTGGGAACATAACTCCACTGGCCTGAGAGCCACACCTCCACCCCCACAGCAGCCGCAGCAAGCCCCACCCACGGAGAGTCTGAGCTCAGACACGCCCAACCCTGCTCCCATCTGATGGTTTTTCTCTACCTGCCCTCGTAGCCCAAGACAAAGGACATAATCTCCTGGGAGCTCCAGGGTCCCACCCACCACCTGATCCTCCCTATACTACCACAGCTGATGCCCTCTTGAAAGCACCACCTCCTGGCAAGAGGCCAACCAACACAAAACTTGTGCAATAAACAAAACTACAACTAAGGACCCTCACAGAGTCCATTTCACTCCTCTGCCACCTCTACTGGAGCAAGTGCTGGTATCTACAGCTAAGTGACCTGAAGACAGATCACATAACAGGACTCTGTGCAGACACCCCCCAGTACCAGCCCAGAGCCCAGAAACTCCGCTGGGTGGCTAGAGTGGGGAAAATCTTCGCAATCTATGCATCTGACAAAAGGACTAATAACCGGAATTTACAAGAAACTTAAATCAGCAGGAAAAAAAACAAAGAATCCCATCAAAAAGTGGGCTAAGGACATGAATAGACAATTTTCAAAAGAAGATATACAAATGGCCAAAACACATATGAAAAAATGCTCAACATCACTAATGATCAGGGAAATGCAAATCAAAACCACAATGCAATACTACATTACTCCTGCAAGAACGGCCATAATAAAAAAATAATAATAATAAATGTTGGCATGGATGTGGTGAAAAGGGAACACTTTTACACTGCTGGTGTGAATGTAAACTAGTACAACCATCGTTATTAGTCTGTTCTCATGCTGCTATAAAAAACTGGTGAGACTGGGTAATTTAGAAAAAAAAAAAGAGGTTTAATTGACTCACAGTTCCATAGGGTTGGGGAGGCCTCAGGAAACTTACAAACATGGTGGAAGGGGAAGCAAACACACCCTTCTTCACATCGCAGCAGCAAGCAGTGCCCAACACAAAGGGGAAAAGCCCCTTATAAAACCATCAGATCTCATGAGAACTCACTGTCATGAGAACAGCATGTGGGTAACTGCCCCCATGATTAGATTAGCTCCCACTGGGTCTCTCCCACAACCCACAACACATGGGGCTTATGGGAACTACAATTCAAGATGAGATTTGGGTGGGGACACAGTCAAACCATATCAACCACTATGGAAAACAGTGTGGAGATTCCTTAAAGAACTCAAAGCAGAACTACCATTTGATCTAGCAATCCCACTCCTGGGTATCTACCCAGAGGAAAAGTAATCATACAAAAAAGATACTTGCACATACGTTTGTAGCAGCACAATTTGCAATACAAAAATATGGAACCAGCCTAAATGCCCATCAATTAATGAATGGATAAAGAAAATGTGGTGTGTGTGTGTGTGTGTGTGTGTATACACACACACACACACACACATGGAATACTACTATATATATACACACACTATATATATACACACATATATACACACACACATATATATACACATACATCATGGGATACTACATATATATACACACGGAATAATTCACACACATACGTGTATATATATATATATATCAATCACACATGTGTATGTATACACACACACACACACAATGGAATACTACATATATATACACACATGGAATATACATATATATACACACACACCATGGAATACTACTCAGCCATAAAAAGGAATGAAATAATGGCATTCACAGCAACCTGGATGGAATTGGAGATTACTATTCTAAGTGAAGTAACTCAGGAATGGAAAACTAAACGTCATATGTTCTCACTCATAAGTGGGAGCTAAGTTATGAGGATGCAAAGGCAGACTCAGGGGTAAGTGTGGGAGGGGGGTAAGGGATAAGACTACACACTGGGTACAGTGTACACTACTCAGGTGATGCGTGCACCAAAAACTCAGAAATCACCACTGAAGAACTTATTCATGTAAGCAAACACCACCTGTTCCCTAAAAATTTATTGAAATAGAAAAGAAAAATATATGATTCTTCAAAGATTTAGTACAAAATAAAAGTAATTTTTCTATTAATTACAGGTTGAAATAATATTTTGGATATATCCAGTTCAATAAAATACATTAGCACCATTAATTTCACTTTTTTCTACTTTTTATTTTGTTTCATAATGAAATATGCAACAAAGACAAAAATAAGTTGTTTCATTCTAAGCTTTCTGATATAAAAGCAGATTCTCATACGTATCTAAGCAAAGCAAAGCAAGTGCTATTGGCAGGACTGGAAAAAATTAATCAACATTTTAAAACTGCTTGAAGCTTCTTTTAAATAACCATAAATTTTAAGCTCATTTAGCTCCTACTATGTACTTTTAAAATCAAACTAATAATAGGAACCTAGCCATAGTTTTCTAAATCTTGCTTATTTAGTTGAACATCGCTATAATTTGTCAAAGAAAAGCATTTCATAAAATGTGATGATGTTGTGTCTTCCCAGTCTTAAATTACAGCTTTTTTTTTTTTTTTTTTTTTTTTTTGTGAGACAGTCTTGCTCTGTCACCCAGATTGAAGTGCAGTGGCGTGATCTCAGCTCACTGCATGCAGTCTCTGCCTCCCGGGTTCAAGCGATTCTCCTGCCTCAGCCTCCTGCGCACACCACCAAGCCTGGCTAATTTTTTGTATTTTTAGCAGAGATGGGGGTTTCTCCATGTTGGCCAGGCCGGTCTTGAACTTCTGACTTCAGGTGATCTGCCCGCCTCAGCCTCCCGAAGTGCTGGGATTATAGGCAAGAGCCACCACACCCAGCCTACAGCATCCTTTTTGTAATTAAACTTTTTCTTCTAAATGATGTTGTCTTAATTGACTAAACAGAATTTCCTCAATGTGAAGGAAATTAATCTACCTTTTTAAGGAGAGGTTAATGCTACTGCCATCTGGTCATCAAACACATGAAATAGCCCATGCCTCTGCTTTTCTGTTTTTTTTTTTTTTGAAATGGAGTCTCACACTGTCCCCCAGGCTGGAGTGCAGTGGTGTGATCTCAGCTCACTGCAACCTCCGCCTCCCAGGTTCAAGCAATTCTCCTGCCTCAGCCTCCCGAGTAGCTGGGATTACAGGCACCTGCCCATCACGCCCGGCTAATTTTTTGTATTTTTAGTAGACACAGGGTTTCACTCTGTTGGCCAGGCTGGTCTCAAATGCCTGACCTCGTGATCCACCCACCTCGGCCTCCCAAATTGCTGAGATTACAGGTGCTTTTGTGTTTTTAAGAAAAAAATCCATACTAATATCTTGCTAACATAAATATTCTTAGCAGAAGAAAAATAAATCCCAGAATTTATTTTTCAATACTCCAAATTTCAATAACGTCTAAAAACATTAGATAACAGTGATGTTATACAGCAAAGGGAAATCTAGCAAGGCAATTCTAACTTTAGAAAGACAAATTGGTATCTCTCAAACAGCAGTCATGCAACTTTGGTGTATATCAGAATCATCTGAAGGGCTTATTAAAAGTAGAAATGCCCAGGTTCTACCCAAAAGCAATGAAATCAGAATCTACAAGGGTGAAGTCAATATCTATAATTTTATCCCCAAATCTCAGTGGAATATCAATCCCCCTTAGACAACAAGAAGGGTATGGGAATGAACCATATGAATTCTGTCCACTACTCAGCAAACACCTCAGAAATGTGTGGCTTAGAATAAGAGCACAGAGGGAAAAGAAGAGCAAGCCAAAGGCATTTTCTGTAGGGGATGCTACTTCCAGATATGTGACAATACACACACATTATTTAACTGATAATTTCACTGAGCACATTCCAGGTATTTGGCCTCATTCCCTAAATTAACACGAAGTACAAAAAAATTTGAACCAACCATTAAGAAGCTTCCCATCCAACAGATTTCCATTCATAATGAATGTAGATAAGTATCACTTCCACAGAATACACACAAGCCTCTGTTTCCTAGTCTGATTACAATCTCCTATGTCTTTGGCATTTTCCCAGTATGCCTACTCTTTAAGACCTCTTCCTAACCTCTTATTCCTTCCCTATCCATCTCCTCCATCAGAACTAACTACTCACGTGAACCTACCCTCAATAGTACCCCTTGTTACCTTATTCTACACTGGCCCAGCAAAACCCTAACCCTGGATTAATGAGATTTCTTCTTCTATATGCAACAGGGTGCTAGAGTCAACCATGCAATGCAGATTTGTCCTACAATCTTAATTGTGGTAAAAATACACATCACATAAAATGTGCCATCTTAAACATTTTTAAGTGGAAACAGTTCAGTAGCATTAAGTATATGCATATTGTCCTGCAACCAATCTCCAGGACTTTTTCACCTTGCAAAGCTGAAACTACACTCATTAAACAACTCATTTCCCCATCTCCCCAACCCCTAGCAACCACCATTCTACTGCTTCTATCAATTTGACTTCTTCAGTACTTCATATACACGGAATCATACAGTATTTGTCTTTTTGAGGCTGGCTTATTTCACTCAATCCCACTACTTGTTGTCAATATCACGGTATTCCTTTTGATAGCAGTCTCATTCCTAAATCTGACTTATATCTTAACCCCAGTACACTTTTATCTTTCAACGAAAAGAACATGCTCCTTTTCTGATAACAAAAGTAATCCATGTTCAAAGCAAAACACTTTAAAAACGCAAAGAAAAAATGTATGTGTCTTGCCATGAGACTGTGCTCTTAAGGACAAGGGCCACACCTGATTCATCTCTGGATCTCTGGCACAGTGGCAAGTACATAAAAGACACTTACATGTTTGATGATTACTTTTCCAAATATACTTCCTTTTTTTTTAGATGAAGTCTTGCTCTGTTGCCCAGGCTGGAGTGCAGTGGTGCAATCTCGCAATCTCGGCTGACTGCAGCTTCTGCCTCCTGGGTTTTCAAGCGATACTCCTGCCTCAGCCCCCCAAGCAGCTGGGACCACAGGCGCACACCACCACACCCAGCTAATTTGTGTATTTTTGGTAGAGACGGGTTTCCACCATGTTGCCCAGGCTAGTTTGGAACACCGGAGCTCAAGTAAGCCACCCACCTCAGCCTCCCAAAGTGCTGGGATTACTGGCGTGAGCTACCGCACCTGGCCCTTCCTCGTGTTTCAATAGGTAAATTTATGTGTGCCCTTGATAACTGTTTAACGCTTTTCCACAAAGCAAAATTTCCATTCTCATCACTATTATTAGTTAGTAGTAGCAGTATTCAAGTATTTTAACAACACATAGCTCAAGCTCCTAGTAGATAAAGATTAATCTTCTCAGTACTGCACCTAAGCACCTAAGATAGTGCCCACCCTGAAGGAGCTCATGATCTAATTAAGAAGAAAGGCAAGTTCCAGGTGACAGACACAGACAGTAACTACTAATTCCAAAAAGAGTCTGCTGCAAATTGAGACAGTTTTTCAGAACAGGTGAGATTTAATCTCGAATTGAGAGAACAGGGAGGAGAGTGAGAGAGAGTGCATTCCTGGAAGAAGGAACTTAGGAAAAGTCAAAGAAATAAGGAAGGCACACTTGAGGTAGAGGCAGCAATATATAGTTGGCAAAGAGGATTCTTCAAGAAAATGGAAGCCAAGAAAGTTGGAAAGGTAAGTTGGGAGCAGCCTGTGCATTGCCTTGAGATGGTGGGATAAGATATTTAAACTACATTCCACAGAGTGGCAACAAGAATATTTAGAAAACAATGACATCATGAGGGTTTGAGCATCAGAAAGGCTCATTTGGACACTTCCTTTCCTATTCTGAAGAGACAAGAATCATACTCAAAATGTAAGCACATCCACAAATCTCAAACTTTAACAAAAGAGAACAGAAGAAAACTCAGCACACATGCTAACTGACCTGGCTATATTATTATTGTCTTGTCTCTGCTCAGGCTGGAGGGAGAGATTGGGAAAAAATGGTTAGCAGCAAACCTACAGTTCATTTCTCCTTAAGAGCAGGGAGCGGAGGGTGGGGAGGGGTCTATGGAAACACTCCTAGTAAATAAAGAAAGGAGGTAGTTAACCTGGTCAATTCTCCTTGTAAACATACTAGTGTCAGATCTCTTGACAAACAATCCAATGGTGTTTATTAGTAAGAAAGTCCCTATCGATGGATTTTAGCAGGACGTATCTAATCTGTCTAGGATTACTTCTGGTTAACAAATTTGGAATCTTTCAATATAGGGAGTATAGCCCCTTGGAAAATATGTCACATAAGTTATGCAACCACTGGAGTACAAAGCGAAAATGATTCCTAATGGAAACAGCTTCCTAACATACCACAGGCATTGCTTCTAAGCCCTTGTACCTTAAATCTGGGCCCACAGCATCCTAGTGCAGCTAGAGAGGACCTGGAGAGTAGGGATGGATGGCTATCCTGTACCTGAGGACTACTCGTATTCCTGAACATTATTAGTAAACCTTGATGTAAGCTAAGGGCTGATTCTTGTGAATGTGATTTGACACTTTTTTTTCTCTTATTTTTGAGACAGGGTCTCACTCTGTTGCCCAAGTTGGAATGCAATGGCATGATCATGACTCACTGCAGCCTCAACCCCTGGGCTCAAGAGATGCTCCCGCCTCAGCCTCCTGAGCAGCTGGGACTACTGGCATGTACCACCACACCCAGCTAATTTTTATTTTTTGTAGAGATGGGGTCTCACTATGTTGCCCAGGCTGGTCTGGACTCCTGGCTTCAGATCCTCCCACCTCAGCCTCCTCTAATCACAAGTGCTGTGATTACAGGTGTGAGCCACTGGTACCCAGTTCCTGATTTGACAACCTAATTCTCTATATTATCTCAGAGGCCTTCTCTTCTTACAGCTTATTTCATGAAATATGCTTTCTGCTTTACTTCTTATGCTCTTTCTTGGGTGAGGAAGGGTGTCTGTGACTCAATCCTTAGGACATCCACAATTCCCTGTAAAAAGTTCAATCAAAGTTTTATCAGGAATGAATGAATGAAAATGTTGAATTTACATCTGTTTTATAGCTATTCTAATCAGTTTCTCATGTATATGTGTATATATACACTTAATGAATATCAACTTAAAATAATACTTTATGAGTTAACCTGATTTAGAACACATATTTTAAGAATGCAAATTCATACTATAATTAGAAAGTTTTCACAAGATTAAGGCAAACTACATTAAAATAGGATAAGCTAAGAGAGAGAGAGAGATAAGCTTGGTAATTACCATGCTTTTGTTCCATTTCAATGAAACAACCTTATTAGGTAGAAAAAAGAACTAGTAATGTAAGATTTAGCCAAACATTGTTTTACAAATTACAAAAAGGAGTAATTGTGTATTCTATCCTTGAAACATATGTTTAACTCCTATAATTTTAATAATCATATGTAACCTTACAATAGTCAAGCACATGCATTAATGAAGAGTAGTAAGTTAATTCCTCAAAGCATATTACTTGATTTATTCTGTGACTTCCAAATTACAAGACGTGGAATTGTGAGAGCCTGCAGTTACAAACGTAGAGCTGAGATGGGCAAACTTTCAGTAAATAGTTAAATAGTAATTACTTTAACTTTGTGGGTCACACAGTCTCTGTTGTAACTACTCAACTAGCTGCTATAGTGCAAAGGCAATCAGTCAATAAGTAAATAAATGGGTGTAGCTGTGTTCTAATAAAACTTTATTTATAAAAGTTGGCAATGAGCCATATTTGGCCCTCAAGTGGTTGTTTGCCCACCATGATGTACAGCATGGGTTCCCAACCCCTAGGGGTTAGGAACCAGGCCACACAGCAGGAGGTAAGTGGCAAGGCAGGGGAGAGTGAGCAAAGCTTCATCTGTATTTACAGCCACTCCCCATCCCCATTCTCACAAGAGCACAAACTCTATTGTGAACTGCACCTAAGAGGGATCCAGGTTGCTACTCCTTATGAGAATCTAATGCCTGATGATCTGTCACTATCTCCCATCACCCCCAGGTGTGACTATCTAGTTGCAGGAAAACAAGCTCAGGGCTCCCACTGATTCTACATTATGAGTTGTAAAATTATTTCACCATATATTACAATGTAATAATAATAGAAATAAAGTGCACAATAAATGTAATGAGCTTGAATCATCCCTAAACTATCCCCCCCTTTTCTGGTCCACAGAAAAACTGTCTTCCATGAAACCAGTCTCTGGTGCCAAAAAGGTTGGGGACCACTAATGCATAGTATTTCTGTCTCCACTATTTGTTGAGTGCCTAAAGCAATCAAGGCACTCAGAGGACTAGGGGTACGGTAGTCCTCTGCAGAGAAATGCCTGTAGTCCCACCTACTCGGGAGGCTGAGGCACAAGAATCATTTGAACCCCGGAGGTGGAGGTTGCAGTGAGCCGAGATCATGCCACTGCACTCCAGCCTAGGTGACAGAGCGAGACTGTCTCAAAAAAAAAAAAAAATTATTATTTTTTTCCTGGCACGACGCAGTCTTGACCTCCCAGGTTCAGGTGATGTTTCCACCTCAGCCTCTGAACTATAGGCATGTGCCACCAAACCGAGCTAAATTTCCTGATTTTTTTGTAGAGACAGGGTTTTGCCATGTTGCCCAGACTGGTCTTCAACACCTGGGCTCAAGCCATCCACCTGCCACAGCCTCTCAAAGTGCTGGGATTATAGGCGTGAGCCACCACACCTGGCCAGCACATCATTTTAAACTGCTTCATTATGATTGTCTTATACTATTTTATCAAATACGTTCATGGAGTTTTTCAAAGCATTTTGAAGTATTAAATTATTTGAAGCATTAATTTATAGAGATGTAAGCTTTCAGAGTACCTTCTTGCTTCAACTGTAGAATATTTCATTATTATCAAGGACCCATAATTGCTGGCATTATTTGAAGAAAGACATAGGTAATAAATAATTGAGAAAATTTGGAACCTACTCTGAATTAAATAGATAATATATGTAATTCATTATATACATATATTTTAAAATATGAATTATGTTTGCAACTGTGATTGATAAATGCAACTGACTGGTTAAACATATTTTTAGAACTCCTTTTGCCTTACCTACAAACAACCTTATGTTACCAAATTTCGCTTTAGGAAATATTTAATTATTCATATCAAAATTAGAATTTAAACTCATTCTTTATTAAACTCTGTGTTAACTATATTGGTGTTTACATGTCTTCTGGCTTTTATTATAAAGCAACTTGATGATGGCTTCACACAAGCCCCTGTACCTTCCTCCCTATGATTCCCTAAAGCAATTACAAGAAAAAGTACCACTTTGTCTCAACCTAACATCATTTTTTGCAAAGTCCCAGGGATAAATGATTAATGTTAGCATTAGATGGGGAGACATCTACCCCAACCTCCCTCTGATACCTTCCTTTCTATAAGATAAAACCAGGACTGTTCATATGATACCCACAGAATTAAGATAAAATTGGTGGTCAAAGAAGGAAGTCTGGCTAAAGACTTTAGTGAAGACACTTTGGTTGAAGAAATGGGACAAATAGGGCCATTCCATGCCAATGCCAATAGTTTCCCTGGTGCTCCAGTCACTGCGGTGACAGCACTGCAATGGTATTAGGACCCTCAGAACCATAGGCAGTGCTTTTAAGACAGGTGTGCCGGTTAATGGCTGTTAATTGCATAAGACACTTAAAAGTAATTCCTGCCCATCAGCACGGGTGAGAGCTGATACTACTAACTAGTAAGACTGTAGTGAATGAGGTGCATTATAAAGAATTTTATCCAACAAGGTACCACAGTAAGGTTAATTTATATGCTGATACTCTCTTTAGTGGGAGAAAGAATTTCAAATCATGGCTAGAAGTCAACTCTGAACCTACTTGAGATGGAAAGTTTTTATAATTATATTTTATTTACCTTTAAAGACTGAAATCCTATGCTTCCCTTTTTGGAGCACTGTTCTAACATGATTATTAAGAAAACATTCCTTATGTTTCATCAGACTCTTCCTGTATTATTTAAGCTATTTTCTCTTAATTATGCCTTCTCCGCAAATGAAGGTATTGGGCGATATCCTTGAAGCAACCATGTATGTGCTGTTTTTCCAAGACGCCATTTTCATTTGTGCTAACGGTTTCAACATAGTTTTTCAGATGGCAGGGGAACATTACCAAATCACCTCTATATATCCATAAAGCATATATGGACTAAAAAATCAAAAATGTGAAAAGTATTTCCCAGAGTCTGGAAAACACAGTGCAATTAAGCAGCTATTCAATAACCTGCCCTCTCACTGCCTAACCTGTCTCAATTTTTGTGTTTTCTCCAGAACCCTATTTATGGCTCCTTTCATTCTAGCTTCTCTTCTACAAATCTTTCTCTTCTTAACTCTCCTAAAGTAGGGAAAACAAAATACATCCCTACTAAGCATGCTGGAAAGGTCACTTTCTGGCCTTGTGAGGATTGGGATCACGGCAGCTCTATTAGGATTTGAGAGGCAGTGCAGGGGCGGTCAGGAAGTGAACCGTGGAGTCTGAGCTTTGACCCCAGTGCTACTATTTATTGACAGGTTATTTAGAATCTCCGTGCCTCAGATTTCTCCTCTTTAAAATGAAAGTAAGATTAGGCACAGAGGCTCATGCCTATAATCCCAGCATTTGGGGAGGCTGAGACAGGAGGATTGCTTGAGGGCAGGAGCTCAAAACCAGCCTAGACAACATAACCAGACCCTGTCTCTACAAAAAAACTTAGAAATTATTATTATTATTTTGAGATGGAGTCTCACTCTGTCACCCAGGCTGGAGTGCACAATCTCAGCTCACTGAAACCTCCACTGCCTGGGTTCAAGCGATTCTCCCACCTCAGCCTCCCGAGTAGCTGGGATTACAGGCATGTGCCAACACACCCAGCTAATTTTTGAATTTTTAGTAAAGAGAGGGTTTTGCCATGTTGGCAAGGCTGGTTTCAAACTCCTGACCTCAGGTGGTCTGCCTGCCTCAGCCTCCCAAATTGCTAGGATTACAGGAGTGAGCCACTACACCCAGCTAGAAATAAAATAAAAATAATTTTAAAAAGAAAATAATAGCCTGTAATCCCAGCACTTTGGGAGGCTGAGACAGGCGGATCACAAGGTCAGGAGATTGAGACCATCCTGGCTAACACGGTGAAACCCCATCTCTACTAAAAATACAAAAAAATTAGCCGGGTGTGGTGGCGGGCGCCTGTAGTCCCAGCTACTGGGGAGGCTGAGGCAGGAAAATGGCTTGAACCCGAGAGGTGGAGCTTGCAGTGAGCCAAGATCATGCCACTGCACTCCAGCCTGGGTGACAGAGCGAGACTCCATCTCAAAATAATAATAATAATAATAATAATAATTGAACTTCCTAAGACTTAAGTGAGATGATATGTTAAGTGCTCTTAACAGTGCCCAGTAAATGGAAAGTGTCTGCATTGAATCATTGAAATGAATTAATTACCAATAATAATAATAGTTAATAATTATCAATAATAATGATAGTTAATTCATCTCAATGATTCTCCAGTGCCAACTATATGTATAAAACACTCTAAAAAGCACTGTTTCTAACCATACTTTGCTATGATGTTCTGATATTTCTCTACTGGAAGATACAGACTGATTGGAGGTAATTTACAACAAGGCTAACAGAACAAGCTTCAGGGCTCCTCACTTGCACAGGCCCCTTCCAAGGCCTTGGGAGGCCCAAGGCACATATTCACATGGTCACATGTTTCTGTAGAATTTGGAGGCCCTAGCAATGTATTACATGGTCATATATTTTTGTAGAATGTGCAAAAGAAAGATATTTTAACTGCAATCTGTTAAGAACACTTTCTTTCCATTCAAACTTCACACTTTTCCTCATGTAGGGTGGCTTTGGTGTGGCCCTGGAACCTTGGAGGGTCTAGATAAGGGGAAATTTGAGTTGGGGACATATTTAATGTGGTTTCTGTAGTGCTGGCCCTCTTGGTATAGGAATAGCTTTCTGGAATATTCCCACTGCCCACTGTGCCAACTCAGCATCAGGACACAACAGTACAGGCTGGAGAGCTTACTGTGTG
Source organism: Homo sapiens (assembly GCF_000001405.40). Lineage (NCBI taxonomy): Eukaryota > Metazoa > Chordata > Mammalia > Primates > Hominidae > Homo > Homo sapiens. The sequence goes on from NC_000015.10 coordinate 33,927,989, forward strand.
TCCTACTATGCCTGGTGATGAAGTAGGTGGGTAGTGGAGAAGAAACAGGTTTGGAATGTATAAAGAAGCTAATCCATGCGAAACTTTTCCAACCACCACGTGGGTAAAACTGTAGGCTAAAGATTCAGCTCTTTTCAACACCTTGTCAAAATGGAAGTCTCTCTGTTGAGTAAGGCAGTAAAATACTACTATTAAAGAATGTTACATAAAACTCATAATGAGCCACTACAACAAAGACACAAACAAACTGGTTACTGACTGTTGTAAATTGAAAGATTAGTCCCTGCAAAAGAAAACTTGAAAGCTCTGAAATCTTACAGTTCATATTATGAAAGAAACTTGAGAAAGGGATTCCTAAATTTGACAACAGAAACCTGGCCAGCAAGCTAAAAGAAAGCAAGGGATCAATCTCTGGCAGAGAGGGCTGTAGAGTTACTGGAAAGGTGGCCCTGGAAGTATCAGAGGTAAGGAGATACTGTGGACAGCAGACGTAAGGCTGAAGAATGCCTTATGAGGACTAATTAATAGTACAAGAGGTTGAGGCTGAGGTTGAGAAACAGTCAACAAGTAGAGTGCTCTCCAAGACGCAACTGAATGGGGGAGGCAGAGGAGGAAATAGAGCTCTATGCATCCAAGGGTGGGCAAGGATGTATGGAGTAAGCCATCCTGACTTGATTGCCACATGAACCCAGAAGCTGACACAGAAAGGGAGCTCAGCCATCCTTCCCAGAGGGACTGCACAAGTACCAAGAGTCACAGAGAAACTAATGGGGAGGTGCTCCCAGGCAGGAAGGGCCTTTAATGCAGTAGCCCTGGGTCTAAAATCAGTCCAGATGTGTCTTCAAAAGGCACCTGCCTCATGGACAAGAATCAACATAATAACAAATAAAGCAGAATTTCTTCCTCCCCTTCCCTGATATGGTATTAAATAATACTGTGGAATACTACCTAAGATGTTCCTACTCTAGAGATGAGAACCTCCAGCAAGGTAGTACCCATCTAATCATAACGGCCTCAAGAAACTCAAAGTGACAGTCATGTGGAACAGAATAAAAATTCTTACTAAGTTCCATAACAGTTGTATCTCTTGCTTCCTGCTTATAGAAAATTTATTCTTGGTGGGGCCTTAGAACCATGGAGTTGGAGAATGGGGTGCCTGACCTAGAATACCAAACTATGTTCAATATAAAATGTACGTGTTTTATCACCTTAGCACCTGAATCTCAGCAGTTCTTTGAGGCATTCTGCTTCCCACACACATTTGATTCCCTCCATGGTAAGTATGCTGACTGTTATCCGCTGAGGCATATAAATGTTAACCCTGTCACCCAGGAAGGCTAAAGTCATACTTCCTCAAGTCCTGACTTCATATTTTGAGTAACAATTTCAAGTGAGTTGCCCACACTGCATAGCTGTAGACAGTCTTTCAACTGATAGGACTAGGGCCAGCCTCTGGGCCGAGGGAAAAAGAGTAAACCACTTTGTAGGACTGATGCTGGTGCCAGCCTTGTGAGCTACCCAAGTAAAAGAGGCTAGTTTACAAGGCTGCTAAATTACTAATGCTTCAAGGATTCATCGGACTTTCAACTGTTTAAACCACAAAACTAAAGCAAGAATTCTCTATCACCATTAAAAAATTAGAATATTTCACCAAGCAACCTAAATTTGCACACAAAATGGGGGGAAAATTACTGTGACTAATTATTCTTTACTACCCTTTCCAAAGATAGATCAAAACATCTTTTAACAAATGTCAATTTAATTTTACTGCTAAAGAGAAGCAGCAGGTGATAAATGGGAAACACAGTGTCCCTAAATACACATTGAAGCAGATCAGCTTAATCTTCACATATTTAAGAAATGAAATTAATTCAGAACAAACAGGGGCATAAGGCATTAAACTACTAGGGAACTGAATAAAAAGTCTATGATAACCGGCTGATGAAATAGAAGTATGCTCAATTATAACTGGTATAACCGCCGCTTAAAAAAATATTCCTCCAGTCCTTTCTTCATAAGTGCTACAAATCATTCATCCAGTGGAGAAATACTAAAGGGGCCCTATAAAAGCACCAGTGTCTTGACGAACAGATTAGGAAACTGTTCTAGCATGCCATGGTAAGTCTCCAAAGCAATAGAAAAAAATTAACAAATACCTTCCATCCCTTTACACATCTTCTTCTGCCATCTTTCTCCATCCTTCTGGTCTATTGTTTCCTACTCTAAGAGTGAGCAGAACCATGTCCCAAGGAGATTTTATTATGGACCTGATTTGGGATGACATCTTGACATCTAGTCACCCAAGATAAGAAGTAAAGCATTACTCTAGTATTATTTTGAGTCCATCTAGGACAAAAAAAAAAAAAATGTAATCCTTAAAGAGAGTTTATTAACTAACTACTAATTTTAGGTTCAGTTTAAGCCAAGTAAACATCAGGTCCTAGACATAAAGAAACATGATACAAAAGAATGTGAACATGTATAAAATACTCATAAATTGTAATCCATAACTATTTTCTCAAAGACATGGAGCTAAATAATCTCTCTTCTTTTCACATAAAACAGCCTACATATACTTTCTTACGAAATCTAAAATGCTATGGGAATAGTCTGTATCCAAAATTAAGATTATCATGTTCAATATGAAATTCAGAATGAAAAGTAATCTGTTACAACTTAAGAACTGGCCGGGCGCGGTGGCTCACGCCTGTAATCCCAGCACTTTGGGAGGCCGAGGCAGGAGGATCACGAGGTCAGGAGATTGAAACCATCCTGGCTAACATGGTGAAACCCCATCTCTACTAAAAATACAAAAAATTAACCGGGTGTGGTGGCGGGCACCTGTAGTCCCAGCTATTTGGGAGGCTGAGGCAGGAGAGTGGCATGAACCTGGGAGGCGGAGCTTGCAGTGAGCCAAGATCACACCACTGTACTTCAGCCTGGGCGACACAGTGAGACTCTGTCTCAAAAAAAAAAAAAAAAAAAACTTAAGGATTACTAAGGGGTGTGACTGCAGGGTAACAATGATTTCATGATTTCTAAACATTCTCTGGGCAGATCCCATATTTTTACACACCCCTTAGAATAATTAGACGTTAGTACTTTTCTTTTGTCTTTTAGAATGACTACCAACGATGGATACGGCACAAACAATGAGGAAATTATCTATAGTCTAAATTAGAAACCATGCTCCCTTGTTAAGAAAGGCAGCTTTCAATAACAAATTTAAATATTTAATTCTATTTATAGGATCATTTGTATGGACTTGTTTTGCACTTGTTTCAGTCAACACATAACCATCAAATTAAGGGACCTTTTAAATTTATTTATTTGCCAAAAAGAAACTATGCTGAATATTTTCTTTTTTTTTTTTTTTTTTTTTTTTTTTTTTTTTTTTTTTGAGACGGAGTCTTGCTCTGTCACCCGGGCTGGAGTGCAGTGGCACAATCTCGGCTCACTGCAAGCTCCGCCTCCTGGGTTCACGCCATTCTCCTGCCTCAGCCTCCAGAGTTGCTGGGACTACAGGCACCCGCCACCACACCCAGCTAATTTTTTGTATTTTTAGTAGAGGCGGGGTTTCACTGTGTTAGCCAGGATGGTCTTGATCTCCTGACCTCGTGATCTGCCCGCCTCGGCCTCCCAAGTGCTGGGATTACAGGCGTGAGCCACCGCGCCCGGCCTGAATATTTTCACTAAACTTATTAAAGTGTTACAACAAAATCAAGTAATTAATTTAAATTCTCTTATTTTACTTTTTTTAAAAAAATAAAGAGCTTGGTCATTAGAATTCACATAGTAAGCAGAAGGCAAGACCCAATTGATTAGAAAGATCCCTTTCTCACAGCTAGAAGTATAGTTGATTTGCAATTGGGAAAAATAGCTCATCAGTCAAAACCATCCCCCTGATGGAAGAGAGACAGAGATGAGAGAAAGAATAAAGCATCCAGAATCCTCACATTCATGTGGAAAGGCTTGATTCTAAGATGAGCTTGATCTCCAGGGAAGTAAATCACAATAAGCAGTATTATCCAGCATTCTATAAGGCTGGTTTGAACAGACTTCCAGCATGTAAAAGTCAGAAAATTTAGAGCATCTTATGAGGTGAAGATTGCAGACCACTAAGAGCAGCATCAGAAACTACAATCAAACTACAATGCTAAAAGAAATGAGCAGAACCTTGAAGAATAAACACACATTCTGAAAACCTTTGGTCTTTTTTTGTAACTTATACTAAATAACATATACCCAATTTGGCAAGTTCAGAACTACCATTTCCAAATCAACAAAACAGCAAGAGTCTCCATGTCCACCAGTGATTCACATGTTAACAAGTCATACAGTGATCTTGTCAGTTCTAAGTGTGTACTCCGTGGACAGTGCCATGAAGACAGACATAGTTCCCAGGACAACTCTATGTACACTGACATTACTAGGTACACGTTTTTGCAAGATTAACTCTATGAGGAAGTTAAACTGTAACAAGAATAATACACAGTTATGAAGAAGAATAAGAAATGGTCTCCTTAAGCCAGCGTTACTTTTAAATTGTAGGTCTGGGCTGGGCGCGGTGGCTCACGCCTGTAATCCCAGCACTTTGGAAGGCTGAGGTGGAGGGATCATGAGGTCAGGAGTTCAAGACCAGCCTAGCCAACATGATGAAACCCTGTCTCTACTAAAAATACAAAAATTAGCTAGGTGTGGTGGCCGGCGCCTGTAATCCCAGCTACTCAGGAGGCTGAGGCAGGAGAATTGCTTGAACCCTAGAGATGGAGGTTGCAGTGAGCCGAGATCGTGCCATTGCACTCCAGCCTGGGTGACAAGAGCAAGACTCCATCACAAAATAAACAAACAAATAAATAAATAAATAAATAAATAAAAATTGTAGATCTTGACACATCAGTGGTTTGTTAAATCAATATAGTGGGTGTCAGCATTTTTAGATGAAATAAATAATAGAACACAACACTGCATGCAGTAAATGCAAGATTTATTTCATGAATCTTTTGTTTCTGGTATATGTGGGAGAAGGGTAGCAAAACAAACTGTATTTCCTATTTGGATCCCATTCAAAAATGTTTGAAAGCTACTGGCTCAAGCATTGCCTTTACAAACAGAATATACTAATCAGAGATGAAGATGAAGGGACACCTGAAAGAATGTCCCTCCTCACACGCTGGCAGCTCCAGTATCACAAAGGTTATTATTATAGGTAGGTTACGACAACTCTGTGTCGTTAGATAAGAGTGGAATATATTCAAAAGACAGCCCTTGTCTCTCTCTGTTCTACACAAAGCTGGAGTATAATGGTCTTTCCAAAGCAGTAACAAGGTTGTAAAACTCTCAGGGAACTTGGTTAGACCTGAGTGATCTGTTCAGCTCCATATGGAGATGGAGAGAAATGAATGTGGATGCTAAACTGGACTAGATGGTATCTCCCCCTCTCTATGGAAACACTCCAATTGAATTAGGCTCAGGAAGTAAGCCAGGCCTGGCCTCCAACAATCACACACACACACACACACACACACACACACACAGAGAGAGAGAGAGAGAGAGAGAGAGAGAGAGAGAGAGAGAGAGAGAGAGAGAGAGAACTGAGGCATCCTCCATTGGAGCTCCAGTCTCTTTTTCTCTCATACCCACGCACCATGCTAGGGCCTGTACAAACTGAGTTAGAAAAATAGTCTCAGCCGGGTGCAGTGGCACATGCCTATAATCCCAGCACTTTGGGAGGATGAGGCAGGCAGATCACCTGAGGCCGGGAGTTCAAGACCAGCCTGGCCAACATGGCAAAACCCTGTCTCTGCTAAAAATACAAAAATTAGCCAGGAGTGGTGACACACACCTGTAATCCCAGCTACTCAGGTGGCTGAGGCACAAGAATTGCTTGAACTGGGGAGGCAGAGGTTGCAGTGAGCCAAGATTGCACCACTGCACTCTGGTTTGGGTGATGGAATGAGACTCTGTCTCACACACAGACACATACAAAAACGACTGGTTTGAAACAGGAATTTTCTTTGCTCAAGAAATCCCTCTGTTCTCATTGCTGAGGCTCAATCTATTATATACTCAAATTAAGATATTATGATTAAAAAGATCTTCAGGACCAGGTGTGGTGGCTCATGCCTGTAATTCTAGCATTTGGGAAGTCAAGGCAGGAGGATGGCTTGAAGCCAGGAGTTCAAGACCAGCCTAGGCAACATAGCAAGACCCCATCTCTACAAAAAAAAAAAAAAATTAGCCATATCCATAGTCCCAGCTACTCAGGAGGCTGAGGTGGGGGACTCCTTGAGCCCAGGAGTTTGAGGCTGCAGTAAGCTATGAATATGCCACTGTACTCCAATCTGAGTGACACAATGAAACCTAGTCTCAAAAAACAAAATCTTCAGCAATTAGAGACCAAGCAATTCTTCTAGCAACCAAAAGAAGAGAAAAGAATTTGCAAGGGAGGAGGGGAAATATCACACAAAGTGTTATCTATTTCCAAGTTAATTTCTCATTTGTTTTGTGTTTTTATTCTGATCTATCTCACCTTGGACAGCTATCCTGAGCCACACAAACATAAGGGCTAGTTTCCTCCACTGCAAACTCTGTGAAGTGGAGTCTCTGCAGCACTCTAATGTCCTTGCTAGGAAGGATGACTAAGTGGTAGATGAGGACTATGTTTAACTCTTCACGTCGTGAAATCAAAGCATTACAGAAACAATCTGAGTATCATGTATTTACCTTGTATCCTGGTTACGCTCTCTCAGAATGGAAGTAACTTAGTGAAAAGTATATGGGCTACAGAATCAGGTAGATATGTCTCCAAACCTGAGCTCTATCACTTTCCAATTGTGTGACCTTGAGGAAGTTGTCTGCCTAAATTCTAACCTGTTTCCTCAACTGTGAAGGGTAAATGAGAATTCCTACTTCAAGAATTAAATGAAACGATGTAAGTAAAGGAGATAGCACACTGCCTGGCATATTATAAGTCTCAAGTATTATTTACTTTGAAAATCTTCCAGATTTTCAGCTTATTCATCTATGAAAAGAAGGATCCAAACAGATGATCACTAAGGCTCTTTCCCGGGGTGGAACGATCCATCCAAGTGCTATGAGTCCATGGGACTGATGTGTAGACATGACTAATGTATTCTGATGGCTCCACTTTCTCCTATTTTGAACCACAATATACAAACTGAAAATCCTGAGACACTTAATTGAAAACATCTCTTTCCACAGGTCGTCATAAAAATGATTTTCAAGACGTGGAAAATTCGAGGCATCTCAGGCCTTTTTCTAGGACTCTATCACACAAAAATGCTAGCTAGCACAAGTAGTTGAAGATGTATATACATGTGTATTCACAATTATTGCAATAGTCCCAAACTGGAGAATGTTTGTAATGTGGTTTGTAATTCACATAAGGATCTAAGTAGCATTTTTTTGAACTCAGAAAATGTCAATTAAATATTGTTGCATTAGAAAAGCTGCTATATATATTTGTGTATATATGTGTATATATATGTATATATGTGTGTGAGTATATATATGTGTATATATATGTGTGTGTATATATATATGGCATGATCCCACTTGGAGATTTCTATAAAGGTTATATATGTGTATAGATAAATATTTCATTAGTCTACTTTCTTTTTGTATGCTGACTACATGGAAAGTGCAAGAGAAAAAAGGTAGCAGCAATGTGTATGAATTGTTTAAGTGGTAACCTAGCGGAAAGTAGAGATTGAGGCAGCCTATCTCTATACTTCATAAGGTATCAACAGAAGAAAACATCTTAAATAGGGTGATTATGACTAATTTTTACTTCTTTTAATGTGCTTTGACTATTTTCCAAATTTTCTATACTGGATTATAAATGTTTAAGACCGAGAGGACTCCTTTATTATTTTAATTTTTTAAAGTTACCCTCAGTTACATATAGGCTCATTCATTTAGTTTTGTAATAGTGTACTTAAGGCAAGAAATACACCAAAGAATAACCTTTTAATTTCCAGAAAACAATCATAAAATGAATCGATTTCAAGATTTAAAAAAGCAAAAATACGAATGGAAGGGAACTTTCTTAAACTGGTAACAGCTATAAAAACCAACAGCAAACATTACATATCATGGTGAGATTTTAAAGGCATTCCCACTAAAGAAAAAAAAAACAACAAGGATGGCCTCTATCACTGCCTCTATTCAGCATCATGCAAAATCGATAAGAAAAAGATCAGTAGTAGAAAGGGAGAAACAAAACTAACTCTGCATACAGACAACACAGCAGACTACATGGAAAAATGCAAAAGCATCTGCAGACAAACTGCAAGGATTAATATGAGAGTTCACTAAGGTTACTGGATCAGATGTGTTCCTCTGATGACTAGAAAGCATAATTGATAAGCAATCCTTGCGTTATACCAAAAAAACTATAAAGTACCTGAGAATATAATAAAATATGTCAAAGACTCATGGAAACAATAACAACATATTATTCTACAATATAAAAGAACAGAATAAATAAATGGGGAAATTTGCCATGATCATGGCTGAGAAAACACAATATTGTAAAGAAGTCAGTTCTCCCCAGATCATTCATAACAATGTAAATACAAACAAAATCTATACATTTGGGGACTTTTGTCTTGTTTTGTGTGTGTCTGTGGTGTGTGCATGAGTGATTTAATCAACTTCTCCTAAAATTCACATGAGAGAAGAAAGGGCCACTAATACCCAAGACAATTTTGAAGAATAACAAATTAGGAGTTTTACCATCTCAGATATTAAGATTTATTGTATAACTTTAATAATTAAGACCGTACTATTGGTAGAATTAAAGACAAAGCAGTGATCAAAATTAAGACCAAAAACAGGGCCAGGCGCAGTGGCTCACGCCTGTAATCCCAACACTTTGGGAGGCCGAGGCGGGCGGATCACGAGGTCAGGAGATCGAGACCATCCTGGCTAACACAGTGAAACCCCATCTCTACTAAAAATGCAAAAAATTAGCCGGGCATGGTGGCGGGCGCCTGTAGTCCCAGCCACTCGGGAGGCTGAGGCAGGAGAATGGCGTGAACCCAGGAGGCGGTGCTTGCAGTGAGCCGAGATCGCGCCACTGCCCTTCAGCCTGGGCGACAGAGCGAGACTTCAACTCAAAAAAAAAAAAAAAAAAAGACCAAAAACAGACACTCTATCATTGTAAATCAGTGGGAAAAAGACAGCTGATTCAATTAGATGCTGGGGCAACTGTTAGCAACATTTTAAAAATTAAATCAGGGCCGGGCACGGTGGCTCACGCCTGTAATCCCAGCACTTTGGGAGGCCGAGGCGGGCGGATCATGAGGTCAGGAGATTGAGACCATCCTGGCTAACACGGTGAAACCCATCTCTACTAAAAATACAAAAAATTAGCCGGGCGTGGTGGCAGGCGCCTGTAGGCCCAGCTACTCGGGAGGCTGAGGCAGGAGAACGGCATGAACCTGGGAGGCGGAGCTTGCAGTGAGCCGAGATCACGCCACTGCACTCCAGCCTGGGCGACAGAGCGAGACTCCATCTCAAAAAAAAAAAATAAATCCTTCTACGGACTAAATGGTATCCCCCCAAAATTTATATGTTGAAGCCCTAACCCCCCAATGTGATAGTATTTAGACATGGGGCCTTTGGGAGGTAATCAGATTTAGACCAAGTCATGAGGACAGGGCCTTCACAATGGGATTAATGGCCTTATAAGAAAAGACACCAGAGAGTTTCCTCACTATTTCTGCCCTGTGAGCACAGGGAGAATGTAAGCTGTCTGCAAACCAAATGAGAGAGCTCTCACCAGACAACAACCCTTCTGGTACCTTGATCATAGACTTCCAGTCTCCAGAACTGTGAGAAAATAAATTTCTGTTGTTTAAGTCATCCAGTATATGGTATTTACAGCAGCCTGAACTAATACAAATCCCTACTTGACCAAAAAAAAAAAAAAAAAAAAAAAAAAGAAAGAGAAAAAGAATTCCAATTAAAGTACTAAATATGAAAAATCAACCATTTAAAATAAAGGAATAATAATCATAACATAAAATCATAAACTATTTAAAATAAAGGAATCATAATCATAATATCTTAGGGGGAAAGAAAGATTTCTTGGAGCAACAGGTCTGAAATAATAAAGGGAAATGTGGACAAATATGATTACTATAAAATTTAAAACCTGGCCAGTCGCGGTGGCTCACGCCTGTAATCCCATTACTTTGGGAGGCCGAGGTGGGCGGATCACGAGGTCAGGAGATCGAGACCATCCTGGCTAACACGGTGAAACCCCGTCTCTACTAAAAATACAAAAAATTAGCCGGGCGTGGTGGTGGGCACCTGTAGTACCAGCTACTAGGGAGGCTGAGGCAGGAGAATGGCGTGAACCCAGGAGGCGGAGCTTGCAGTGAGCCGAGATCGCGCCACTGCACTCCAGCCTGGGTGACAGAGCAAGACTCCGTCTTGAAAAAAATAAAAATAAAAATAAAAAATAAAATTTAAAACCTATGTTCAACAACAGACACCACAGACAAAGTAAAAAACAGGCCATTGACTGGGAGAAAAATATTTGCATACATGTAACCAACCAAAAATTAACAACTCATTCTAGAATACACAAAGAACTACAAATCTCAACTACTTGCTGGACATTCATACCTAACCTCTTAGCAGCACCTTATTCATCAAAATGCCAAACTGGTCAAATTTTTAAAACAGAGAATGCATTAGTTATGTAACCAGAATAAATGATAAAGTTATAAATTTAAAAACTCCAGATGTCTAACCACAAACATCATGCTCCCTACCAAACCGACAGGATCAGATACACCTATTTCTTTCTTCCTTTTTTTTTGTGGGGGATTGGCGGGGGGCAGAGTTTCACTCTTGTTGCCGAGGCTGGAATGCAATGGCGCCATCTCGGCTCACTGCAACCTCTGCCTTCTGAGTTCAAGTAATTCTCCTGTCTCAGCCTCCAAAGAAGCTGGGATTACAGGTGCCCACCATTACGCCCGGCTAATTTTTGGTATTTTTAGTAGAGACAGGGTTTCACCATGTTGGCCAGGCTGGTCTCGAACTCCTGACTTCGTGATTCGCCCGCTTCAGCCTCCCAAAGTGCTGGGATTACAGGCATGAGCCACCACGCCCGGCCACACCTATTTCTTTCAACGGCACTGCCATTCTACCAGTCACTAAAGCCTTGAGACCACAGGGAGGGAGGAAGAACCTCAGTCTTCCCTCTTCTTCACTTCTATACAAATTGTCACTGAATTTACAATGTGTTCAATAGTATTTAAACCAATTTCATTAATTAATTACAATTCATAAACTGCCAGAGTATCAAATGGAACCATTTTAGGAGACAGGAGCATAGGCTAGAAATCAGTATCGCTTGTTACTTACGGAGTAACACGTACAACTGAAGAAAATATGCTAAAGGCAAAATCCCCTACAGAGGTAAAATCTAAAGAAACAATAAAATATATTTACAGAGAGACAGATAATGAGCAACAGAGAAAGACAACTCACTGCCACAATAGAGGGTTGCAAAGTGCAGTGGAAATTATCAAACTACGAACCAGGAGATCTGGATTCTAATCTAAACCCTGCTTTCAAAATAGCTGTGAATTAAAGCAAGTTACATACTATCCCTCGTGTTTAGCTTTCTCATCTTAAAAATAGGATGATTGCTAAACGTTGCTACAGCTCTAAAATTCTATAAGCCTTCTGTTATAGACTGAATGCTTGTGTTCCCCCAAAACTCATTTGTTGAAACACTACCCCCTAATGTAATGGTCTTAGGAGATGGGGCCATCGGGAAGTAGTTAGGATTAGAAGAAGTCATGAGGGAGAAGCCCTCATGAATGAAATTAATATCCCTCTTTTTACTTTTTCTATTGTGGTAGAAAACATACAACGTTAAATTTACCATCTCAACCATTTTTAAGTTTACAGTTCAGTAGTGTTAAGTATATTTACATTCCTTCTACTAGTTCTGAGAGAGCTTGCTTCCTTTCTCTACCAGGTAAAGACAGAGCAAAAAGATACTCTCGAGGAACCATGAAGCAGGCCCTCAGCAGGAGGAATCTGCCGGTGCCTTCATCTTGAACCTCCCAGCCTGCAGAATTATGAGAAATAAATTTTGTCATTTAAGCCACCCAGTTTAAGTATTTTGTTATAGCAGCCTAAGCTATGACGCATTTTTTGTTAAACAGATGGGGAAAGTGTAATTTGGACTGAACAAGTAATGTAAGTCTGCAGCTCAGTTTCCTTCTAACAATCTTAAAAAATCATTAAGGCAGCTATTAACTTTCCAAAATAGAGTAATGCCAAATATTTCAATAAAACAAATTTGCTTTTTCCTCTTCTCAACCTTTCAGCTCTTCCCTAAGTTGTGAAGTGCAAATACAATATTATGAATTACTAGTTAGCAGGCCAGCTCATCCCCAGTACTGCGTCGCCAAGTACCTATGAAAGTATGCCGGTCATACCTATAAAACTGGGAAGCAGGTTGCACACATAAAGTTTAGTTGAAATGTCTTTGCAAGATGTGAAATTCCTTTTTTTTTTTGAGACAGAGTCTCGCTCTGTTGCCCAGGCTGGAGTGCAATGGCACGATCTCAGCTCACTGCAACCTCCGCCTCTCGGGTTCAAGCGATTCTCCTGCCTCAGCCTCCCGAGTAGCTGGGACAACAGGCACCTGACACCACGCCCAGATAATTTTTGTATTTTTAGTAGAGATGGGGTTTCACCATGTTGGCCAGGCTGGTCTCAAACTCTTGACCACGTGATCCACCCACTTTGGCCTCCCAAAGTGCTGGGATTACAGATGTGAGCCACCACACCCAGCCACGATATGAAATTCTTATCGCTTAGGCTGAATAGGGATTCAACCTCATCTGAACCATACATACCTCCTGTAACTTCCAACAAACCTCTTGCTCTAAATGCTTCCTAATCCATTGTTCCACGGTTTCTTTACAGAGTATTAGTTCTACAAGATGCTCGAAGAAAAAAGAATTCTACAAATGTTTCAGAAACACTACAGGTTATCCCTCATTCCTAATCAATTCACAATGAACATTCAAACATTAAAGGCTTTGAGAAGCCCCAGAGTTAAGAAATCTGATTTCTACTGTTTAATCTAGGGTTTCTCAACCCATGTGACTGTTAACACCCTTTCTTCACAGAATGTTTACTAATACCCTATAAAACTGGTATTCCAAGGAACTCACTTTGGAAGGTACTTGAGTAAAATCTTTTGCTGAAAATTTGTTATTAGATTAAATTCACATAGCTAAACTGAAACTGTTTTTTTTTTGTTTTGCTTCTGACACTGTACCATTCAAAGAATCATTTATCTATTTCTAAATATTAATTTTCCAACATCCAACTATTTAAGGTTAAACGAACAGTAAGACTTTCCTCCTGACACACGCAACTGAAACCTACCAATCAAAGAATATGGTCACATGTGACAGAAACTACCACCAGCTGTCTGGTCCAAGTATGTAAACTGCTATTATCCTGTCACAGTATAACTTATATCTTGTCTGGTTGTTCTAGTTTCAGTTTGGGAACCGCACAATTTACATTAAAAACAAAAATAAACTTTTAAGCAAAAGTTAATTAAAATACAAAGTGAGAATAATTTAAATTACCAGCAAAATAAGGGAAATAAAAACTAAAGATGGACAAGCCTTAAGACATATCCTATGAAAGAAGAAAATCTATTAAAAACAAAAAAAAATAGAACTTATGGGACAATAGTCTTACACTCCTCATTCATATGGAAAACGTCATTGCTTGAAGGTTGACTTAGATTTGCAGAGGATAGGCAATACTTGTACAAGTAGAACACATTGTTAGCTATTTACACACTTCAGCTTTCCAGTGTTTGCTTTCTTGATAGTAAGTGTTCTTTTGTACATGTAGCCATGTCAACAACAAAGAAAATAAAGGGACAGCCTGCCCTAAATTACAAACAACAAAAACACTCAGTCCTAGGAGGTTAGATAACAAAATGGTGTTTATCAAGTAAGCTTTGAATCCTTTCTAGGGATTGTGTGACACAAATCGTTACAGCACTTGAAGACTTACTGTCAAATCTCAATGAAAATCACAAAAAAATTAATCTGTCCTCATTAAATAAACTCAGTTACTATTTCCAATTACAGCTATTACTAAATAGAGAAGAAAAAGCATTGAATCTTAGCTCCTGTTGTCAAATTCTATGTTTGTATAATTTTAAGATCACATTTTTTTATATATTAATGCCCACTCCTCTTGCTGTCAGTTCACACCATCTCCCTTCAAGCTCCCATTCAAAATGTATCACTTTCAGAAAGTCTTACATTATTGACATAATTCAAGACGTCTGTCTACTCAACAACCGTGGTACTAAGTATTTAAATGAAGTTGTACTTGGTAACATGCCGCTTTGAGAGGAAGTTTTTTATCTTTTTTTTTTCTTTTCTTTTGAGATGGAGTCTCGCTCTGTTGCCCAGGCTGGAGTGCAGTGGTGCGATCTCTGCTCACTGCAAGCTCCGCCCCCCGGATTCACGCCATTCTCCTGCCTCAGCCTCCCAAGTAGCTGGGACTACAGGCACCCGCCACCATGCCCGGCTAATATTTTTGTATTTTTAGTAGAGACGGGGTTTCACAGTGTTAGCCAGGATGGTCTCGATCTCCTGACTTCATGATCCACCCACCTCAGCCTCCCAAAGTGCTGGGATTACAGGCGTGAGCCACCGTGCCCAGCCAAAGTTTTTTTATCTCTATATATGTGCATGAATTCTTCTCAATTACAATATCCTGAGGATTTCTTTTATCATTCAGGACTTATCAAAAGTTCTATATTCCTTTCATTAGAGGATCTGCCACAAAAATCATGATTTATTTGGAGCCTTCTGTTTTACCTTTAACATTCATACAGAATGTAGATTCAACACCGTAACACATTTTTTAACAGAAAAATAAAAGTGAATGTTGGCAAGAACATAAAGAAAGTGCACTGTTACTGGGGCTGTAAAATGGTGCAACTGCTATAGAAAACAGTAAGGAAGTTCCTCAAGAAATCCAAAATAGAGCTACCATATGATCCAGCAATCCTGCTTCTGGATATTTATCCAAAAGAGTTGGAAGCAGGATCTTGAAGAGGTATTTGGCTACTCATGTTCATAGGAGCACAATTCACAATAGCCAAGAGGTAGGGGCAACCCAAGTGTCTGTTGAATGGATAAACAAAATGTGGTATATATACACTATGGAACATTATTCAGCCTTCAAAAGGAAGGAAATCCTGTCACATGCTACAACATGGATGAACCTTGAGGACATTATTACCAAGTGAAATAAGCCAGTCACTAAAAGACAAATACTATATTATTCCATTTATATGAAGCATCTAAAGTAGTCAAATTCATAAAAATAGAAAGTACAATGAAGGCTGTCAGGGGCTGGGAGGGAGGGCAAACAAGGGAGATAGTGTATAATACAGAGTTTCTGATATGCAAGATGAACAAATTCTAGACTTAACCCTATGGAACTGTACAATTAAAAATTGTTACAATAGGCTGGGCACACGCCTGTAATCCCAACACTTTGGAAGGCCAAGGCGGGTGGATCACTTGAGGTCAGGAGTTTGAGACTAGCCTGGCCAACATGGTGAAACTAAAATACAAAAAATTAGCTAGGTGTGGTGGCGCACGCCTATAATCCCAGCTACTTGGGAAGCTGCGGCAGAAGAGTCACTTGAACTCAGGAGGCAGAGATTGCTGTGACTTAAGACTACTACTGCACTCCAGCCTGGGTGACAGAGCAAGACTCCGTCTTTAAAAAAAAAAAAAAAAAAAAAAAAAAGTTGTTACCATGGTAAATTATATGTTTTTCTTTAATCACAATTTATTTTATATACTTCTTTATTTTTAGAAACAGGGTCTTGCTATGTTGCCCTGTCTGGTCTCGAACTCCTGGGCTCAAGTGATTCTTTCTCCTCAGCCTCATAAAGGGCCAGGATTACACGCATGAACCACCACACCTGGCCTAGTCACAATTTTTAAAAATGTTTTTGATTAATTCATTTGTCTCAACTCTTCAAGTAAGACTGATAGTACTATATTTTCCCAACATCCAACAGGAACCTACTGAATAAAGTTGCCCAGAAGACCCACACGAGTCTGAATGTGGTCACTGAACAACGCCTTTACTTCTCTCACATCCCCTGCTCAATTCAACAAACATTTATGAAACAAGCAACTATACTGTGGTAACTGAAGAAGAATATAGAAATTAATTAGGCCATGATCCCTGTCCCTGAGCAGATCAGAGAAACCCACAAGACCTAGTTCAGTGCCGGCAACTATAACGTGTCCAGTGAATTGATCAATTTCACAGTTCTCCTTAATTACCTGCTAAATTGTAGGAGGAAAGTGGACTTCTCCAGACAAGTTTCTCTGGACAAAGTTTCCATGTTAAGCACAAAGAACAATACCTGCGTGTGGAATGGAAATCAACATAAATTTTTTTAAAAACACTCAACCAGGCCAGGCACGGCTCACGCCTGTAATCCCAGCACTTTGGGAGGCCGAGGCGGGTGGATCACGAGGTCAGGAGATGAAGACCATCCTGGCTAACATGGTGAAACCCCGTCTCTATTAAAAATACAAAAAATTAGCCGGGCGTGGTGGCCGGCGCCTGTAGTCCCAGCTACTCGGGAGGCTGAGGCAGGAGAATGGCATGAACTCGGGAGGCGGAACTTGCAGTGAGCCGAGATCGCGCTCCTGCACTCCAGCCTGGGCGACAGAGTGAGACTCAGTCTCGAAAAAAAAAAAACCCACCAAAAGTTCTTTTGTAAAAAGAGAAAACCTTGAAGTAAAAATGATAGAAATGCCTTTCCATTAAAGCAGATATATAGAAAGTCCTTAAGGTACATGTTAGCTTGGCATACCAGGCACGGACTCTCCACAGCAATGAGCACAGGCTATCCAATGAAATAGAAAATTTATGGGTGAGATAACTACAAAAAATTTATTAGTACAGATTCCAGCATTGCATCCACCAGACCAGATGAATTCAGTTCTGAGCAATGTCTGTAATCACACAGAGCTGTTCCCTGAATGGCAATAACCCAAGCTACTTTCTAGTGGGTCTCTTTATTTATTGCAATGTCAATCTTGTCATAGATCCTACTACTTTGTCTCTGGGTACAACCACAAGAGACATTTCGCTTATAAGAACAAGCCCACTTCCCTTAATAATGGCTGGTTATGTCACCACAGAAACAGCTTTACCTCCAAGAGAATCTGGTAAAATGGGCATTATGGGAAAAGCTGCTTTTCTCCACCGTAAGTGTCTCATCTGAGGCCTTCATCATTTCTGGATTATTGCAAAGCCTCCTACCTGGTATGCCTTCCTCCAGTCTTGATGCCCTGAACCCATCCTAGTTTCTACTCAGAGTTAATTTTTCTCAATTCCAAAATTTATAGTACTCCCCTGCTTAAAACCTTTAATGGTTCACAGAGCCTTCAGGATCTCTGGCATGGCACAGGAGCTCTTCATGATTTTGTGGGTCTGCTTGGTGCACTCTTAGAAAATGTTTTGTTTTGGTTTTTTTTTGAAATGGAGTCTCGCTCTGTCACCAGGCTGGAGTGCAGTCGCGCAATCTCAGCTCACTGCAACCTCCACCTCCCGAGTTCAAGCGAGTCCCCTGCCTCAGCCTCCTGAGTAGCTGGGACTACAGGTGCACACCACCACGCCTGGCTAATTTTTTTGTATTTTCGTAGAGACGGGGTTTCGCTATGTTGGCCAGGATAGTCTCGATCTCCTGACCTCATGATCCGCCCACCTTGGCCTCCCAAAGTGCTGGGATTACAAGCGTGAGCCACCTCCCCTGGCCCGAAAATGTTTATTTTTAAATAATTTCAAACTTACAGAAATATTGCAAGAATAATAAAAAGAACTCCTGATTCTTTTCATCCAAATTCACCGTTTACTAACCTCAGTGAGAGCAGGAACTGTATATTTTATTCTTAGTGTCTGGCACATAGTCAGTATTCAATAAATTCATGGAAGAAATTAATCTGTGTGTGAACTGAGGAGGAAGTAATGAAGGGCCCAGCTTCTGGTTAAACAGAGTGGATGGAATACAAATGTTACCTGTACTTCCTCCCAAATACTCAAATAAGTATTAAAGATATATATATCTGGAAGCATAAATCTGTAAGGACAAAGAGAAGATATGACAGTGGCCAAAACTGACTTGGCAGCCCTAGTAATGTGAACCTTAGAAAAACAGCCCAAAATAAAGGCTCAGGCAAAGGAGGCAGAGGTAGGGCTGAAAAATCTCAGAAAGAGCAGTTAGTCACTCCCCCTCATCTCCTGTCCAACACAATAAATCACATAACCAACACTCCTTCCAACACCAGCAGAAAATCTCTAGAGAAATGCATTCAACTGATAATCGGGCAAGCAATTCCTGGATGCCAGGCTCAGTTCTAGATGCCCAGAAATCTCCAAGGGAACAAAGCTTAGTCCTGCCCTCATGGAACTTACATTCTATTGGGGAACCACAAGCAGGAGGATCTGTGTTAGCTCAGATGTCATGACTGCTATGGCGCAAGAGGAAGCAGGCCGGTGGGTAGGAAGCGTGGGGCAGTTTTTGCTACAGAGCAGAGATCTAAAAGGAAGGAGAAGTGAGTGATGCACAGGACAAGGGAAACAGCCCTCCAGACAGAGAGCAGCAGGTGCACATACCTCAGGATGGACGCATAATTAAAGAGGGTACAGCAAAGTAGCTGCGGTTGCGGGGAGCGGTTAGGCAAGAGTAAAAGGGCAGCAGAGAAGTCACAGATGTAGTGCGGGCTCGGTCACAGGAGGAGCAATCTGAGCAATGATTCCTCTGCTCAGCTGCACACTGGACTCACCTGGAGAGCTTTAAAACACTCAAGAGTCCCACCAGAGTTTCTGATTTGAAGTTTGATTGGTATGAGGTGTGGCTGGTTGTCAGCAGTTTCACAATTTCCCCAGGTGGTTCTCATCTGTAGACAGGTTAGGGCCATGGAATTAGAGGAACTCTGGATGCAGGGACCCCAAGCATAACTGGTGGAAGAGGTGGAGGGGGCTCCACTGGAAACAGGAAGATAAAGTAGAGGGTGTCCAAAGTCAAGCGCAAGACTCCAGCCTCTCCAAGACTCCTTTCCCATCTAACTCTGGGACACCACGGACAGAAAATGCTGGCTTCCAGACAGACTCATATGCCTCTGTTGCAGATTGGTGTGGGCAAAAACCAAACAACGAATGCTCCCAGCATGAGGAAGAGAAAAGCCAAACGGGGTGCTCCTAGTGTTTTAATTCCTTGAAAACTGAGAGGTAAACCCCAACCAATGAATAGGAAAAGTAAAAAACCATCATGAGAGACTGAAAGAAAAAGATAAGCAAAATAGAAACATCTGTAATACGTAGATGCGTTTGGGGACCACATCCAGTCATCCCACCATATAGGAGGCAGGGGGCCAGGGAGGGAGAGGTTGGTTCCAGAACCCCTGAGGATACCAAAATCTGTGGATGCTCAAGTCCCTGACACAAAATGGTGAAGTATTTGGATATAACATACAACATCCTCCTGTACACTTCAAATCACCTCTAGATTACTTATAATAATTAATATAACATAAATGCTATGTAAATAGTTTTACTATTTTTTTATATTATTTTTATCTTTTGAGTTTTTAAAAATATTTTTAATCTGCTGTTGGCTGAATCTGTGGATGCAGAACCTTCAGATACAGAGGGTCAACTGTAATTAAATAAGCAATTTAACTGAGTGGTATCATCCCTCAGACTCCCTTTGAAAGTCATTTGAAACAAAAATTATGGCTATGCCATGTCTGTAATGGATGGAAAATATTACAGCAATAGATTTCTGCTAGGTAGAAAATACATGAACAATTCTGCTTTAAAGGTTTTTAAGAATGGCATTAAAAATCTTTTCAAACTGTAAGTGTAAACACACTCAAGTATATATACAATTAGATCTTCATCTGAGACCACATGCTATCTCTGAAAACATCCAACATATTTATGAGAGTATCAAACAATGTCTATTTTTCTTTTCTTTTTTTTTTTTTTGAGATGGAGTCTCGCTCTGTCTCCCAGGCTGGAGTGCAGTGGCATGATCTCGGCTCACTGCAACCTCCGCCTCCCAAGTTCAAGCAATTCTCTGCCTCGCCCTCCTGAGTAGCTGGAATTACAGGCACCCGCCACCACGCCCAGCTGATTTTTGTATTTTTAGTAGAGACGGGGTTTCACTATCTTGGCCAGGCTGGTCTTGAACTCCTGACCTTGTGATCCACCCGGCTCGGCCTCCCAAAGTGCTGGGATTACAGGCGTGAGCCACCACGCCCAGCCTATTTTTTATATTTTAAAAGTAAAATTTAAATATCTAAGTGTCTAAAGATCATCAGTATTTTAAAGATGCAAGGAAGCATAAAAATAAAGTAACAATACTTTTTAATAAGTGTTAGTATCTTTTAATAAATATCTAAATATTTAGATACCTAAATAAAGATACTAAAAATGTAAGACAAAGAAGTCATCACTGTGTCACTCACGAACACTACAGCAGGAGTTTGAGAACCCAAGGATGCACAGGATAAAGGATAAAATAAGGTATGGTTTTTGAAGGTGTTTGTTTATTTGTTTTTAAGACAGAGTCTCACTCTGTCGCCCAGGCTGGAGTGCAGTGGCACAATCTCAGCTCACTGGAACCTCTACCTCCTGGGTTCAAGTGATTCTCCTGTCTCAGCCTCCCAAGTAGCTGTGATTACAGGTGCCCATCACCACGTCTGGCTAACTTTTGTATTTTTATCGAGACAGGGGATTCATCATGATGGCCAGGCTGGTCTCAAACTCCTGACCTCAAGGGATCCGCCCACCTTGGCCTCCCAAAGTGCTGGGATTACAGGCGTGAGCCACCGTGCCTGGCTGACTTTTGAAGGTTTTTAAATATGACAATTCAATTCAACTCATTTCAACAAACAGTTCTTCTTTTTTTGAGACGGAGTTTTGCCCTTGTTGCCCAGGCTAGAGTGCAATGGCGTGATCTTGCCTCACTGCAACCTCCGCTTCCCAGGTTCAGGCGATTCTCCTGCCTCAGCCTCCCGAGTAGCTGGGACTACAGGCACCCGCCACCACGCCCGGCTAATTTTTTGCATTTTTTTTAGTAGAGACAGGATTTCACCGTGTTAGCCAGGATGGTCTCAATCTCCTGACCTCATGATCCGCCCGCCTCAGCCTCGGCTGGGATTACAGGCGTGAGCCACCGCGCCCAGCCAAATAAGTCTAATGTTCAACAGCACAGTAGGGGGTCTATAGTTATCGTTAATTTACGCTATATTTCAAAATATCTATAAGATTTGGGATGTTCTCTATACAAAGAAATTCTTAATGTTTGAGGTGATGGATATCCTAATTACCCTGATTTGATCATTATTCATTGTATGCATCAAAATATCAAGTATATTCCATAAATATGTATAATTATTATGCATAAATTTTTTAAGTGGATTAGTCGTTGCCTGAGGCTGGGTGTGGGAAGGGGAAGTGACTGCAAATGGACACGAGGTTTCTTTTCTGGGTGATGGAAACATTGTAAAATTAGACTGGGGAGATGTTGCATGATTTTCTGAATTTACGAAGAAATCACTGAATTATACTCTTAAAATGAGTAAATTTAATGATATGTAAATTATATCTCAATAAAGCTGTTTTTAAAAATAAGCCAAAAGATAATTGGTACAGCTATTATGGGAAACAGATGGAGGTTCCTCAAAATATTAAAATGGGAACTACCATATGATCCAGCAATCCCACTTCTGGGTATACGGCCAAAATGAAATCAGTATCTCGAAAAGATACCTGCACTCCCATGTTCACTGCAGCACTATTCACGATAGCCAAGATACAGAATCAACCTAAGTGTCTATCAAGGGATGAATGGATAAAGAAAATGTGATATATATATACCATGGAATATTATTTAGCCATAAAAAAAGAAGGAAAGCCTGCTATTTGCAACAATGTGGATGAACCTGGAGGACATTATAATAAGTGAAATAAGCCAGGCACAGCAAGACAAATATTGTATGATCTCACTTATATGTGGACTAAGAGTCAAATCCACAGAAGCAGAGAGTAGAACAGTGGTTGCCAGAGGCTGGAGTGTGAGGGAAATGGGGAGATGCTGGTCAAAGGGTACAAACTTTCAGTTATGAGTAAGTTCTGGAGATCTAACAAACAGCATAGTGACTATAATTAATATTACTCTCTTACAATTTTCTAAGAGTTGTTCTTAGTATTCTCACCACACACATACAGGGCAACCATGTGTAGTGAAAGGTGTGTTAATTTGATTGGTGATCATTACACTGTGTATACAAATATCAAATCATTACATTGTACACCTTAAATAGATACAATTTTTATATGTCAACTATACCTCAATAAGCTGAGAGGAAAAAAAGAAAGACATCAAGGAAAAAACCCACAAGGGTGAACTTGTGAGAGGTGGAAGGAAACTAAAGCCAAAGCAAGATCTTGAAGAGCCTGTGTGGCATTCCTACCTACAGCACCAAAGGCTTTATAAAGGCCTGCATGTGGGAGGGAGGTAAATAATTTTTAGTCTCCTTGGCTCCACTTGCTTCAAAACATTCTTCAGAGTATTTCTAAAGTAACTTCTGGCTGGGTTCAGTGGCTCACACCTGTAATCTCAGCACTTTGGGAGGCCAAGGCAGGAGAACAGCTTGAAGCCAGCAGTTCAAAGCCAGCCTGGGCAACATAATGAGACCCTGCCTCTACAGAAAATAATAATAATTAGCAAGGCAGGGTGGCTGATGCTTGTAGTCCCAGCTACTCGCGAGGCTGAGGCAGGAGGATCACTTGAGCCCAGGAGCTCTGAGGCTGCAGTGAGCTATGATTGCACCACTGCACTGCAGCCTGGGCAATAGAGTGATACCCTGTCAAGAAAGAAAAGAAAGAGAAGGAAGGAAAGGAAGGGAGAGAGGGTGGGAGGAAGGGGAGAGGAGGGAAGAGGCGAGTGGGGGGAGGAAGAAAACAAACCCACAAGGGTGAACTTGTGAGAGGTGGCAGGAGACTTCAGCCAAGGCCAGATGTTAAAAAGCCTGTGTAGCATTCCTATGCGCAGCACCAAAACGTTTATAAAGGCCTGTGCGTGGGAGGGAAGTTAAGTATTTTTTAGTCTCTCAGGTACGCTTCCTTCAAAACATTCCTCACAGTATTTCTAAAGTAATTTATTAACAATTAATAGTTTGACCATGTCAATTTAATACTTCTAGACATTATTCCCAGAACCAAAAAGTCTAAACCAGCCTTCAAAAATTCCTTCATTTCATACACCGGGGCCTGTCAAGGGGTGGGGGAGGGAGGAGGGATAGCATTAGGAGAAATACCTAATGTAAATGACGAGTTAATGGGTGCAGCAAACCAACACAGCACATGTATACATATGTAACAAACCTGCACGTTGTGCACATGTACCCTAGAACTTAAAGTATAATAAAAAAAAAAAAAAGATGCAATTTGCCATCCAAAAAAAAAAAATTCCTTCTTTCATTCCCCTTTCCCTCCTCTAACAAATCTCATTATACCTTAGCCCACACTCTTCCATTTTTGTCAAACCTGTCTCCTTGAAGGCAAATAAGGTAGAAGATGGAGGTAAAGGCTACTTTATAAGTTACAGAACCATGTCTATTAACACAATACCATATATATAATGAATATAAAATAATGATAAGAAGAAATTGTTTAGGAAAGACCATACTAGCACAGAGGAAAGTTTGATAAATAGACTCAAAGTAAAAATGTATCTTTACTGAGAAGATGCTTCTATTTCTCAGAGAAATCACTCTCAACTCCATCTGGAAAGCTGGATAAGACCAAGGCCAAACATTAATTTCCTAAATACTTACTATACACAATGTACCATCCCCACCCAAGTAAGCAGAGCTCTAGAGCTCAAAAATCCATTTGATTTCAATAGCAAGATGTATAGATTATTCAGGGTTTATGTGGCTGCAGTAACAAAAGATATATTTTAGAACAAAATTCTGTCTGGTCTAGCTTTAGAAATAAATCTGCGCCAAGGTGGATATATAGATAACAGCAGCTCACAAACAGGTGGAAATGATATTATCTTCAATAGCAAGATAAGTCAGCCTGTCTTCCACATCAAAAAGGGGAAAAAAAATCACTCCAGGTTCAAAGGTATAGATAGAGGGAGTTGGAGGAGGCAAAGCATTAGCAAAGAGAGCAATATACCTTGCAACCTATTCCCCAAACTATTAGAAGATGACTCCTAAATCTATCCTACTTTATCTGTCTAGATAGATGCTTATCCATAATTGGGACACCTGTAGTAACTTGGTTGCAGGAAATGAGAAATTAAGTCTCATCCACTGTAATTTCAGTATTTCTTCCCTTTCTGAGTCAGATACCAACATACTCAATGGCAATAAAATTACAATGATTCTCCAAAAAGATAGGAAACCGCATAAATAATGAAAGAGTATTACGTCTTTTTTAAAAACTGGCTCCCAAAACAGCATAAATGAAAAAATAGATATTAAATATGCATTTTTTGTAATAACTACACAACTTTACCTAATCTTCTGAGATTGTTGAACTAGATGTGGAACTGAAACTATCCAACTGAGGAAAACAGCATGGACAAGAATTTACCAATCAACCAATAAGTATGTCTGAATGCCTAATAGGGCACTATACGAAGACATCTACATATGCCCAAAACACCAAGTTGGACAGGCCATACACCCTTGTCCATAAGAGGCTAAAGAGAAAAAAAAAAAAAAACACTTCATTTCAACAACACATAGATCCCTAAGCATCCCAACATTTATATTAGAAAATAAGACTTTTCGTCTCAGGATACAAAATCAGTGTGCAAAAATCACAAGCATTCTTATACACCAATAACAGACAAGAGAGCCAAATCATGAGTGAACTCCCATTCACAAATGCTACAAAGAGAATAAAATACCTAGGAATACAACTTACAAGGGATGTGAAGGACCTCTTCAAGGAGAACTACAAACCACTGCTCTACGAAATAAAGAGGACACAAACAAGTGGAAGAACATTCCATGCTCATGGATAGGAAGAATCAATATCATGAAAATGACCATACTGCCCAAGGTAATCTATAGATTCAATGCCATCCCCATCAAGCTACCAATGACTTTCTTCACAGAATTAAAAAAAAAACTACTTTAAAGTTCATATGGAACCAAAAAAGAGCCCACATTGCCAAGACAATTCTATGCAAAAAGAACAAAGCTGGAGGCATCACGCTACCTGACTTCAAACTATACTACAAGGCTACAGTAACCAAAACAGCATGGTACTGGTACCAAAACAGAGATATAGACCAATGGAACAGAACAGAGGCCTCAGAAATAACACCACACATCCACAACCATCTGATCTTTGACAAACCTGACAAAAACAAGCAATGGGGAAAGGATTCCCTATGTAATAAATGGTGCTGGTAAAACTGGCTAGCCATATGTAGAAAGCTGAAACTGGATCCCTTCCTTATACTTTATACAAAAATTATTTCAAGATGGATTAAAGACTTAAATGTTAGACCTAAAACCATAAAAACCCTAAAAGAAAACCTAGGCATTACCATTCAGGACATAAGCATAGGCAAGGACTTCATGACTAAAACACCAATAGCAATGGCAACAAAAGCCAAAACAGACAAATGGGATCTAATTAAACTAAACGGCTTCTGCACAGCAAAAGAAACTACCATCAGAGTGAACAGGCAACCTATACAATGGAAGAAAATTTTTGCAATTTACCCATCTGGCAAAGGGCTAATATCCAGAATCTACAAAGAACTTAAACTTTCGAGAACTTAAATTTTCAAGAAAAAATCAAACAACCCCATCAAAAAGTGGGCAAAGGATATGAACAGACACTTCTCAAAAGAAGACATTTATGCAGCCAACAGACACATGAAAAAATGCTCATCATCACTGGTCATCAGAGAAATGCAAATCAAAACCACAATGAGATACCATCTCACGCCAGTTAGAATGGCGATCATTAAAAAGTCAGGAAACAACAGATGCTGGAGAGGATGTGGAAAAATAGGAACGCTTTTACACTGTTGGCAGGAGTGTAAACAAGTTCAACCATTGCGGAAGACAGTGTGGCTATTCCTCAAGGATCTAGAACTAGAAATACCATTTGACCCAGCGATCCCATTACTGGGTATATACCCAAAGGATTATAAATCATGCTACTATAAAGACACATGCACACGTATGTTTATTGTGGCACTATTCACAATAGCAAAGACTTGGAACCAACCCAAATGTCCATCAATGATAGACTGGATGAAGAAAATGTGGCACATATACATCATGGAATACTATGCAGCCAGAAAAAAGGATGAGTTCATGTCCTTTGCAGGGACATGGATGAAGCTGGAAACCATCATTCTGAGCAAACTATCACAAGGACAGAAAACCAAACACCATATGTTCTCACTCATAGGAGGGAATTGAACAATGAGAACACTTGGACACAGGGTGGGGAACATCACACCCCAGGGCCTGTCATGGGGTGGGGGGAGGGGGGAGGGAATAGCATTAGGAGATATACCTAATGTAAACGACGAGTTAATGGGTGCAGCACACCAACATGGCACATGTATACATATGTAACAAATCTGTACGTTGTGCACATGTACCCTAGAACTTAAAGTATAATAAAGACTTTTCAATCTGCATCTAGTCCCACAAACTCAACTCTTCTTAACTAAGATAAATAATATCTGAGTTATCAATATCAACATTTTCTCAATCATTAGATTTTCTACCCAGAAAAGTCCTTGAAAGGGCCACTGGAAGGTACCAAATGGCTATCTTTCTACAGCTTTGCACTGGAGTGAGTACAGGACATTTTGGATAATGCCCATCTGTACAAGAATTCAATATAAAATAAGCTTGCTTTTCAGATACCATAAAGAATACTATCTATCTGACACCACAGTATTGTCTTTTTTGTTTTAATTTTTTTAAAATGTAATCTATAACCTTAAGTGTCAGAAAATACTATACAATCTTTGCTGGTCAATATTCAAAGTATTCTATTAGGTGTACTTTTTTCCCTTAATCTTTTGTCTTAGTGACTCAAGGAACTATTGAAATATATTTGGGCATAGGGTTGAATTTTAAAAAAAAATCTAGATAGCAACCAAATTGTGAGTGAGAAGGAAAATGTAAATCAAGTTAACTTGTTGGTTTGAACATGTAATTACATTCTTCTTTAGGAATGTAAGCAAACAAGAATATCATTAAATATTTGGTGCTCTATTTGCCCCTAATATGTATAAATCTGCAGGCATAATCCACAACGTACAACGCTTAAAACTATAATGTACCACACAGAATTATAACGTCCTAGACCAAAAGGTATCTCAAGCAGTTATCTATTTACCTCCAATACTAAGCTAGTCAGGAAAAATGATAGTTTCATTTTAAAGAGTATTATGAATTTTAGAATTCTGAAAATAAAATGAGTGATGAGGCAGAAGTCATAGGAAGATAAGAAATGTCGGGGGGATGGGAATTAAAAAGAAAAGCACCATTCTGTTAAATTACATGCATTACTTGCTTTTCCAAAATTAAACACTAATAGTTAATCTCTCTCCGAATCAGTTACTTATGCTACCTTTGCAACCAAAGGGAGACACAAGCATGACTGCACATTTTTGTCCTAAGCATTCAGTGATGTAACGTAATTCACCATAAGAAAAGCTACAAACAGCAATAAGCAGCTAAACCAGTAGAGATGTGTTTCATGTATTCAGCATCTTCATATATATTCTCCAAAAATTAAATTTAAGACAACTGAAGAATATATCTTTAAACTATAATTTGTTAAGAGTGTTAAATTTTCATTCCATTAAAAATTCTATTTTAATGCTTCCTTAAATGGAAAATGCTGGGAATAATGTGACCTTTTGGGGTAAGTGACTCCCTCGGGCTGTTATCTGTAGGGCCGTCTGCCTCCGCGGTGACCAGCATTTGTAGTTATTGCGTGTAGCTATCTAGTTTCCCTGCTTCTCCCATGACACTAGAGCGCCAGCTGTCGCTCCTTGCTAAAGTCAACACGCCTGCCCCTACATTAGCTCACCTGTCCTGCTCTAATGTGCTGGCCCTACCTTTCCCATTTCCATCTCCCCGCTCCTCCAATTCCCCTCAACTTGAAATGCCCTTCTTCTCCAACACTGCGCATCCTCACTCTTGCCAGTGCAAAGTCTAATCAAACTTTCTGATCTGTCAATCTGATAACTGAAAATATGTATTTCAGTGTAATTAATTTGCATCTCTCCTATGAGTGCATTGAGCATCTTTTCACATGTTTAAGAGCCATTTGCATTTCATTTTCTGTGAACAGTCTGCTCATAGCCTTTGCCCAGTTTTAATAGGGTTGTTAAAACACATCATATATATTGGAAACTAGTTCTCTGTAATGAGTCACCATCCTATCTCCCCTGCCCACACACACATAATCATTTATCTTTTGGCCTTGGTTATGGTGGGTTTTGCCATGCAGAAATTCGTCACTTTTAGATAATCAGATTTAACAGCCTTGTATTTCTGGATTTTGTCCAATATTTTAAAACACCTTCCCTATTCTGACATTAGAAAAGAGTATGTCTATAATTTGTTCTAATATTTTTATTACATTAAGTTTTTGTTTTGCATTAAACTCTTTGGCACATGTTGACATCATCCTGATACGAGGTTTGAATACCAATTTTTTTCCCAGATGGTGAACTCCACTTGGACCAACACCATTTTCCTGACAAATCCATCTTTTTCCCCAGTGATGTGAAATGTTCGGGAGTTTTTTTTGGGTTTTTTGGTTTATGTCCTCATTGTCTGATATTTAGAATTTCTGGAAAAATAACATTCAGATAAACTAGGAGTAAGATAGTTTAGATTTAAGGCACTGCCTTGCACCTTCTTAAAGTTTAATAATTTGTTTTACCTGTGAGCTCCTCAGGAACAGTACTGGGAGCCACGTGCCCTTCTATGGCTAATATATGGTAAGTGCTTATTAACTGTTCTTTGAATGAATAATGAACTACATTTTTTAAATCTAAACATAGATTTCAATTCTCTTAGGATTTGGAAGAGTTCCACGGTCACTGTTATTTAGCCACACGTATATCCCAAAGGGTAACACTGCCAAGCTTCCTTGTCCATTAGAGACCTTTCTTCTTTGACAAAAAGTCCTTCAGTCTAGTCAATGTCTAGGATCTTCACTAGAGTCAATAAAAATTTAATCACAATTTGACTACATTACAACCACTATGGAAAACTATTTTGGCAGTTTCTTATAAAATTAAGCATAAATTTACCCTAGGACCCAACAATCCTACTCCTACGTATTTACCCAAGAGAAATGAAAACATATAACCACAAAAAGACTTGTATATTAATATTCACGGAAGTTTTATTTATAATATCCCAAAATTGAAACTAAATCAAATGTCTGTCAACAGGAGAAATGATAAACAAATTGTGATCTAGTCACATGATGGAATGCTAGTCAGCGGGTAAAAAGGAATAAACCCCATGCAACAACATAGGGGAATCTCAAAATCATTATATTGTATGAAAAAAAAAAAAGCCAGACATAAGCGAATACTGAATAATTCCATTTGTGCAGTCCAGGAATAGGCAAACTAATCACAGTGCTAGAAATCAGAACTGTGATTGCCTGGGGAGAGAGGCAAAAAGGGTGAAGAGGGCCTTTCTGGAGTGACAGTGGTATTTTATATCAGCAGTTTCCAAAGTGTGGTCCCTGAACCCAGTGGCACTTGGGAATTGTTAGAAAGTTGAATTCTCAGTCCTCACCCCAGATCTACTAAATCTGAAACTCTGAGTGGGAGTAGCAACTTACGGTCCGTCAAGCCATCCAGGTGTTTCTAATGCACACTAAATATTAAGAACCACTATTCTATAACTTGTTTGTAGAAGTGGTTACACAGGTGTACATAAATTGTCAAAGCTTATCAAACTGTTAAGATTTGAGCATTTTATATGTAAATTATACCCCAAATTTTAAAATGTGGATGAACTTTTCAAAATATTATCTTTAACCAAATCTGTCTTCTCCTCCTGTTTTCCTTACCTTGATAAATTGCAAAATAATTCACCTAGACGCTTGAATAATAAGAAAACTTCTTCTCGCCATGCACTGTGGCTCACGCCTGCAGTCCCAGCCCTTTGGGAGGCAGAGGTGGGTGGATCGCTTAAGGCCAGGAGTTCAAGACTGGCCTGGCCAACATGGCGAAACCCCATCTCTACTAAAAATACAACAACAACAAAAAAATCAGCCAGGCATGGTAGCACACATCTGTAATCCCAGCTACTCAGGTGGCTGAGGGAGGAGAATCACTTGAACTCAGGAGGCAGAGGTTACAGTGAGCCCAGATCATGCCACTGCACTCCAGCCTGGGCAAGACAGCAAGACCCTATCTCAAGAAAAAAAAAAAAAGGAAAAGAAAAGAAAGAAAACTTCTTTATACACTTTTCCCCATACAGCCAATCACATCTGCTAAATTAACCTTTGAAACATGCCTCTTCTTCATTCCTAATCCTCTATTTATACTCTTTCTAATCCCACCATCCTAGTTCAACAGGCACCTTTGTTTATTTTACCTGGTCTGGTAGAATAGCATCCAGCTCTCATTTTCCAATTCATCCTCTAAACTGCTAGAGCTATTTCTCTATGCCATAGGTGTGCTCGTGTCTTTTAGCTGCTTTTTTAAAGCTCACAGCTCCCCTCTATCTAGAGCATAAAATCTTCACTCCATAGTGGGGCACCAAAAACCTTTGGTGACCTGCTTTCAGCCCATCCTATCCAGTCTCCTCTCAAGCCATTGGTCTCCTCAGACCTGGCACCACATCAACATCAGCAGGGTCAAGATTTTCCCAATATGCCAAGCATATGCTTGCCTCTGATTCTTCACTCAAGCTGCTTCTCACGTCTAAAATTCCATCTTCCCAACTTCCCTGCATGGTGCAATCCTAGCTACCCTTTAGTATCCAGTTGAAACATCACCTCATTTGTGAAAGCTTCCTGTCATCAAACCCAAGGCAGAATTAATTACTCTCCTCTCTGACCTTACATTTTCCTACTAGATAGAATAATTACCTGTTTATGCCATACTTTTTTAAATACGAATTTCAGTCTTCAAGGACCTGAATGTGCAGCAGTTTTAGGTAATCTCTTCATATCACTTCCCTGCTTATGACCTTTCAATAGGTCCCTCTTGTCTACTAAACAAAGTTCAGATTCCTCAGCAGGAAGTCCAATCCAAGTCTACCTTCAGGCCCCTTAATGCCTCTTTAACCTCTCTCACTACTCCCTACACTTCAGTCATAGCCATAGCCCTCCGAGCACCACACTCTTGAACCCCCAGACTCTACCTAGGGGCAGAGGGAGGCCCCCTCCTCTCTCCACACCAGTGCCCACTCCCCAACCCCTCTAAAGACAGGTCATTAGGTTCAAGCACTAAGAATAAGCAACAAGAAAGGTCAGACACCAGGTGAACTGGAATGAGAACGAGGAAGAAGAGGAGGCAGAGCTGGTCCTTCTCAGCAAATGCTGGAGACATTATAAGGAGTAAAGCATGGTGTCTACCCTGGAGAAACGTTTAGTGGAGATCAGAAAGACATATAAACCAATTTCTACAACATGGAATGTGACAACAGAATGAATCCTATTACAGCAGAAAGGATATATATCAAATACACAAAGAGACACATATGCAAAAAAATGAAAGGCATGTCATGGTGAGATTTAACCAAAAATCAAAAACATCACTAAGCAGAAGATGCCACTGAACTCCAACATCTGTGCAGTAGTGTATAACTACTGGATTCGTGTCGGATGACTTGCCTAAGGGTGAAAAGGCAAGGCAAGGGCCTTGTCGGATGACCCTTCAGAGCCTCAACTTCCTCTTTATAAAATAAGGGACCGTGATCAGATATGGAGGTTTCTTTTAGAAATAAAATACAAATTAACAAAAGCAGAAGCCTACAAACCAGATACACGAACCTCTTTCAGCACAGGGGGAGAGGTCAATGCCTTTTGGAGATTTAAGCATGAGGCAAAATCAAATTAATAAATAGAATTTTAAATGTCACGTCTGTGAATGTGACATTGAATTTTAGGATCCTGAAAATTGCAGCTTATAATGGAACTGCTGACACAACCTCAACCATAGCAGCAAATGCACTACCACAATCAGGTTGTTATGGCAACTAGAATACTTAGGTTAAAATGAGGAAGAGAGTCTGTGTCTCGTGTGTGTGTGTGTTGTGTGTGTGAGAGAGAGAGAGAGAGATTTTGTTGCCACTTCCACTAGAAATATTTTAAAAATGTTTTATATTTAATCTCAGAACTACATTCATCACTTAGCACATAAGTATCTTATTAATGCTTTGGGATTAAAAAAAAGAACTTCTTAAAAAATAAAAATAAAATGAACTCTTTTGAAGGGGTTCAAAGAGCACCTAACCAATGTCTACAGCTGACACAGCTTAACATACCTCCCTGACATCTCCAGATTAAACTAGCTATTTCCTCCTTCATGTGAGCCCCATTTTATCTTCTGCTGTATAGCGACTTGAGTATAACATAAAGATAACATTATTCCTTGATATGCTTGTCTTCCGCGGTCCATTCAGCTGTGTGGGAGCAGAGTTTATCCCTTAGTCATGCTCATATATCCAGTGTCTAGAACAATGCACATGTTTTAGGTGCTAAACTGTTTGTTCAACTGAGGACTAAAGTACCAATCTTATCAAATTTTAAATATGAAGTCTTTACATAAATAATGTAACTATTTTTACCTTATCAAATGTATTTCTGGTAAAAATATTTCTTTTTCTTTTTTCTTTTGAGACAGAGTCTTGCTCTGCTGTCCAGGCTAGAGTGCACTGGTGAGAACTTGGCTCACTGAAGCCTCGACCTCCTGGGTTCAAGCAATCCTCCTGCCTCAGCCTTCCGAGTAGCTGGGATTACAGGTACACACCATCATGCCTGGACAATTTTTTGATATTTTACAGAGACAGAGTCTCACTATGTTGCCCAGGCTGGTCTCGAACTCCTGAGCTCAAGCAATTCTCCTGCCTCAGCCTCCTAAATCTCACACCTGCTGGGATTACAGGCGTGAGCCACCATGCCCAGCCATAAAATATATTTCATTTCTCATTATGCATAAGAATTTCTCTTATTAAAGAAACTGATAAGTAAATGGTATGTCTCATAGGAGGAATTATTGGCTAGAATTTTGATTCTTAAGGTTCTACTGTTCTAACGTATCGACTTTTAACTAGTTACAAGATCTGCATCCTTGGGTGAATGCCAACCTCTGAGATGCTCAGCATTCTCATCTAGAAAATAAAGTGTCTGCACTGGGTGAGGTGGCTCATGCCTGTAATCCCAGCACTTTGGGAGGCCAAGGTGGGCGAATCACGAGGTCAGGAGATCGAGACCATTCTGGCTAACACGGTGAAACCCCGTCTCTACTAAAAACACAAAAAATTAGCCGGGCGTGGTGGCGGGCACCTGTAGTCCCAGCTACTCGGGAGGCTGAGGCAGGAGAATGGCGTGAACCCGGGAGGCGGAGCTTGCAGTGAGCCGAGATCGCGCCACTGCACTCCA
This sequence comes from Homo sapiens, assembly GCF_000001405.40. NCBI lineage: Eukaryota > Metazoa > Chordata > Mammalia > Primates > Hominidae > Homo > Homo sapiens. The sequence continues at coordinate 33,961,784 of NC_000015.10, forward strand.
GCCTGGGCGACAGAGTGAGACTCTGTCTCAAAAAAAAAAAAAAAAAAAAAAAAAAGAAAACGAAGTGCCTGATCATCTGAGGAGAGTGTGTTCCTATGAACCAGTATAACCAAGAAATCTTTTTAGAAAATTAAAGAAATGTTCCATATCAAAAATCATTCATAGATGATTTTAAAGAAATTATTTTCAACCAGGTTTGGGGGGCAGAGCACAGCATATTTATTCCTAGAGTGGCTATTTCCAACCACACCCCACACAGAAAGATTGATTCATTAATTCCTTTCCTATCTCACTGAAATACTTGCACGGAGAGAAGTTATGATTGGTGTTACATGTAAGTGGCAGAGACAGGAAAAAACAAAGTAAGGTTAAAAACCGTAATGAAAAACAAAGGAATGGGGGAAAAAAGGACCTATTTAAAAAAATAACATGTAACAGTGTATTGCTTCTCACATATGTCAATTGTAAAGTATTCCTTCACATGCCTCAAGTATTTCAGAAGGTAAGAATTACCAGATCCACAGCCCATCTTGTTCAATATTCTCTCTTGATTTCCCTTTCCCAAACCTGTTCCTCATCCAGCTTCCCCAATTTCAGCATATTGCATCTCCAGCCACAGTTACTCAAGCCAGAGTTCTCAGGGTCATTCTCAACACTTCTCTCCCCATCATACCTAGATACCTAATTCATCAGCAAACTATCATTTATACCTCTGTATATTCCTGTAATCTGTCCCTTTCTTTCCATCTATTATTACCTTAGTCTAAGGAATCATCATATTTTCCCTGGATCATCATCATAACCTCTTGCTAATTCCTAAATTTTTTAACATGCCACATCAGACTCAAATCCTTTAAAAACATAACAAATCACTAAATTTCCCTGCATAATATCTGTCTGTCTATAATTCCCCCCTTATCTTCTGCATAGCATACAATTATGATCAAGATCATTTTCATTTATTCATGTTCCCACTAAAATGTGTATGTAGCCAGGCATGAAGGCACATACATGTAGTCACAGCTACTTGGGAGGCTGAGGCAGGAGAATGGTGTGAACCCAGGAGGCGGAGCTTGCAGTGAGCCGAGATCGCGCCACTGCACTCCAGCCTGGGCGACACAGCGAAACTCGTTCTCAAAAAAAAAAAAAAAAAAAAAAAAAAAAAAAAAAAAAATTCTCATACAGAAGTATAATCATTAAGCGGATAATGACTAAATCAAAATTGTGGCCTTCCTAACATGGGATAACTGAAGAGAACAACTCCTAACAGTTAGATGCCTATATGAGAAGGAAAAAGAGCACTAAAATTTATTGTGTAAAATGGATGGCAGGACTAAATTATCTCTACAGTCCCTTCCAGCAGTAAAATTAAATTAAATTCCATAATAATTATGACAACTCTTGACATCTACTAAGCATCTGCCCTCTCTGTGCCAGGCACTGTGCTAGGTGCTTTGCATGGGTTAATCAGAATATGTCCCTAAGACTGTTTCTATGAGATACCTGTCTATTTAAACAGCCCTAACAGACAAGAGATCCAAGAGGAAGATAGATCCTTTCTTTAAAATTTATCTGATATAAAGCAAAATGGAAATGGAAGGTCTAAAATCTCTGTGGGGTCTGCCTTGTTCACTGAGACAGGCAGTGGCTGGCTTTTGTATGAAGTGCTTCCCTAAAGATCAGATGCCAGAGCTGCTGAGAAGGGTATCAGAAAGTAAAACACCAGAACCCAGCCGGGCGCGGTGGCTCACGCCTATAATCCTAGCACTTTGGGAGGCCAAGGCAGGCGGATCACTTGAGGTCAGGAGTTTGAGACCAGTCTGGCTAACATGGTGAAACCCCATCTCTACTAAAAGTACAAAAATTAGACAGGCATGATGGTGGGCGCCTATAATCCCAGCTACTCAGGAGGCTGAAGCAGGAGAATTGCTTGAACCTGGGAGGCAGAGGTTGCAGTGAGCCGAGATCGCACCACTGCATTCCAGCCTGGGCGACAGAGCGAGACTCTGTCTCAAAAAAAAAAAAAAAAAGAAAACGAACAAACAAAAAAACCCCAAAGCCCATCCAAATAATCCTATTTGCCCCCAGAGAATGGCTCCTTGCCAGATTGATGCAGTATCAGGGCTCATCAAGAAAGCAGGAATGATCTCGCTACAGAGAGTATTAGTGGGGCATTCACAAACTTAGAAATCTAAAAGACTCCAGTCATTAGGATCTAAAAGGATGTGATGTGGGTGTGCCTAACGTGACATCTTGTGACCACACGTTCAAATGTTAGTGTCCCCACTAGCCTACAGGGTTCTTAGGGTCTAAGTCCTTACTTAAAAAAAAAAAAAGTCTACCGCCAGGACATAGCATAGTTCTAGAACCTGGAATATAGGAAGCATTTCACAAATACTTAATGAGGAATATTAGTACCCAATCTCCCCCCGAACGTATCTGTTCCACTTACTAGGGTATGGTTGTAAAATCAGAGCTTTCTAAAGTGTGGTCTGGAGACCTCTAGTGGTTGTCTGCAGTTCAGTATAAGGTCAAAATATTAAGGATGACAAATTAGGAAAGAGCCAAATAATAGGTCACAGGTTAAGGCCTGAGATGAGTGAAAAAAGTGGGTGCTATGGTAGAGGAATAAACTAAAGAAGTTTAAAAATGAAAGATTCATTTAAAGTGTCTAAATTAGAAGATAAAAATGCAATCTTTTTTTCTCCAACAAACTGATGCCAAAAGAAAAAAAATGCAATCGTTTTACCCGAATGTAATACATATGAAGACAGCAACTGTTTCCTAATAATCAACTGTATTGCAAAGTACAACCACTCTAGTTCATATCCCCCCTCATACCACTACTTAGTTTTAAAAAAAAATTTAATAGAACATAAATGAATAGTATTTTAAAACACATTGCTATTTGAGAGGCCATAATACAATTTTGGAAAGAAAAATAAATCACCCTTTATAAATTCAAGACATAGAAACAAGAAGAACACATTCCCTATATATTAAAGACAGTCAACTCTCCAGGTTATCTAAGATCTCCAAGAAACTGCAGATTTCATTTTTGTAGAATGTTAGTCATGCTGGAGAGACGCCACTCTTTCAACATTATACTGGGAGTCTCACGCTTAAGTTGAATGATGGTTATTCTCAGTAGGCAATCTTACTGGACTTTAAAACCACCTAGGCTGGGTTCATACCACAGTTCAACATCTTAATAACAGGGTAAACTTGAACAAGTTACTTAACCTTGGTGTACCTCAGTTTCCTTCTTTATAGAAGATGAATGATAACAGTCTGCCTCAGAGCTGTTAAAAATTATGCATTATAAATCCAAAGAACCAAGTGCACTGGTCTTGTACCAAGTAAGGAGTCAATAAATGTTTATTATTACAATTAATGTGCTAAAAATGGCATGGCATGACTCACGTAAGTCAACAAAGGTTTGATTTCTTCAACAAGAATTTAAAAGCATATTTATTTTAGAAACAGCTTCCATAAGTCCACAATACTCTCTTAAAATGCAACTTTTTCTCTTCATTTATTAACTGAAAAATAATCACACTCAATTGAGATTATACATATTGAAATGCCCTAAAAGGAAGCCGTTGCCATGGAAGAAATCATTAACCACAAATCCTACTCATCTAAAAACTGGAGAGCATAAAGGAGAGACTTTTTTTCTTTATAAAAGTATTTATAATTTTGTAAACAGCTATGAGCATAACTCTAGGTATGGACCAAATGTTCTAGCAAAAAAGGACCTTGTAAAAGAAAAAATCATTTATCTTATACATAAATTCATTTGAAAGTCTGTGATGCCTCTGAAGTTGTTTAGCCAACTTTACAGTGGGCAATGGGAGAGTTCAGTTTAAATATGAGAATACATAGAGTTGTAAAAAGGGAGATGAGAGTTGAGACATCTGAACAAAAGAAAAATGTGCTTTATTATATGTATCAAAGAAAACATAAAAGTCCATATCCCTAAGACTTTCCTCCTCCTCCTCATATTTAGGGTGGAAAAACAAGCCATCCACCCAACTAGCTACTCAACCTATTAGATCTCTGAACAATACAGTTCATGTAGACAACTCCTTGCTTCAAAGCAGAAAGTTCATCCTGTAGAAAGTAAAAATAAATACAGCTTTTTATTAAAAAAAAAGAACAACATCAGGAATACCAAGAGCAAAGTCTTGGAGAAAATTACTTTCCACAATGGCTGAAGTATAATTTGGAACTGTACAGGCCAGTACTTAAGTCAATGTTTTTCCATTAATTCAGTTTATAGCTAAAGTACTGAGAGATAATGATATGAAATATTTGCACCCAAAATACACTCATAATCTATTATTCCAGTTCCCTCTATAACCACTTTTTCACCCACCCTACAAAGTTCTCCAGCAGAACCTGCATATTTGCAAAGTGTTCTCCTATGTTGACATTGTATTATAAATGACTGAGAAAAATTTCAGAGACAACTTGGAAAGAGAATGGAAGCATTTTTGCTCACCTTTTCCCATTCAGCTTATCTGTATTAAATGGTGATAATCAGTAACTATTTACTAAGCTTTCAAAAAGTGATTGGCACATATAGTCCTTATTCAGCAAGATTTAAAGGACAAGGTATAATTTGAGAACATAAAGTGTAACACAAAGCTCCCAAATGTTCATGCCATAACATGACGTATGACAAGAGATACTCAAGAGTGAGCACCTTGGGAGAGAAGTATTCTATTGCCCTCCATAAAAAATGGGAGCACGGTCCTCAGCAGTGGCTTTGAGCTTAGATGGAAACAGAAAATTATAATTTCCATCTACACCCCTTTAATGGCTCCCCATATTCACCACCCCCATTCTCTTTCATCCAGCCAATTTGAAAGATGAGATAAGAGTGAGAAGAGACAGAGAACCTGAATGAGAATGAATTTCGACAGGTGAGGGTGTGGCACACAAGTTATTTTCAGGACCTCATGCTATTGTATTCTTGGAAAAGTTAAGTGGACAGCCAAATGTTATGCTTTACCAGAAAGGAGCTAGGAGTTCAAACTTCATAGAAAAATTAAAATCCATTGGGAAGAAACCTTGACATTAATGAAAAACATATATAATATTATAGTCATCGATCCTCATAAACACAATGGCCCCATTTGATAGATTTTTACTTCTCTCATTTTGGATCTCCACTGAACTCTAAGTCACATTCAATCATTGAAATGGCTTAATAATCAGTGGCTTAAAACTTGGGGTATTTATTATAGAAGTGACCAGTATATAATGACCAATCATTACCATATGAAATTACAATCCTTTTCAGTATCATGCAATGTTAAGTGGGAAAAGTTCAAGAAAATATTCTAAAGATATGTTCTCTTGCATAAATATTCCTATTACAAATGTGTGTCAAAGACCACTATAAAACTAAAATTCACTTCTTTCTCATACATGTTCATCTGTCAGTGTTTAAAATTCTATTGGCTAACAATTAAAGTGTATACTTTGTCTGGATTCTCACTCAGAAAAAACCTACATAAAGACATAGTTTCTGAGACACAAGGAATTTAAAATGAACTGGATATTATATGACTCCAGAGGATTATAGCCAATGTGTTAGGTGTGATAATGGCACAGGGTCATGTGAAAAAGTGTCCATACTTTAAAAATATACATACTAAAGTACAAATAGGTGAAATGAGATTTGCTTTAAAATATTTTAGCAAAGAATTGAATCTGACAATTGTTGAATCTTGGTAATGAGTTTCTGGAGGTTCATGTATTATTTTTGTATTATTTTTCAGAGTTTTGTGTAAGTTTGAAATGTTCCATAATAATTTTTTAAAATTTAAAAACATTATATTGTCTAGATACACTCATAAAGAACTCAGGCAGGGAAAAAACGTTTAAATTTAAAATTTAAATTTTAAACTGAAGTGCAGTTTTAAAAATTTGAATTTTAAATTTAAAAACTGAAGTGCAAAAATTATGAAATTGACATTTAAAAATCTATTCTTTTATACAGCTAATATGGATTTCATCTAACTTAAGGAAAAGCTTTAATGAAGACCCTGTTAAAAGTTTGTATCAAATGAGGACTTATAATGCTTTACTCCAAAGCAACAAAACGCATATGCCCAAAAGATGTATAAAAACAGGCATACATTTAGGAAAAAAAAAAAAGGCAGCCTTTTCTCTGCTACAAATATTTAAAACTCACAGTATACTCTTTCTATCTCAAAGACTTTTAAAAATTATTTTCCATCTTTAGGGAAAACCATATGAGAAAATAACTCAGCAACATGTCTGTGAATAATGCCTAGCAAAGCTTAAAAAAAAAAAAAAAAAAAAAAAAAAGCTTCTAGCCAAAAAGACTAACAGGAAAAAATGAACATTTTCAAAAGCATTTTGGAACCTTATTCCAGCTACCTCCATGCTAAGCCCTCTTTTTCCTCCCAAAATACGTCACTTAACTGTCTGTCAAATAACTCTTGCCCATTCTACCTGATCACACTCTGAAGCTGCAGCTTTTCCTGGATTCTCTTCTCAATGACAAGCTGTTCAAACAGAGAACACCTATCAAAACGAATATCATCATCTGCTCCTTTCTTTCTTCCTTTCAGGATATACTGCTGTCCAGCAGGGGAAGTAATTAATGAGTTTTTTATGTATGGCAGCGTCATCCCATCAGTTTGCTGTCTGGTTTGAATAGCTCCTATCAGCTCTTCATTCATGCCAAGTACGCTCACCGTCCAGAGACATGATAAAGCCGTACTTCCTTCTGGATTTTTACCTCACTATTCAAAAAACAGGGTACCAGAAGCATGGGTTACAAAAGCATGAGGAGGACAGAAGAAATGCCTTCATCTTCTACAGAAAGGAAGCTGATGGACTGAAAAGTTCGTATGGAGAAAGGAAAGCAAGAGTGCAAGAACATCCATGCTTCTAGTCCAGATAATGTTTTTTAAAGCAGCTTGATTTGGAAGCGTGTGTAATTCTGAAATACGAACAAGCAGAACTTTTCCAGGGGGTCAAATGCATATAGGAACAACCAGGATTTCTCATTGCTGAAGCATTCAATGAATCTTTAATAAGTTCTCAACACTCAGATTGTTTGTGATCAGATCAACTGCTGTTACCAGATAAAGGCAAAACTCACCCTTCTGGTTCTATAATCCTATCCAAATGGAGTCTTCATCTACCGCATACTATCCTAACTAATGCTACAGGATTATCAGGAATACAGATATAAAGACACTGCAAGAAATAAAACACTGGCAAAATAAAACATGAAAGGAAAGTAGAGAAGGCATTTTGGGTCTCGAAGCTTACTATTTCCAGCCAGAGTTCAAATTACTGAGCTTCAAACAAACCACTGCCAGGTAAGATTTAATTTTATAACCTTAATTTATATCTTGTCTACTGAAATTAAATCTGCTCGTGCTGTGAATGAGATAGTGGATTTGAATTTCTTGCAACCCTTCCTTAAGCTTTTGCAGATTTAAGCTGAGGTAAACGCTTGTTTTTACTTATGCTGCATAAACAAGTCACTCAGAACTAGATAATAAAGCATCCAAAACTCCCATTCATTTTTCATTGAATTTGTCTCATCTTTGTCTTTATTTTTATCCCAATTTTGTTTTATTTAATAGCTTGAAAAAAATGCATGAAGAGAGCCCTGAATGGTGCATAAGAGCCATTCACAGATAATGTTTACCAACAATATTCAAATGAACTTAGTTTCCCAGAGTACTTGATAAAACAAAGAAAAATTAATAAGCATTTTAAATATTTTTATTCATATAAAGGAACAAAAGCTCAATGACTGATTTCTATTGTTACTAAGAAAAAAAAGCTGTGATGTCATTTCATTCATACTAAAGAAAAATAATCTCTACTAAATCGAGGTATAACACTCTTGTAGGATAGGGCTAATTTATCCTAAAGATACTAGACATTTTTATAACAGACTAAATGAAGACATTTTTCTGATTCAACAAGAGGATAAAAAGATGAAAGATGTCTGGTACCTTAAAACCTCAAAAGCTTTGACTCAGGTCAGTGGTCCAAACTGTAAAATGCAAAGCACTAGTGAAGCCATCAAAGGATTTTAAAAGATACAGTGCCTTTAAGAAATTCCCTAGAAATCACTGCATAATGAGACTTCTAGAGTGACAATCTTATGTAAAAACAACAAAACGTTATCATTTAGCAGAAATCCCAACCACATTGGTTTTCATGAGTTTCATTGGAAAACTTAGGTCCAAAGCACCTTATCATAAAGAAGTCCTACAACAAATAATATTTATATTATCTTAGAAGAGAGGAGACAGGGAAACAAGAGCATATCACACCTAACTACGGAGATCTTGTGGTAATATACATAAAGTTATCAGAAGTAAGTATTCAATACTTGTCTAAAAGTAGTCAAATTAGAAATTCTCTTCCATTTCACTGAATTCTTTCCTTTTTTCAAATTTTAGTTAAGGGAGTAAATTATATGATCCCTTCAGGCTTTTCAAGACAGTCTATAAATAACCTTAAATATCATAAGTCTTTTACATCTGAAGTCATTACAGAAACTTACCTGTCATTTTCCAGTACCAAAGGAAAGCAGCAATTTAATACAAGTAGTGATTATCTAATACAACAATTTGTTTCAGAGAAAAAAATGTTTATTTAGAAATCTCAAAATACTTCTTATGCATACCAGACATAACTAAAAGTTAAGGGTGGTATTGTTGTTGTTTACCTACACTGAGAAACAGCTGAACCCTTAAGGGTTCTTTTCATCTGTTCCCTCCTTATTATGGTATTACAGTTTGTAAACAGACATGATTCAAAAATATGTAGATATTTTAAATGAAGAATATTAATCAATATTTTAAATTATAATTAAAGATTTTTTAATTAACTTGGACAAAAGTATGAAATTTCTACTATGCTCAATTTGCTTCCAATAAATGGAATTAAAGGGGGCAGATAACAATATTCCTTAAGTGTTCTGGATTTTATTTACTCATTGTAATGTAAACAGAGACTCATATCCCACTAATTTGGGGGCTTTGTTTCTATAACTCACCTTCTAATGACAATGGCTGGGCAAATGAATACTACCTTGCTCCACCCCAATTTGGTCCTTGTCAGCATCAATCCCAGTGAATTTTCACTTTCTTTCCTTTCCAAATCAAGGCTTTGCTCTATAATAACCCATTCAGAAAAGTGATTACTGAAGTTTTGGTAACAGCTTTCAAAAAAATACCCTACAGCAATTTGGAATAATCTGTATTTTCTTCATGTAGGGTGAAAAAAAAATTGAAAACTGCTTCAAGTTTACATCTCATGGGTACAAATGGATGAGGGATTTTATGCTAGTACCTGAAGATTTGGTTTATTTATAACAACTTTTCCCTGTTATTGATAGATTTAACAATTAAAGAGATTCTGAACAGTCTTGGGATGTAGTCAATGACCTGCCTACTTGTTTCTGCAATTTAGAATGTATTTCATTCACACATATTATATAAAAGTATTATATTGTAAAAGTAATGTGATTGTGTATCATTAGTTCCTTTCATAGAAATGGAGCAAATATTTTGGCTGCCATATCCTTATAATAATACCTATTGCTATATCCTTAAATTCTGGTCATTTTAAATTATCCAAAAGCTATAAGCTTTTTATTTAAACTATGATAAAATAAAAATGGCATCTAGGTCAAAATGAACACATCCATTTCGTGTATGTTGACATAACAATCTTAAAAAGTAATTTTTGTCTGAAATACCAAGCAACATAATTTTGTATATAAAATTAGAAACATACCTAAAATTCATTTTTCTGTGTTAGCATTCAACTTAAAGGGACATTGCATAATATTTTTAAATGCATTAAATATATATTTACTTATATCTTCATTATTATAACTTTAAGTTTTCATAAGGAATTTTTTTCATTCCATTATAATGGCACCGTGTTTCAAGCTTAATTCAACTGGGCATTTCAACTAGCCAATATATTTGTTCCTTATTATGGTTAATTTTCCTTATGAAGTGACCAAATTTGAATAAGGATGTAGTTCACCATGAAGATCATCTCCTCTCCAGCTTCTTCCTGCTGAGAGAGAACAATCTTTGGTTTGTGACATCACAATCTGTGACTGGGAAGTGGCTCTGATATCAAACAGATGATTATATGCTTTCAGTGTGAACTAGCTAAAAGAGAGATGTAAGCACTATTATTTCAAGTCATATCACCAAGACACTAAAGAGATGCATGACAGGAACTGAATTAGAGAAAGATGCTTTTATTGCATTTGTCACTTTTTCAGCATCAACTATTAAAGATAAAAGTACCATCTCACAGTTTTCTCATTAATAATTCAAAAGCGGGAGTAAACATCATGTTGGTTAAATTCACAGACCATGATAAAACGGGAGTAAGGAAAATACCAGTAAGCAAGCAGACAGTCATGAAAGAGGCCCCTAGAGAACTGAGAAATAGATGCAAAATTTCACCTTGGTTCAAGCAGAAATACTGATGCTACTCAGAAAATTGAAAAATTACCAAAACACCCAAAATGAGAAAGACGGTGTCTCTGAATGAGAAAGAGATCCCTAAATATAGATTATAAAGTGATCCCATGACATAGATTAATTAGTATCTGACACATGGACTAGTATGAGGGCAGGGAGGGGGCTGGTTAACACCTTTCTAAAACAGCATGGATTTGTTAAAAAACAAAAACAACAACAGAAAACAAAAACAAAAACAAAAACAAAAAAACAAAGGACTGTCTTGAATTAGCAAAACTTCTGTGTTCTCTGAAAGTCTTCAACAAATATTTGTAAAAAATAAATAAAAATAAATCAGGAGTTAGGGTTCAATTAAGGAAACAAAAATGAAAGCTCCTTTTACAAACACATAGGCATATACAGACCTCTTTTTGTAATCTTTGTTTGCAACAGTAGCCAAAAGACAAAGCAGACCAACTAATCCTTCCACACTGAACACATGTGCAGTCTGTCCTTTGATTAGTGGCAATACCCTGATTCAGAGTATCAGTCATTTGTGACTGACCCTCCTAGACTCAGAGCCTATACAAAGATGATGTGTAAAAAATACAGTTAACTACTCCACGCATAATTACAAGTCAAGCTGAAGTCTCATTATCTACAGTTACACAGATTGCTTGATCCAGTGGTGTGTAGAGAATTCTTAAAGCATTTATTCAGTCCTATGTACTGGTTCATTACAACCAATGGGTTATTCAGCAGTTGTTTAAAGATCTGACATTCTCCATTTTTTGTATTGAAATTATTAGTGAAATAACTCAAGAATCTGGACCAATCAGAAAACATTACCACTTTTATAGACATTGTTTGACGTCACACTGTTGTCATCATCAGACTACGTGGGCCTTCTTATTTCCTGATTATCACTATAGAAATGTAGCACTGAATAATGTGTTCTTTAAGAAGCAAAAGCCAGAGATGATTTCCAGTTCAGTTATCAACTAAAAATCCTTAGCTATTTATAGAATTTTTTGGTACAGTAACCTAGAAAGCTGTTGGTGTAAATCTATCAGGCTCAGTATATAACATAGTACAACTCTTAATATTTCATCAACTGTATACCTTCCCTTCATTTGTGTTGCAAAGACAGTCCTCTACATGCAGTAACTTCTGGGTAACTTCTGGTAATACCTACAGAAGAGCTTCTCATGCCTAGGAACTTCCCCAACACTTTGAGGATACTTCTTTCATAACACCTTGTTAGATTCCATTGAAAACCTATTTATGGCCAAGCGCAACCTGTAATCCCAGCACTCTGGGAGGCCAAAGCTGGAGGATCGCTTGAGGCCAGGAGTTCGAGACCCACCTAGGCAACACAGCAAGACTCCATCTCTATAAAAAAATCTAAAAGTTAAAAAAATAAGAAAATCTATTTATATAGTTGTCTGACATACGAAATTGCATTTTTCATGGTTGAGGGCCTTAAGAGTAAAGACCACATCTAATTTATCTGTCTATTCCCAAGGTAAGCTCAGGACTAGTTAATCAGCAGATGTGTTAAATGAATGTGAAAATGTATCTTAATGCATTCTCAGGTACAATCTCAGACAGCCAGAAGAATAGTGATCCTAAAATATACCTCAGCTGCATTTCACTGATAATAGGCAAGTAGGTAACTGCAGAAAAGTCTAATGAAGGAGTCTTTTAAAGTAGTTTATACTGAAATAATAGCTATAAGGAGATAATATCTGTTAGGGATAGTATATGATATTATGAGGTATGCAAATACAGGATAGCAAATTTATCCCTTATGCTTTTGCTCTATTTGACATATGGAAATCACGTTTGCTATACTACTAGATCTAGAATTTCATCGATAATCCAAAAGGATCTAAATTGGTCTTGCTATTAAAAAGTGACTTCAGGGGAATTTGAATAAGTACTTTGCAAATGAAATTGAAGAGATACTACAGTCATCTTTCTATTCAAAGATGAGTGGAGAAAGTGACACACTTAAAATCTTACATTTATTCTGTTGGATGCTCTACCTGCCCCCTCTCCCTCTTTCACTCTCTGTGAGGAATGAATCTTTGCAAGTTACCTATGTTATATCTCCCCAAGTCATCTCTTCTCCTTATGCCAACATACAATATACCAACAATGGTGATTTCTTTAAAAGCAGGGACAAAGGCTAAAAGACTATGCTGTGCCTCAACCCCTATGATAGAAATTAAAGTAGCAGAGTGTTGAAGTAGGCCAGCATCACTCTAGAATTCATCAACATGTGTGTTGGGGTGGGGGCAGCTATAGTCTGAAGATGCTCAGGGTACATGAATAATGCATGTGTACGTCCTCACAGAAATCTGTGATTTGATGTTGGCGTGCACAACTTAAGATTTTGAGCTTTGGGCCGGGCACAGTGGCTCACGCCTGTAATCCCAGCACTTTGGGAGGCCGAGGCAGGTGGATCACCTGAGGTCAGGGGTTTGAGACCAGCCTGGCCAACATGTTGAAACCCCGTTTCTAATAAAAATACAAAAATTAGCCGGGTGTGGTGGTGCATGCCTGTAATCCCCGCTACTTGGAGGCTGGGGCCGGAGAATCGCTTGAACCCAGGAGGTGGAGCTTGCAGTGAGCCAAGATTGCACCATTACGCTCCAGCCTGAGCAACAAGGGCGAAACTCTATCCTGAAGGAAAAAAAGAACAACAGATTTTGAGTTTTGACATCCTATCATGTTTTTAGCCATGTTCCTTCTTTCAAACACCATCTTAGATAAAATATCAAGATATAAGACATATAAGAGCAGATCTGCCCTGGTTGGGTTGAGACAGAAAGCTTAGAGCCCGCAGGTCCCCTTCTCACCCCATCTCTTCTACACTCTCTCCTCCACACGCTTCTTGGACACCTTCTAAGATATGTTTGTTGTAATTGTTCTGCCATCTAGAGGATTCACAAAGATATTCTTCTCCATTTTAATGCAAGTTTTTGATTCCATATAGACACTGCCAAATACTCTAACCTAAAACTCCTGGTATATGTCAAGCAATAGTATTTTCTAGAGCAAGAGGGCACAGGTTGCGAAACAGTGCTACTTAGCTATGCGGAATGCTACTCAATTATTCTGCTGCCTAAACATTGATCAAGCAACTAAGACCTAGGATTCAAATAAATTATAAGTTGATTTTAAAAAGGACTAAACATCTATAATTTGGGTTGGAATATTCCAGAAGTAACTAAAATTAACAAAATCTCAAAAAATTATTTGCAATCAAGAAAGCATAGAAACAAAAAGTGAGAATTTGTCATAATAGAACTCAGAATTCAGTGTGAGAAAACAACAGAATTTGTTAGAAATACCAGGTCCCAGCTGGGCACGGTGGCTCACGCCTGTAATCCCAGCACTTTGGGAGGCCGAGGCAGGTGAATCATGAGGTCAGGAGTTCAAGACCAGCCTGACCAACATGGTGAAATCCCATCTCTACTGAGAATACAAAAATTAGCCGGGCGTGGTGGCACATGCCTGTAGTCCCAGCTACTCGGGAGGCTGAGGCAGAAGAATCCCTTGAACCCGGGCAGCGGAGGTTACAGTGAGCCTAGATTGTGCCACTGCACTCCAGCCTGGGTGACAGAGTGACTATGTCTCAAAAGAAGAAAAGAAAAGAAAGAAATACCAGGTCCCTTGCATAATATTCTAGTATTATTTCACCTAACAACATTATACCAAACACTGGAGTTGTCCTGAGTTGTTTCCAGGTTTGTGAACTCTGCAATTTACTTGCTTTTGCAAGTGAGATGGGGCTCAAGTATTTAAGCTTGAACCTCCATATATAACTAAATATTACAACCAGCAGGATATATTGGATAAAATCAACTTTTAAAAGAGGAAATATGATCTTCCATCTAAAAAAGCCATGTTTCAATTATTATGACATACTATTTATATTACAATGTATTCATTTGCATTCAGTGATCATCTCCAGCACTGTCCTGTTCACTAAGGAATTCTCATAACTATTCATCCAAAATCTCAAATGATTCCTGCTTTGAAGTCAATCTCCTAAGTGAGTAATGTCGCTTTTTTCTCTAAAATACTTTAAAATATTTTCAAATATATTCTTGAGATTCAATTTTAAGTAGAGTTATTTTAAACCAACAACCAATACCCATGGACTTATTACACAGCTTTAATATAAATTTCTGCCATGCCCGCATCAGATTTTTTATGGCCTCTCCATAAATGGATCTGGGAAGAAAAACTCCAGTAGACAACACACTTTTATTCTGTAAGTGTATTAGGAACTGGTTAAAATTTATATATCTTTATTTAGGCTTTTTAAGTATCAGGAATAGGACCTTCTGCAGGCATAATGGTATATCTCCATTTAAAATATTTTAAATAAATGTAAACAGCAAGACAGAAACAAAAAAAAAATTTAACATAAATGTATTGTACCTCTCCTGTCTCAGATGACCAGCTGAAATTTTTAACATAAATTTATTGTACCTTTCCTGTCTCAGATCCCCAGCTGAACTTTTGAAACAAACATCCTAGGCATAGAAACATAAGCTACTTTATTTTTCTATGCCTTTTCTTCCCATCCCTGAGTCAGCCAGCCTCCTGTGGTATAGTGACATCCTGGATGGAAGTAAAATAATCAAAATTACAGGGTCCCTTGGGAAGGAAACCAATTCCCAGCAGTGATTCCTTATATAGAAAAGAGATAGCTAAACTCATGGTCACAATGGCATGAATTAGTTATGGCAAGGTTAATATCTTGTATAGAAAAAAATAATTTTTGGCTTAAATTGGTACCAAGGAGATAGGAAGGTTGAAAGGCTGTCTCCTCACTAACAAAATCCGCACTACCTTTTTTAGCAACAAAATGAACAAAAAACACAAAATATACATTTAAAGGGAACACAAAAAGCTGGAGTTCTTACATGAGACAGGGAAGCTTGCCTTTAGGATAACAAGAACAAGCTCCAATACTCTTACTCTAAGACACTTTTTCTCATATATTGGTAGGATAGAAAGATCATCTGATTAGCACTTCAACAAAGCAGAAGATGAGACAGATTCAAAACAAATCCTCCCCTTATCATCTCCTCCTATACTCCCTTACTTTTATTTACAAGTACATAAAATACTGCATATTATAATGAATTCCGGTTTCAAACCTTGACATTCTCTTTTGTTAGGAGGCTATGACAGCGTGCTTTGATTCAGGGTGTTGTATCCCAGCCTCGTGGCCTCACTGAGCACCATTCTTATGCTTGCTCTCCTCCAAGGACACTTTGGAAGAAAGGATGGTACATACATATTTTCCTTCTCATTACAGCCCTATGTCTATGTCTGTGAAATTTTGAACCTTGAAATTCTGACTATTTCTACAAGTGAAGAATCAAACGTTCTCTATTACACTCTAAGTTTCCAATAATATGGTCTCAGAGCAAGTAAGTCCTCCCTGGCAAAACAGCCAGGTTTGAATTAGAAAGGACTATTTCAGGCCAGGTGTGGTAGTTCACCCGTGTAATTCTAACACTTTGGAGGCCAAGGCAGGAGGATTGCTTGAGCCCAGGAGGTCAAAGCCGCAGCAAGCTGTGAACACGCCACTGCACTCCAGCCTGGGTGACAGAACGAGCCCTGTCAAAACAGAGAAAAAAGAAAAGAAAAGAAAGAGAAAGAGAAAAGGAAAAAGAAAGGAAGAAAAGGAAGAGAGGAAGGGAGGGAGGGAGGGAGGGATGGAAGGATGGAGGAGGAAGCGAGAGAGGTAGGGAGGGAGGGAGGACCATTTCAAAAGTCACTATGTCTATATAAAACTATTTTAAAAACATAGAAATTCAACCAGAAAACCTTAGCGATCCAAGTACATGAAGAAAGAGGAAATTTCTCTCTAGGCAGAACCAATGCAGACTGGCCGTTCTGAACAAAGTGACACGTATTACTAATATTTCCTGAGCATCCTCTGAACATGTGTGGTACTAGACTACAGCAAACCCACTGTAGACACAGGAAGTCTCTTGAGTGAGAAAAACAGAGTGGGGGAGTACATTTAATAATTGGAAATAAAACATCAAATGAAAATTAAAGCGTACAGGCCGGGCACGATGGCTCACGCCTGTAATCCCAGCACTTTAGGAGCCCGAGGTGGGAGGATCACCTGAGGTCAGGAGTTCAAAACCAGCCTGATCAACATGGTGAAACCCTGTCTCTACTAAAAATACAAAAATTAGCCGGCATGGTGGCAGGCACCTATAATGCCAGCTACTTGGGAGGCTAAGACAGGAGAATGGCTTGAACCTGGGAGGCAGAGGTTGCAATTAGCCAAGATTACGCCACTGCATGCCAGCCTGGGTGACAGAGTGAGACTCTGTTTCAAAATAAATAAATAAATAAATAAAAATAAAAATAAATAAAATTAAGGTGTACAAATTCGTCCCCAGGCATTTGAGAAAAACAGAATTCGGCCTTACTTTTTCCCTTTCCCCTGGTTCCTACACCCAAGAAATATTAGAAGGATATATTAATAAACCACAAACTTAGAAGAAACCAGAGAATAATGTTCACTTTCACCCTGAAGTCCCAAGTCTAACAAGAACAAACATGTGAAAAATGGACAGAGGAAAGAGATGTATGTCCATGCCAGGCAAAAGTAAGGAGTAGGGGTAGCAGAACAAGATAAATAAAAAAACAGACAATAAATGGGACCTACTGGCTCATATAATGCTCCAGGTTTCTTTTTCATCCTGTTTAGAAAGGTTGACATACTTGAGAATATTCCACATTTTAAGTCTACTCTAATAAAGAACCGTTTACTTCCTCTCTGCATATCAATTTGATTATAGCTTACTCCAAAGGACACAACCACAGAAGAGTCACCTCGTAAACCCCTCTTCAAAATAAAAATTGGAATTTAAATGGGTATCTAGGCTATTATTTAAAGACTGCACGGTTGGCCAGGCACGGTGTCCCATGCCTGCAATCCCAGCACTTTGGGAGGCCAAGGAGGAAGGATTGCTTGAGCCCAAGAGTTTGAGATCAGCCTGGGCAATATGGCAAAACCATATACAAAAATTAGCCGGGCATGCTAGGGTGTGGCTGTAATCCCAGCTACTCAGGAGGCTGAGGTGGAAGGATCACATGAGCCCAGGAGGTTGAGGCTGCACTCCAGCCTGGGCAACAAAGCAAGACCCTGTCTCAAAAACAAGCAAGCAAATAAAACTGCACTATTTATGAACCTACAGAAAACACTCTTATCTGAGCAATTCATCTCCCACAAATACTTGTATGGCCTTAAGTTAAACCTCAACCTTTATGAGCCTCGGTTTCCTCCTTTAAAAAATGAAAGATTTGGACCAAATGTTATCTGTTTTCAGAATGAACATTCTATAATGTTCCTGAAGAGTGAGAAAAAAGACACCAATGGTTCATAACATGTCAGCTTTACTAAACTAAGAGAAGTTCGTTAGGCATCCTCAGGAATCGTAAAGGACACATGTAGAGAAACACTAAGGAGCTCCAGTGGTCAAGAAAAATGCAATGCATATATGCTTATATATTTTTCTTTTATCAACTGCTGGTTAATTAGAATAGCATGAGCAATCCAAGAGATTCAAGATTGGTATTAGAGAAAACCATTCAGGTGAACACTAACTTGTTCTAGCTATGAATTTGTTAAATCTCTGGTTTCTGGGTTTTAAAAAATAATCAGCTCACTTTTTCACTATGATTGTAAAGGAAAAAAAAGAATGAGAATAACAAGGGAGAAGATTTAAGACATCCTGGTTGAATCCATGATATTGTTTAACATTATCTCATAGTAAACTAGTATGACTCAGAGCAACTAGGCACAGAAGAAATAGGTACAAGGAACCTAAACATGTAGAGCTGAAGACACATTAAAGTATGTAAGTATGTCAGGAGCAGCAAGTTCTTATTTAGGAATTATACTGTATAGCTGACAGACATGCACACTCCCACACAGACTAGATTTAATAACATCTTTTTGTCAGCAGCACACCTTTCAAGAATCATCGCACTGGTAATGTCTTAACTTGACAAGACCTCAGTGCAACAGCCTGCTCTAACGTGATTCCACCTTACCTGTTGCATTACTTACGCAAGGCTGTTATAGTACCGTCCCACACATGAACTCTCCAAACGTGCTGCCTCCCAGGCAACACGTCCTCTGATTTCTCTTGTTGTGGGCTGATGGCCATATATGACATGAGCACAAACTACGAATATTAAATATACATGTATGGGTATCCTGGGAGATCAGGCAAAAGGCATCAATGAGTATATTAAAGCCTTGGGCACTACAGTAGGTAGTCATGCACATAAGAAAGAAAAGGGAGTGACACACAGAAAAGAGAGGCAAGGTCTAAAGTGAAACCTGCCCCACAACTTGGCCCATTTATCATTATCTGTACACGGAGAACCCCAAATTACTTCTTGCTCTAAGCAGAGTGTAGGCAAGGACCTTAACTAGTTCCCAAATCCCATGTGTACCATATGCAAAACATTATCAACAAGAGTATGAAAATTACTAACTTGCAATACCATTCTGACTTCAAAATATAATGGAAAAAATACAGCTAAATGTAGCCTGCCCTAAAAATCGTATCACTAGAGCCTCCAATCAGAACTTAAAAAAGATTAACATAGGATTCAGAAACACTCTGCAAGTAAAAACTTTCTCACTTTAAAATAGAGATCATCAAATTGAAAAAATGCTGTGACTTGCTGAGGTCACACTGAGTTTTTATATAAACATACAATCACAACTTGATTCCAAGACTCCCCAGTTTTGGACAGCAACCCCTCTTAATTTTCTCTCAAAATTGTGGAGAGAAAATATCTGAATTAAGAAATCCAAAAGGTAATGTGAAAAATATTAACAGCGATGCCTTATCAATTTTCCTAAAAAATATGAAGCGGATGAATTTCATTTCACTTTCCGCATGCACAGTTTATAACACATAATTATCTTTTTGCTTGAGTTATTAGCAGTCAAGAAAAACTCATTTGCAAGTTAGCACTCCTGCGTACTAATATATTTTTTCCGGACTTTTCAGTTTAAATGAAACAAGTAGCAAGCATAAGAGTATTGCTCCCATTGTCATGACCAGATCAAAAGGCACCAAACTAAACATAACCAAGTTTTTTTAAGTAGCCAAAAGCTTTCTTCTTTTAACAGATACTAAAAATGGGGGGAAGGGGAGGAAACACAAGTTTCCCAAACAATGAAATGGCTCATTTTCTATACAATACACCAAAAGGGCCTACTGCTGCATAGCCAACTGTATGCATACCACAGGGGGCGAGAGTGCAATATAAAGAATAGTCATGGGTTTTGGAATCAGATTGAAAGGAATTCACACTGCAGTTCCATTACACACTAGTTATGTGATCCTTGTTACCTAACTTCTTTGAGCTTAATTTATCTCATCTATAAAATTGTCTAATACTAACACTGAAGGGCTATTTTGAATTTAAACAAAATGTATACAAAATACCAAATATCTAGCCAGGTACTCTATAAACAAGTTTTGTTTTTTTGTTTTTGAAACGGAGTCTCACTCTGTTGCCCAGGCTGGAGTGCAGTGGCGCGATCTTGGCTCACTCCAACCTCAGCTCACTGCAACCTCCACCTCCCAAGTTCAAGCAATCCTCCTGCCTCAGCCTCCCTAGTAGCTGGGACTACAGGTACATGCCACCATGCCCTGCTAATTTTTGTATTTTTTCTTTTTTTTTTTATTAGTAGAGACAAGATTTCACCACACTGGCCAGGCTGGTCTTGAACTCCTGACCTCAGATGATCCACCCGCCTCAGCCTCCCAAAGTGCTGGGATTACAGGCATGAACCACCACACCCAGCACTAAATAAGAGTTATTTTAACACATTTGTTAACACCTACATCTCTGCAGATGTAGAGCTGCATCTGCAGCTCTGCCCCCAACAAATTAAGCCAATCTAATTCAGAGGTTGGCCCTAATGCATTTTTCAGCAGTGCTGCCTTCTCAATTTCAAATTCCTATAAGATCACACCCTCTCCCATCCCAATCCAAACCCTAGTAATGACCCCAAGAATTACCAAATGCTATGCTCTGCCAAAAATAAAAATTAAAAAAGGAAAAAAATAAATGGAAGTATTTCTGATAATACTACTAAAATATTTTCTGGAGCAAAGCAATAACATATGGTTAAGAGGCCAAATCTCAGTCCCAATGGTCAAATTCAATTTGATTGACTGCTATTAACTCAGCACTGCCAAATCTTGATCCTTTTTTAAGATTTTACAATTTTTTTTAAATGCTATAAATGTTTACCCATATCTACCACTGCACTGACTCAAAATTTTTGAATTTAGTAATGGAAACAAGAATTTGTTTAGGTTATGGCATTTCCAAGAACAGCAGTAAAGAATGTAGTTATGTTGTACATCCAAATACCATGATGCTTTCCCCATGATGTTTTCCCCTTATGAATCGAAAAACACATCAACCACATTCTCTCTCTCTCTCTGGACCAGCCCATCTGGACAACACCCCTAAAGCAACAAAGGCTACCTTAGAATTATCCCAACTTCTGAGGGAGATCAGTCAAATGGTTAGCATGTCCTGGGATGACTGTTGGATCACTGGGACATGCCTCCTTCCTACCCATCAACTCCTGTTGGGATAATTTTTGAAAGACTGCACCTCTTAACTGCATGGACCATGACTGTCTCTTGCACAAGAAGCACAACATTAAGGCAGGTTTTTCTGAGCAACGGATTTTAGACGTGGATATATAAATCACTTGGGATATAGCTAACCATATACATATATGTCCATACTCTGTGTGTGTGTGTGTGTGTGTGTGTGTGTGTATGTGTGTGTGTATATATACACACGTGTGTGTATGTGTGTGTATATATATATATACATATATATACACACACATACACACACACACATATATATGGCTTCTTGGTAACCAACAAATGACAAAAGATAAAATAAGCTTTTTGTAACTGATTAATGAGGAAGAAATTAAAATCAATTATTGATGTTTCACCTTGTTTTACAAACGTACCCTCATTAACCCCATTCAGTTAACATAAACGCTTCCATTCTTCAAAGAAATTGACAGAAGGGTCAATGACACAAGAATAGCACCATTTATAATACAGATAGATCTGCAGTAAAGCATAAATAAAAAGGGCAAGTATTTAGTCATTATAACTTGACCTCTTGTCCAAGGCAATTCTTGGCTTCAGAGAGAACTAGTTCCCCTGAACTTTTAAGGAAAAACAGTATCTTTGCATAGCCTCAAAACATTATTTACTGTCATTGTTTTTAACACATGCCCAGAAATTCCTCCTTCCATGGATGAAGCTTACTCGCATCGTCTTGAGTGTGAGCAGGACTTAGTGACTCGCTGCTAGTGAACAATAAATGGAAAGGGAAAAACAGGGAGTTTACAGGGAGAAACCTGACGGAGGTTTCTAAGTGGTAACTAAGAGTAACTAAGTGATCAGAGTTAACATCATCAGCAGTAAGTCCTATAAATATTTTGTGTCCACTGACATGATCCAACAAGAAAGGTACATCATCTTAGGGTATTCTCCCCCAGAATCCATAATCTCAGCCTCATCATGAAAAAAAAAAAAATCAGAAAAACCCAAATTAAGGGACATTCTACAATATGGTCTACTCTTCAAAAGTGTCAATTTCAGAAAAGACTGAGAAACTGTCACAAATAAGAAGAGACTAAGGAAATACAAAGAATAAATGTAATGTGGTATCCTGAGTTAGAAGAGAAAAAGGACATCAGTGGAAAAAATTGGAGAAATGCAAATAAAGTCTGTGGTATACCAATGTTAATTTCTTAGTTTTGATAAAGATACCATGGTTATATAAAATAATAATATTAAGGGAAGCTGGGTAGAAAGTACACGGAAATTCACTGTATTATCTTTGTAACTCTTCTGAAAAATCTAAAAAGTATTAGAAAATAAAAAGTTTACAAAATAAGTAATTGGACCTTAATGTCATTTTATTAAGTTAATCTACATACAAGATATTCTGCAAACTCAGTCACTTTCCTCACCTGTTAGAATAGATTGATGGTAGGGTTTTTTTTTTTTGAGACAGAGTTTCACTCTTGTTGCTCAGGCTGGAGTGCAATGGCATGATCTCGGCTCACTGCAACCTCCACCTCCCTGGTTCAAGCAATTCTCCTGCCTCAGCCTCCCGCGTAGCTCAGATTACAGGCATGCTCCATCACACCCGGCTAATTTTGTATTTTCAGTAGAGACAGGGTTTCTCCATGTTGGTCAAGCTGGTCTCAAACTCCTGACCTCAGGTGATCCACCCGTCTTGGCCTCCCAAAGTGCTCGGATTACAGGTGTGAGGCACTGCACCCAGCCTATTCATAGTAGGTTTCTATATGAGTTGCTTTTCATTGAAGAACAAACATCTTCCCAGGACTTCGGTCTTTAAAAATGAGACAAACGTTAGTAGCAAACATAGGGACCTTTGATGCAGTAAATCACACCCAATAACCACAAATAACAGTTCATTCACTCATTCAGCAAGCTCTGTCATCATGAACCATGTGCCATGTCCTGTGTCATACACTAACAATGAAAAGATCTACCCTCAAGAGATGAACCAACCAATATTTTCACCTCAAGAGCAGTGGAATCAGAAAAGCCTCCTTGACCTTGACCAGCTGAACCTTTCCTGGGTTATCCCACAGCATTCTGTATCCCACAGCACTCTGTACCTGTCACACTGAACTGTATTTGTTGGTTTCCTCACATCTATATCACCTCACAAGAGATATTTGCCAATAACTATGCAGGGTCTGAGATTCCACCTTATCTGTAAGCTAACAGGTTAGCCTGTTACTGTTTCATGGGTGCTAGCAGAAGACATGAGACACCTGGGCCAGAGACAAAAGGTGTCTCTGGCAAAAGGAGTAGTCAAACTTCATGTTAATTTTTGTTGGTTCCTCATTGCCCCCGTCTCAGAGTGGTAATTCAAAGAGTCCTGTACATGCTGTGGGCTTTATTACAGGGAAGGAACACTGAGCTGAGTGTTCCTTTGTTACCAGAAAGGAACACTGAGCTGAGTGCATGCCCTCAGCTCAGTGTTCCTTTTTCAGTAAGAGTAAGTTCCTTGAGTAAGTAGAAGCAACCCTGGGGGAGATATTACCTCATCCCTCAGGGTTGCTTGCTGGAAACACAACTATGAGAAATTCAGACAAAGAGCAGTCAGAGCCTTGCATTCTTGACATACCCATCAGGAGCAGTCTGGGCCACTGCAATTCAGCTCTCCCAACAATATTCTGAAAGGCAGGCACTGTGTTGTAGGCATTTCTGTACCCTCAGCACCTGACATGATGCATGATACACCTGATTCCTTAGTGTTTGGTAAGTAAGTACCTATAAGCTAGAAATCTTGAGTTTGAAGCCAAAGACTACTGTTCCCAATTCTGTGGCCATGTACGCAGTCACTTAATCTTTTTAAGCTTCATTCTATTAATTTCTAGGAAATGTTCAAAAATAGAAGTTCAAGAAATGTTCAGTGAAAAAACTATCTCTAAGGATTCTTCTCTAATACTGAAAGGTTCATGATTCTCTCAAGGGCAGAATGCCAGAAAGCCCAGGTGCCTGATATCTCTCTGACAGATCTAACTCACATAGCATTCCCCCATGGAGGCAGAAATTCATGATGGCATAACAAATTTAGGATTCTATTAAGTTGATTTTTGTTTCTCAGGGTTATTTGTGAAAACCTCACATTTCACTGTAAATTTTTTTTTTTGTTTTTTGTTTTTTGTTTTTTGAGATGGACTCTCGCTCTGTCGCCCAGGCTGGAGTGCAGTGGCGCCATCTCGGCTCACTGCAAGCTCTGCCTCCCGGGTTCACGCCATTCTCCTGCCTCAGCCTCCCGAGTAGCTGGGACTACAGGCACCTGCCACCACGCCTGGCTAATTTATTTTTGTATTTTTAGTAGAAACGGGGTTTCACCATGTTAGCCAGGATGGTCTCGATCTCCTGACCTCGTGATCCACCCACCTCGGCCTCCCAAAGTGCTGGGATTACAGGCGTAAGCCACCGCGCCCGGCCCACTGTAAATTTTTATAAACTCTGTATAAACACAAGGCAGAAGACTCTACAACTACAGAATTTTAAAGGTAAATATAAAACCACATTAATTATCTACTTAGCTAGAAAGTAAGAGGTAAAGAAAGCAAGCTTTCTGAAACTTAATGATTTTTTAAAAACCAGCAGTAATATTATTAAAGACAATATTTTCCTTCATGTGCAATACACAGGATATAATAGATCATGACCATAAGGCTCTATATCAGGTTTTTGTTTTTGTTTTTTTTGAGACAGAGTCTCACTCTGTCACCTAGGCTTGAATGCAGTGGCGCAATCTTGGCTCACTGCAACCTCCGCCTCCCAGGTTCAAGCGATTCTCCTGTGTCAGCCGCCCGAGTAGCTGGGACTACAGGCACGTGCCACCATGCCCAGCTAATTGTTTTGTATTTTTAGTAGAGATGGGGTTTCACCATGTTAGCCAGGATGGTCTCGATCTCCTGACCTCGTGATCCGCCCACCTCGGCCTCCCAAAGTGCTGGGATTACAGGCATGAGCCACCGCGCCCAGCCCAGGTTCTTTTCAAGTGCTAAATAAACAGATAAAATATAGATTTACTTTTCCAAGAGGAATTCTCACCACAGGTTATGAAAAGCAGTATGTTGACATCCTCACCACTCAATGCCTCTAAATTAAACAGTATATATTCATAATTCATTAGCATTAATTCCATTCTCAGGTCACTGAAAATTCTGAGACCAGTGCAGTATTCTCACAACAAATTATGTGAGGATATTCTTTCCATCCCACTCCACATATGACAGTGACTAAGAATGTACAATGCAGTATCCCATATGTGCTTTATTCTTTTGCATATGTCACCTTTCTGTTGGAAAAGGTACATTTGAAGGTTTTTTCATTTGATAAACTAAGATCAAATTCATTTATTATGCTGGCTTGCTTTTTATTTAACAAAAGGGGAAGGGAAAGGGAAAGGCCAGGAAAGGAAAAGAGAAAAACAATGGACAGCCACCAGACAGTCTCTTGCCTCCACAGTGTTAGGATGGAATAAACCCACAGACTCAAGGTCTTCCCTACTCCAGCCTCAGATTACGCTCCACTCTCCTCCCCAGCTGCAGCCTCTGGGACCATCTCTTTGCCCATCCCCTTCTTCTCAGGCCAGCGAACAATGGTTTTTTTCTCCAACCATGAGCTCCCAAATCTACCAGAATTATTCCACTGAGGTCAAGGCTGCTGCCAGCTGCTTGGTCCACCTGCATCTGCAGGCCTCCTCTATTTATCTCTCTCTTTCTCTCTTTGGGCTTTTGTTTCAACTGCAACAGTGTGGCCCCAGAAGGCAGGAACCACTTCTGCTACAAGTTGGCAAACAAGCATGCCTAGAAGATTCATAATCAGCGCTGCATGCAGAAGCTGCCCCAAGATGAGTGGGATCACACCCTGGATGCCTAGGAAGCTTTCTGGCCCCATGGAAAACCCTAACCAGGTCCTGCTGGGTCTGCATGCCCTGGGTTATGGCCACACAGACCCACATTCTCTGTGACTGTCTACACAAGGAGGTGAAATGCATCAAGAAGGAAAACCACCTGACCAACTTCCATAGGCCAAAAGACTCACCCTCCAACACAACTGGGAGCCTCACAGTGCAGTGCCCTGAGGCCTGGCTGCAGCTCCCAAGCCTTGGGGCTTCTGTCCAGGTGCCTGCCTCCAGCCCAAAGGCAGCTTCTTAACCAACCACAAACCTTCTCTGAAGCTGCAGACCAAGTGTAAACAACACAGCTTCTTTTTTTGCAGAAACAAAAAATGTGTATCTTAGACAGTGATATACAATAAACATAGTTTTTTTTAGTTTCAGATAATCAACAATATATTTCGATTTTAATGAACAGTATCAAGTGCAAAAAATTCCAACCTTGAAGCCAGGCATACTTAAGTTTGAATCCTGATTCTGCTACCTAAGAGATATGAGAATTTTGTACAAATTGTTGAACTTTATTTCTAAGGCTTAGTTTCTACATGTATAGAATAGAGATAATGAAACCTACCCTATTAAGTTAAAGTTAGGATTTAATGAAATAGAGAATGTGCCCGTGTAACACATCTCACACACAGCCTGCAACTGGTAGGTTTCAGGAAATGACAGCACTGATGACCGCCATCAGCTTGTTAGCTTAAGGTCACCTGTGGTTGCAGGGTCACTAGTGGCCACAGGGCTCATTTACACACACACGTCTTGCCTATTTATGAAGCCTAACCCTTCTGAGGACACTGGGTGTGCTCACTTAACACACAAGTAAAACACTGTAGAATTATCGCAAAATTAAAAGACAAGAGAACAGAATTACAGGGTTGAAAAAACTCCTTGATAAATGACCTTGCTCTATCCCATGCAGCAAGAAGGACCATTGTTGAACCCATTTCCATTAAATGAAACCAAATCCATTTTGAAAGATTTTCAGTAAAGGTGATTTCCCAACTATCCCTTGGATGCCCAGTTAACACTCATAACACAAATGGCTAATCTAAATCCCCTGTATTTTAGTTTAAGCACATTTGATTTTTTTTTCCTTTGTCTTTACAGCTTGGAAAACACAAATTATTAAACCATTTCTCAGGCTTCTTTTGCTTAGCATCCTAAACCTTTCATCATAAATCCTGTTTTTTCTTATTTTTAATCATCTTTCAAGTTCCCTGTATCACCTCTATAGTTGCAGAAGTTAAAATAGTTCAACAAATCCCACACAAACACACACAAAAAAGCTAAATAAAAGAGAAGATGAGTTAATGATCATTTATTTTTCTAATTACATATATATGTTAGTACCATGCTTGGATATTTTCATGACAGCCCCGTGTTAATGACCTAATTTCAAATATGACCCACAGTATATTCTAACCCAACAGTTTGTTTCTCTTCACCTAAAAAGTAATTCTTAGCTTTTGTATAGAACTTTATAATTTGTAAAATAATTCCACATGATCGTCACAACTACCCCTAGATTAAAGCAAGGAGGTATTATTTCTAACAGCTGGTTTTGTTTGGAGTTTAAAAAAAAAAAAAAGGTTCTAAGACAACCAAAACCAAAACTAAGATCCCCTGACGCCCACCAAGTGTTCCTTCTATTCCACCACCTAAACACATATACTACACTTCAGGCACACTACTGAAAAGATGCCTTTCCTACCACAATACTAACACTACAGCCGTCCCTTTTCATAGTCTCTGAATTCATGTTTCATGTGTTTTATTTTAGAAGAGCTTCTACCCTGATTTTCTTTAAGGACTTTATCAAAAATAACCTTTTATTATCTTTCCAGATCAAGTAAAGAGAATTTATCAACTTCCAATTAAATATGACATTGATCAGAAGCATTTATTTGCTCTCCTTCCCAAAACCCACCTAAAATTATCTTAATTTTTTTAAGGAGAGGTATGAGTCTAAAAGATAATCATACAAAGAAGAGACAATAGCAATTGAGACGGATACACTAGATGCTATTAGAACGTGGTACCCAGATGAGGCCGGGTTCAGTGGCTCACCTCTAATCCCAGCACTTTGGGAGGCCAAAGCAGGAGGATCACTTGAGGTCAGGAGTTGAGACCAGCCTGGCCAACATGGTGAAACCCCGTCTCTACTAAAAATACACAAAATTAGCCGGGCGTGGTGGTGGGCGCCTATAATCCCAGCTACTCAGGAGGCTGAGGCAGGAGAATCACTTGAACCTGGGAGGCAGAGGTTGCAGTGAGCCGAGATTGCATCGTTGCAATCCAGACTGGGCAACAGGGTGAGACTCCGTCTCAAAAAAAAACAAAACAAAACAAAAAAAACTTAGCCAGGCGTTGAGGTGCGTGCCTATAGTCCCAGCTACTCAGGAGGCTAAGGCAGGAGAATCGCTAGAACCTGGGAGGCAGAGGCTGCAGTGAGCCGAGATCACGCCACTGCCCTCCAGCATGGGCGACAGAGTGAGACCCTGTCTGAAAAAAAAAAGAAAAGAAAAGAATGTAGTACCCAGATGATTTGATGATGCAGCCAGTTGTCTAACTGAAGAGTAACTGGAATATAAGTCATTTGATAACCAGAAGAGTATCTGGAATACAACTTAAACTCAGAAAAGATTCACTAACGTTCTCTCATTAAGCCATGTCCAGTATAACTAGCTTAAATTATCTAATAATAAACATTTAAAAATAAACAGTCCTTCATGTGAACTTGAAAGTACAGTCTCTGCTAGCGATCCTATGGCTCGGCTCTGGGGGCCTGGGACCGGAAAGATAACCACAGCAGCCAAAAATGGTGATAGTGAAAACAATGGCTGCTCTGGGGACCGAAACCTACCACCATCAAATCAAGTATCATTTTGATGACTTTAATTTGCCGTAAGACGAATTTTTAAAAGGAACAGACTAAATTGGATGAAAGCTGGATACCTCTGGAAATAACAAAATTCAACAGGTTAAATTACCTAACAACAGATTTTAATATAATAGAAGCACTGAACAAATCAAAGGCAGAACTAATGAAAATACAGATAAAACTAAAATCAGAAGATTTTTCCAAACAAACCTCCCTCTGATTAGTACAAAATGTCCCTCTGGCAACTGATGAGTAGAAAAAAATGATGTAAAACCAGATCCATTCATATGAAAGGCTTCCCAATGGATGCAACTCCTGATGACATAATTATTTTATGTCTAATCTTTTAAAGATTAGAAGATAAAGGACAAGCACTAAATATTCAAATGAGAAAAACATTACACAAAGCATTTAAGCAATCAACACGTGCAGTGTTTGACGGTATTAAATCCAATAAAAAGTTTATAGAGACCCTGGCCCTGAACCCTGGTATAAAAATACAGACCTTCTAACACTTTTCAAGGAGGATTATTTTGCAAAACAAGAATGAAGCAAAACAAAGTATAAACTAAATTCAGAGCTAAGCAAGAGCAAGAAGAAAAATGGAAGTGCTGCAAAAGATAAATGCTTGAGAGGATGGATACCCAATTTTCCATGATGTGATTATTATGCATGGCATACCTGTACCAAAATATCTCATATACCCAGTAAATATATATATCTACTACGGACCCACAAAAATAAACTTTAAAAAAAAAAAAACAGAAGTGCTGAGGATGCTCAAATGAAATGTCTAGATTGAATGTTTGCTGAAATTTTGGGATGACTTAGATAATGTGACCTGTAGAAAGCACCCACATATCCTTTTCTCAAATCATGGGGAAATAAAATGGATACACTTTATCAGTAGAGCAAAAGAGAGATTAATTCTATGTAAGAAAAAAGCTAAAGAAACACTAAATAAAGCAGAAGCAGCCAGCAATTGTAACCTATGACTAAGAAACAAGGAAGAGATGTGGAAATTACTAGACAGAAAGGTAGAAAAAGAAACACTGAAAAAAACTCATGCAAAATCACCAAGAATCTCTAAACAAATGAGAATCAAAAGGTCATAGATTTAAAGGAAAAAGAAAGGGAAATAAAGCTGCCTAGGCTGGATCTGCTAAAGGAAATGCACAACTTCAGGGCAGGAAAATGATAGTTCAGGATGATGAAAATGATGCAGCTGGACCAGCAAAAACAAAGAATTGCTTCAAAACAACAGAAAACACAAAATGGCGCTGGAGACTAGCAGTTTAGCACACAAATTCTGCTCTTATCTTTTGAAGGTTTTTAAAAAGAAAATCAGGCCGGGCGCGATGGTTCACGCCTGTAATCCCAGCACTCTGGGAGGCCAAGGCAGGGGGATCACGAAGTCAGAAGATTTGAGACCATCCTGGCTAACAAGGTGAAACCCCGTCTCTACTAAAAAAATACAAAACAGTTAGCTGGGCGTGGTGGCGGGCACCTGTAGTCCCAGCTACTCGGGAGGCTGAGGGAGGAGAATGGCGTCAGCCCGGGGGGCGGAGCTTGCAGTGAGCCGAGATTGCGCCACTGCACTCCAGCCTGCGCGACAGATCAGGACTCCGTCTCAAAAAAAAAGAAAAAAGAAAATCAAATTAGGCCCAATATTCAATATTCAGCTACAAGGAAAAGTTTTTTTGTTATCGGAGTTTTCCTTGTTTTTATTTTTTTGGTTATCCAATTGAAAATTTTTTTAGCCCTGTCAGCCAGAACAAATTTTTTAATTTATAGTTCTGTTTGTGTTATTTCAGATGTTTTAAATATCAAAGGGAAGAATCTTCTTCTACTATATTGCCTTTGTAATATGAGACTATATTGGCACAAACTATATACCATACAAGAAGAGGGAAAAAAATGAGCTGAATCAATGAGGACAAATAAAACTGTCTTGTTGCCTCATGGAAAGAAAAGGTTCGAGGTTTAATTTAAAAGTACAGGCTGCTAGAGTAATATCCTTTCTTTTCCCTTCAGTCTAATTGTTGGCACAAGGAACAGAGGAGGGAAGAAATTCCAATGTCATTACAATTAAAATTTCCTACCCAAAATAGCTTTTCATAAAATTAAATTGAAGAAAATATATAATAGTTTTAAGCAAAAATATGCACAGACAACAACTATACTGACCAAACTGCAGTCTGGTTATTTCGTTTTTATTTGTATCTCTAAAAATAGTGTTTACAGACTTGCACATAATATTTTCCCCACGTTTTCTTCAATATTGATCCAGTGCATTCTGCTCACACTGTTAAACATTTTTCTAACTCTGGCTATCTGTGACATCTTGAAAGGAACAGACAATGCATATTGCATGAATTCAATGATTTGACTTTTGGGGAAAAAAAATGAAGGGCAGAAGAAATTTCTCATAGATCTTACTTTTTACGTTTGAAGGTAAGAGTGGGGTGCCATTTTCAAAGCTCTTGAAACGTAACTTAGAACTGCCAAGAATACTGTTCAAAAAGAAAAGCCAAAGGCATGATTATCTCTTTCAGAGACTAACAGAAAGAGTTCTACAAAGACACCTAAAGACTCACAATCTTACCAGAAAAAGTATGACTTTGAACAACCGTCCCCTTTCCCATATCCACCACTAATAAAAATGAGAGTGTCACTGTCAGTGGTCAGAAACAAACAGAGCAGGCAATGCCCGTGTGGCACAAGTGGAAGGAGGCAGGCTGGAAAGGGCTGCCTCTCCAAAAATGGTTCCCACCTCTATGGTGGTAACAGAAATTTTACCATTAGAAATCCACTTTTAAAGAGTTTTATTCCTTTTATAAAGAGATCTGTAAAATAAAAAATTGATAATACATATGAGCTTATAGAATAATTATTAAACCAACATAAATAACAATCATCCAGGCCAGGAAATAGAATACTGCCAACACCACACCTGCTACCGGGCCCTCCTCAATCATTACACCTCATCTCCCCACTAGAGGTGACCGCAATCATGATATCTGGAATAATCATTTCCTTGATTGTCACTTTAGTATTTAAATATACATCCTTAAAAAATAGGGTTTTTTTTTCCTGTGTTTGAACTTTATATAATAGAATCATACTAACGAATTCTGTGGGCATGTTTCTTTTACTTCATGCTATGTTGAAAAGATTCATCCACTTATTTAAGTATTCATTCCACTATTAATGAATATTTGCGTTGCTTCCATCTGAGGCTCTTCTGAACATACAGCTGTGAACATTTGGGCACACACGTGCTGGAGTTTCTCTAGAACAGGGGGTCCCCCACCCCCAGACCATGGATCAGTACCGGTCTGTGGCTTGTTAGGAACCGGGCTGCATAGCAGGAGGTGAGTGGTGGGCAAGTGAGCAGATTCTTCTCTATTTACAGCCACTCCCTACTGCTTGCATTAGTGCCTGAGCGCCACCTCCTGTCAGATCAGCAGCAGCATTCGATTCTCATAGGAGCCAAACCCTATTGTGAACTGCACATGCAAGGGATCCAGGTTGCACGCTCCTTATGAGAATCTAAGGCCTGATGATCTGTCAGTCTCCCATCATTCCCAGATGGGACCATCCAGTTGCAAGAAAACAAGCTTAGGACTCCCATTGAGTCTACATTATGGTGAGTTGTATAATTATTTCACTACATATCACAATGTAATAATAATAGAAATAAAGCACATAATAAATGTAACACGCTTGAATCATCCTGAAACCGTCATCCTCACCCTGGTCTGTGGAAAAATTGTCTTCCACAAAACCGGTCCCTGGTGCCAAAAAGGTTGGGGACCTCTGCTCTAGAGTATCCTTTAAGGGTGAAAGTGCTAGATCTTCAGTTTTATCAGAAAATGGCAAACTATCTTCCAAAGTGAGCATCGACATATACATACAGTGTGTGTGAAATAGAAATTCACTTTTTAATTACAAGTCTTCAAAAATTCACTGTTACAATGGAAATCTACTTAGAGAATATATGTTAAGCTATATTCTCTACTCTTGAAGTTCTATATTCTCTACTCTTAGATAAAGGTGTACTCTTAGATAAAGGTCTATCTTCCAAATAACATTTGAGAATTGGACCAGAGGTCCAGCTAATTTGGGAAGAAAAAAATAACATACAGGCAACCATCCACATTGGTAGATTTAACCAACCATAGATCAAAAATATTTTTTAAAAATAAAAAATAATAATACTGGCCAGGCACAGTGGCTCACACCTGTAATCTCAGCACTTTGGGAGGCCAAAGAGAGAGGATCACTTGAGACCAGGAATTCAAGACCAGCCTGGGCAACACAGCAAGGTCCTGTCTCTACAAAAAAATGAAGAAATCAGCCAGGTGTGGGTGGCACACCTCTATAGTCCCACCTACTCAGGAGGCTGGGGCAGGAGGATTGCTTGAGCCCAGGAGGTCAAGGCTGCAGTGAGCTATGATCATGCCACTGCACTCCAGCCTGGGTGACAGAGGAAAACCCTGTCTCTCTAAAAATAAATGAATAAAGAAAATTATTTTAAAATAACAATACAACAATAAAAATACAAATAAAAAATAATACAGTATAACTTTACATAGCACTTACATTGCATTAGATATTATAAGTGATTTAAAGATGATTTAAAGTATATAAAGGAAGGTATCTATACTTTTTGCATAGGTTATATGCAAATATTTTGCCATTTTATATCAGAGACTTAGCATTCCTAGATTTTGGTATCCACAGGCGTCCTGAAACCATCCCTCTTGGATACCAAGGGAAAACTTTTGAGTCCTTAAGTCCTCAAAAGCAATTGCAACAAAACCAAAAATTGACAGGTGGGACCTAATTAAACTAAAGAGTTTCTGCTCAGACATTTTTCGAAGTTACTGAAATGACTAAATGAATCAGATGCTTCAGACCACACCAAACTGCAGGTCATAAGCCATTAGTGGGACATTATATCATTTGGGTTTTTAAAATGCTGCTGCAGCTCCCAGCGTGATCAATGCAGAAGACAGTGATTTCTGCATTTCCAACTGAGGTACCTGGTTCATCTCATTCGGACTGGTTGGACAGTGGGTGCAGGCCACGGAGGGCGAGCTGAAGCGGGGCGGGGCGCTGCCTCACCCTGGAAGCGCAAGGGGTCAGGGGATTTCCCTTTCCTAGCCAAGGGAAGCCATGACAGACTGTACCTGGAAAATCTGGACACTTCCGCCCAAATACTGCGCTTTTCCAACAGTCTTAGCAAATGGCACACCAGGAGTATATCCCACACATGGCTAGGTGGGTCCCACACCCACACAGCCTTGCTCACTGCTAGCGCAGCAGTCTGAGATAGACCTGTGAGGCAGCAGCCTGGCAGGGGGAGGGGCGTCTGCCATTGCTGAGACTCGAGTAGGTAAACATTGTGGCTGGGGAAGCTTGAAGTGGACAGAGCCCACTGCAGCTTAGCAAGGCCTGCTGCCTCTGTAGACCCCACCCCTGGGGGCAGGGCATAGCTGGACAAACGGCAGCAGAAACTTCTGCAGACTTAAACGTCCCTGTCTGACAGCTCTGAAGAGAGGTGTGGTTCTCCCAGCACAGTGTTTGAGTTCTGAGAACCGACAGACTGCCTCCTCAAGTGGGTCCCTGAACCCCATGTAGCCTAACTGGGAGACAACTCCCAGTAGGGGCCGACTGACACCTCATACAGGCGGGTGCCCCTCTGGGACGAAGCTTCCAGAGGAAGGATCAGGCAGCAACATTTGCTGTCCTGCAATATTTGCTGTTCTGCAGCCTCCGCTGGTGATACCCAGGCAAACAGGGCCTGGAGTGGACCTCCCACAAACTCCAACAGACCTGCAGCTGAGGGACCTGACTGTTAGAAGGAAAACTAACAAACAGAAAGGAATAGCATCAACATCAACAAAAAGGACATCCACACCAAAACCCCATCTGTAGGTCACCAGCATCAAAGACCAAAGGTAGATAAAACCACAAAGATGGGGAGAAACCAGAGCAGAAAAGCTGAAAATTCTAAAAACCAGAGCGCCTCTTGTCCTCCAAAGGAACGCAGCTCCTCGCTAGCAAGAGAACAAAGCTGGATGGAGAATGACTTTGATGAGCTGACAGAAGTAGGCTTCGGAAGGCTGGTAATAACAAACTTCTCCCAGCTAAAGGAGGCTGTTCGAACCCATCGCAAGGAAGCTAAAAAGCTTGAAAAAAGATTAGATGAATGGCTAACTAGAATAAACAGCGTAGAGAAGACCTTAAATTACCCGATGGGGCTGAAAACCATGGCACAAGAATGTAGCAAACAATAAAATGTAACATTCTTCAGGAAAAAAAGCAAAATTAGAACTTCTAGAAAATATAGGAGAACATCTTTAACCTTGGGAGAAAGATGGATTTCTAAAGGCATAAAACAGCATAAACAGTAGGATAGAAAATTGATAAATTCAACTAAAATTTAAAACAATGCACTGAAAGACACACTATAGAAGTGAATCTCATATCAGGAGATACCTGCAAACACAAATATCAAAAGATAAGTATCAAGACTACTTTTTTTTTAACCCACAAATCAATAAGAAACAAAATAGCCAAATGGTCAAAGAATGTGAGCAGCAGTTCACAAAGAAAGCAAGCACCACAAATACAAAGATGTTCAACCTCAGTAATAACTAAGGAAATGTAAACTAAAAACTCCAAAGACGAGGTCTCCACACCAACTCACAGCCAGGCACACCCGTATTTTTATATAAGACTATATCATTACCGTCATCCGCAACCCCCTGCCCCACCAAATCTCAACGTCAAACATTCTAATCTACAGCCACCACTTCCCACCTCTCCAACTCACACTTTCTCAAGAAGGTCAATAATCCTTCTGCCCTGAAAAAATCTGTAGTCCTGTGATCCCAATATCTTTTTACTGCCCCTCATCTTCTCTCATATCTTCACTTATTTCCTTATCCCACTTAAATTCATTTCAATCATTCTAATCATCTCCTTTTCCCTCTCTCATTTCATTGCATTTGCTCTGCTAAACTGTAATCATGATTAAGTCCTACCCTTCCGTCCGGTCTTTCTGGGCCTGCACCCATACAGCACAATATGAGTCAGGGAAAAGTATACCTGTTCTCACCTTAAATTTATGAATACCAACTTCATGTGGGCCCCTATTGTCACCCAACATCTATACCACATTTTCCTACTTGGAAAATAGGAAACTATACTTTCCCACTTCCTTGACAACTATTTCTTACCTTCTGCTCTCTCCTTCCACTTCCAGTACCTCCTCCACAACACTTATCCATGGTTTTCTTAGACCACTTCCTCAAGCCTCCATGACATCTACCCATCTACCCATATCTATGCCCATATATTCTGCCTTTCCTCCAATTACAGTTGGAAAACTGCCCAAGCCCCAGCAATGGGCCATCCCTCCACCTGCACAATAGATCCTATCAAGCTCATATCTACTAAAGAACACAGATCCAGGAATTCTCACCCCTCCCCTTATGATTTTTGTCCCCTTTTCTGGATCTATCAACAAGTAAACATGTAGTTATTTCTCCCACCTTTAAAAAAATGTCTTAACTGGCCAAGCATAGTGGCTGACATCAGTAATCCCAGGACTTTGGGAAGCCAAGGCAGGATTGTTTGAGCCCAGGAATTCGAGACCAGCCTAAGCAACATAAGAAGACCCTGTCACTACAAAAGAAATGCCAAAAAAAGAAAAAATTAAAAAGTCTTGACTCACTTCTCCCACCAGCCCATTATTCTCCTTTCCTTTATAACAAAACTCCTTAAAATTAAGTCATTTATACCTGCTGTCTCAAACATCTCTTCCCACATTCTTTTTAAATTCAAGAAAAAATTTATGCCACCACTCCAACAAAACTGCACTTGTGAAGATCACCAATAACCTTCCTGTTAAATTTAACAGTCAATTCTTCATTGTCATCAACTGCATTTGATACAGATCTCTCCTCCTGCTTCAAAACACTTAAAGACACTACACTCTCTGGTTCTTTCTTCTACCACTCATGCTCAGTCTCCTTTGCTGGTCTCTTCTCTTTCCCCTAAACTCTAGACACTGTGGTGCCTGGGAATCAGTACTTCTCTAGGTAATAACTCCCCCTGTCATCTCATACATTCTCACGACTTTAAATATCATCTATAGGCTGGCATCACCCAAATGTATTATTGCCAACCCAGGCCTGGATCCTGAACCCCACATTCCTCTATCCAGCAGCCTGCTCCATGTCGCCTATTAGATGTTGTGCTGGGTCTCTTCCATGTGCCAATGCAGATTTATCCTCCACCCTTCTCCAACCTGTTCTACCCTAGAAGGTTGACCAATATGGATTACAACTTCCCTTGTCTTCTGGCTTCCAGTAGGTTAGACTTATGGAAGCCTTGGCAGAGGGAGGAAGAGAATGTTTATTCCTCTGACTCTCTCAGAGTGGGGTCATCTTCACTGGCTGAGTCCCCTCACCGAAGGTGATTCATTCTCCCAAGGCCAACTCTCTATGACTCCCTTCAAATTTCCAGTAACTAGGGTGGTAACATCTCTGCCGCTACTTGCCCTCTCAACACAGCACTACCTCAGTGCTTTCATTAGACTCTACACATACCTTTGTAAATGATTCCTTTGTCAAAGTGTTCAATTATATTGAGTGTGCCAGCCATTTATTAAGGAATTCTGACTGCAACAGGTATCAAAGTGACATCTCACTTTTAATACATGCAACACTGGTACCTCCTATAACTTACACACCTCAGTTAAGGGCAACTCCCTTCTTCTCACTGTTCAGACCCAAAACCTAGTGTCATCCTTACGTATCTTTTTCTCTCATACCCAGCATTTGCAAGTGCTCTCTGCTCTTCTCTCTACGTAGATCTAACCCAACCACTTTTCACCACCTCCACTGCTCTCCTCTGGACCCAGCAACCACCACCGCTGCTTACCTGGATTATTATTAGTGGCTTCCTAACTAGTCTACCTGCTACTAGTAGTAGCAGTGGCTTCCTAACTAGTCTACCCGCTCCCCTCTTGCCAGTCTTCAGTTCCTTCCAACACAGCAGAGTGATCCTGTTAACACAGGAGTGTTATATCACTCTTCTCTTCAAACCCTCCGCTGGTTTTTCATCTCACTCAGAATAAAAGAAAACATCTTTACAATGGTCTACAATACTACGCGATCTGGCTGGATAATGCCTTTCTGACCCCATCGCATATTCGCTCACGTTGCTTCTGCCACACTGGCCTTCCTTGCGATTCCCTATCCTCCTATCTCAAAGCCTTTGAGCTTGCTATTCCCTTTGCCTGGGACACTTTTCCCATAGATATCCTCACTTGCTCCCTCACCCTCCTCAGATCTTTGCTCAAATGTTATATTCTCAGTAAGACCCCTGGCTACTTCTAAAACTGGTTAACAGCCCTTCCTCATTTTATTTCTATTCTAAGCAATTATAGCATTTAACATTTTATATACTCTTCTTGTTTGTCTCTACCCTCTAGAAAGTCAACTCTGTGAGACAGGTGTCTATATCTGTTCTGTTCACCACTCTATGTCCAGCCTCTAAGCCAATAGCTGGAACAATGGGTACTTAAATATCTGTTGAATTAACTACACTAGATACCATTCAATCAACTGGTCACAATTTAAAAGTCCAACAGTACTAGCTATTTGCAGAGATGACGAACACCAGGAACTCTCTCATCTTTACCGTGGAAAGCAATTTGGCAATATCTAGAAAAGTTTATGATTGCACACCTAAGGAACCAACAATATTTTTTCTCAGTTGTCTATTTATTTATACAAACAAGGATAGTACACTAGAAAGCAGAATTGTTTCAAGGAGTATGGTCAGCTTACCTAGAAAACACTGCATACTCTAGAATTTTTATTATCAGAGAATGAAGTTGACCTCTCGAAAGTAAACCAATATAGCACCAAAACACTGAGTATGAAGAAAGCATGGAAGCTCTTCTCAGTCTTATGCTATCCTGAGAAGAAACTGATAAATCAGCAACAGAGTGGGAAAGAAATGTAAGCACATATCAAAAGACAAGACAGCTGCAATTACCAAAAAAACCAAAACCAATCACAGATAAACAAGCCACTTCAGAAGAAATCAGTAAGCAAAGAGACTACAAGAAAAATACATGAGAGACTCAATCCATGCCAGGTTTTTAATTATATATAAAATGCTAAAATAAATAACCAAAATCATAAACCAGAGGACAGGCCTGCTAGGTTGGACTAGAATTTTTTTTTTTTTTTTTTGAGACGGAGTTTTGCTCTTGTTGCCCAGGCTGGAGTGCAGTGGTACGATCTCAGCTCACTACAACCCCCACCTCCCAGGCTGAAGCAATTCTCCTGCCTCAGCCTCCCTAGTAGCTGGGATTACAGGTGCCCGCCACCACGCCCAGCTAATTTTTTGTGTTTTTAGTAGAAACGGGGTTTCACTATGTTGGCCAGGATGGTCTCGAACTCCTGACCTCAGGCAATCTACCTGCCTCGGCCTCCCAAAGTGCTGGGATTACAGGCGTGAGCCACCATGCCCAGCCTGGACTAGAATTTTTAACTGCCTTCCAACATTTATGAAGTATCTTTTTTTTGACAGATACTAGTAACTGACTACACAACTGATTGAATTAAATCTACTTTAGTCC
Organism: Homo sapiens; assembly: GCF_000001405.40. Taxonomy (NCBI): domain Eukaryota; kingdom Metazoa; phylum Chordata; class Mammalia; order Primates; family Hominidae; genus Homo; species Homo sapiens. Next base: position 34,001,427 of record NC_000015.10, read on the forward strand.
ACAAGTTAATTTCATTGTATTACTTCAATTTTCTCCCCCTAGATCTTCTGGCAGAACAGCTGTTGAGAATTAAAACTAACCAGCTCATATTTTACCTTCATTCCCCTTCTCCCACCTTGAAGAAAAGTGCTTATAAACCCATAATTGGCCAAAATATAGGTACCAAGAGGGAAGCACTCATTTTACAGGAAAAATTATTTAGTGTTACCAGTTCTTGAACAGTCAATGAGTTGAGAGCAATCCACAAACCTAAAGAAGTTATGCTATTTGAATCATCTACGGTAATGACGAATCCTGTGCTCCTGACTCACAATTTTATGATCTACTTCTTTCCTGCTCGGAAAAGCACATTCTATTAAGTTAGAAGAGAATGCATCACTTTATTGTTCTTAGTCTGGTGCCAGCATTCAAAAATACAGGCAGATAAAGAAGAAAGGTAGAACTAAACAGCAACATCAAAGTCATGAGGAAGAAAAAATTCAAAGCAGTCCCAAAGTATTATTTTTGTTTTACTTCCCTGCTTCTCACATCTGCATCCTTTATATCTTTTTAACCTGGCAATAATTATTTAGCGACGTAATTGCAGATTCACACACAGTTATAAAGAAATAATACAGAAAGATCTCTTGTACACATTGCCCAGTTTACCCCAATGATAACATTTTGCAAAACCATAATATAATATCACAACCAGAAGACTGACACTGAAACTGATACAATCTGCCAATCTTATTCAAATTTATTCATACTCATTTGTGCACACGTGTGTATATTAAGTTCTACACAATTTTATCACCTGCGTAGGTTCGTGTATCTGCCACCGCAGTCAAGATACTAATCAGTGTCAGCATCCCAGGGATCTGTCACGCTGCCCCTTTATAAGCACATCCGCCTCCCACCCTCCCATCCCCAACACCTGGAAATCACTAATCTATCTTCCAGTTATTCTTTAAACTCTTACGCCACACCTCAGTAGGGACCCTGCAGCCATCTGTACACCCAGCACTCCTCCATTCTTCCCTGTTACTGCTCTCCAGCATCACATCACTCAAGGTGCAATCAATCTTAGATTACAGCTGATCACGGAAAGGCTGGGTTTTTCACTTTATTGACAGAGAAGACTATCCAAAAGCAAAAACAAAAACTTGGTGTTCAAGTGCATATAGCTCCAATATGTGCATATCCACTACTATGTATATACCTGGCTACTTAAAAAAAGGAAAAAAAAGAGAACATATATTCTAGAAACTTTATAATGCTTCCTACAAATATAAGGAATGTTTCCTCCAATATCAAAGAAAACATTTATGTTTCTCAGACTATCAAATTTACAGCAGCATGGCTCAGCTTTTTCCACTTATAGAAAGCCTTTTATCTATCGCAAAGACTTTAGTCATTCTACATCGGTACATGGAAACCCTTACTTCCACTTAAACTCATTTTTTTCCCTTACAAGCCATTAGAAACACTGTCCTTTACTTGAATTAAAAATCCAAAGAACAAAGGATAAATTGCTAGTTATAAAAGTAGAATTTAAAAACATATATAAAATGTCTGTGCAACTTTCAGAGCACTAAACAGTATGCATGCAACTGGAATTCATACCTGCAGAGCTAAGGAGGACACTGAAATCTGTTCCCCTCTGTGACTCTCCACTTTCATTATTGACCTCTTTTTCAATATCTTGATATCGATCCCAGTTAGAGACAATCTTTCTTTTAGAATAATTTCCCTGTTCATCATTCTCTTCTCCATAGGTCTCTGCATCGCTGTCATCTTCAACCTGCAATCATTAGAGACAAATCAATAAGTAAGCAGTGGAAATCCTGACCTTAGTAGACTTCCCAGTAAAACAAAAAAGTACATGGACATAACAATAAAAAGCAATAGACCAAGCTGTCTGAAGATATTAAATATTATTTTAAGAGAATCACACTATACCAGAGTGTTCTTTTAGGGTGAACTTTCCAGTAATCATTGAAAAGGAAATCTAGCAAGCAGCTGCCTAAACATTTGTGTAGCTGATCTCTAAAATTTATCCCTATGTATCCTATTTCAATAGTTGCTTCATCCAGTTGAAATAATCAAGGCTGTAAGCATCTTAAACTCAAAGGACTTCAGGATGGAAATCAACTCTCCCTTTCAATTTATGGATATGGATTTTACAAACACATTCCATAAACATGTTTAAAAGCTTTATTTAATTTTTTAGAGCAATGAAAGTATGACATTATTTAAAACTATTTAACTTAAACATATATTACTAGGAAAACACTATTACATATAGTGAGGGACAATGACTTGTGAAATGGAGTGTGAATTTACATGGTACTACATTTATACATAAGATTCCATACTCTAGAATAATGAAAACCATTCCACATCTACATTTGTTTTAGTACTTCTTATTAACAACTTGAGTTTGAAATAAATACATGTTATGACCAGAACCATCCAGATAGGTGATTAATGAACATTCTGATGTTATATATTGACTCAAATCTATTTTTAAATATTGAGAGGAGACAAATTACTGACAAAGTCAAGGCCACTTCATTTGCCCTTGATAGCCTTCTGTGAGTGCCCTCTCAGGTACTCTCTTAGCACTCTCCAGGCTCAATTTCTACAACTTGCCTGTGTGATTGTTCAGGTAGCGTCTGTGTGAGCAACTAGTTGTATACATGTGGACACACACACATACACAATGCTCCTAGAAAAAAGCTAGCACAAAATCTTAATTCAATAGAAAAGCTTGGGTATAAAAAAGTTCCCTGTATTACAACTGACTATGTTGTATAGATTTTTAAATAGGAACCCTGCTCAGATGCATGCTAGAGAACAGTTTCCAGTATTGGGCACTGAAAGGTTAAGAGAGCATGCAGAAAGATGCACAATGTGAACAATTCTAGAAGATAAGGAACCCAGTTTCTTCAATAAATAAACTGAAAGAGAAAAAAATGGTGGGAGAGGATGGAGAAACCTATAAACCAAAAGAGCTTAAGGCATAATCAGTTGTAATGTAGGGAACTTATTTGTACTGATTTGAACAATCTAGAGAAAATAATGACTATGAGACAACTGGGAAAAAGTAAATAATGACTGGATATTTGATTATATTAAGGAAATACCACTAATTTATTGTTTGTTTGTTATAATACTGGTATTGCAATTTTTTAAAGTGTTGTTAACTTTTAGATATAAACACTGAACTCTTTATGGATGAAAAGATAGGACATGTGAGGTTTGCTCCAAAATAGTGGGTGGAGAGGAATGGTGGATAGACATGAAATATACTATACTTAATTGGTAATTGCTGAAGCTGGATGATGGGTACATGGAAAATCACTGTATTATTATTCTATCTACTTTTGCATGTATTTAAATTTTTTCATAATAGAATATTAAATTTTTAAAACAGAGATGCATGTAGAATCTAAAGACATGGTTCAAAGATGTGTCCCAAACATTACAAAATCCTTATCAAGAAAAAAATGAGTAAAATTATTAAAACAACTCATCTGTATAGGATGGGTTAGTGTGGACTTAAAAAAAATAATGAGCTTTTATTAACACAGAAGCAGGACATATGCACTGGAGAAAATTAGGAGGAAAAGACAAGCAAAACTAAAATATATAAAAACCCCAAATTCCCTCACCCACAGAGTACCACTAACCCCTCAGTACACATACTTCCAGATCTTTTTCTATGTATATATTTATATATACTTCTTTTTGGTCACTAGATTTTTAAAAAATATTCTTCATCTCTCCACTTAATAAATTTCATTTCATATAACATCCAGGCTAGTTCCAAATTTCCGTAACCCAAAAAATGTCCTATACAGCTGGTTTTTCCAAGACAGTATCCAATCCAGGACCAGGAATTGTATCTAATTGTTTATTCCTTAAGTCTCTTTGAATCTAGCACAGTCCCTATTTTTACGACCCTGACTTATTGACAAGGCCAGGCTAGGTCTGTTTGCTTCCTCATGGTATTATTTACAGATTTTTTTTATCTCCAATATTATCTATAAACTAATCTTAAAAATGTAAGTGCTCAATGGAGTCAAGCTAAATATTTTTGGCTAAAATACAGATGCTGCTTTGAACCCTTTGTTACAGCACATAAGATGGCTGAACAAACATAAGCACTATATATAATAACTAAGATGGACCACAGGGTTTGGATAATGAAGTCTGATCCACTCACCCACTGTACAGATATGTCTTCCCTCTTTCATCGAGGAAATTGTTTGTGCAGTGTTATTTGATCCACTGTAAATTTCTAGTTCCCCAACCATTCACTTAACAAATTTAACACTAGTCAATAATCCTCACCTGAATCAACTTTCATACACTTTCATGAAATAGACTAATTGGCCTTTCAAGATCACGTTCAGCCCACAAATATCATCATAAGCCTCCCTGTCAAAACAAAAAGATGGCGTTCTACATTATGATCTAGGGACTGCAAAGACTGCCTGAAAACTAGAGCATTCCTGCAAGTTTCTCAGAACCAAAAGATGCTGGCAGATTAAAGAGATATAATAGAATCTGCTATGTAAATAACAAATACCAGGAACATTCTACAGAAAATAGCCTTGGCCAGGCACGGTGGCTCACACCTGTAATCCCAACACTTTGGGAGGCCGAGGAGGGCAGATCACAAGGTGAGGAGATCGAGACCATCCTGGCTAACATGGTGAAACCCCATCTCTACTAAAAATACAAAAAATTAACTGGGCATGGTGGCGGGCACCTGTAGTCCCAGCTACTCAGGAGGCTGAGGCAGGAGAATGGCGTGAATCCAGGAGGCGGAGTTTGCAGTGAGTCAAGATCACGCCATTGCAATCCAGCCCGGGCAACAGAGCGAGACTCCGTCTCAAAAAAAAAAAAAACAGCCTTGTAACTGATGAGAATTTGCGGGACAGAACTAGAGCTGAAAACACCAGCAGGGTTTTGTCTGGGAAAATTCAATATTCTTTTGTTGGCCCATTGGGTGAACAGAGTTCAGAGAGGCTTCTCCAGTCAGTATAAAACCTATAAAACCTCTGAACACAGCTGTAACACATGGCAAAAATGTAAATCTGGGCAAAATAATTACCTTGATCTAAAAGAGGATTATGATCTAAAACACCTAAGGAACGATTAATGCAGTGAAACAAGCACTGAAATGGAAAGTGGGAGACCTAAACCGAATTAATGGTCCTGCCAAGTGTTTATAATAGGCTGATCCTTATGCATATGAATAACTCACCAGTCCCCAAATTAGAAGAACCACTGAACAAGGATCTCATTACCCCTACACAAATGCAGAGACAGAGTTGTCATTAGCCTTCATTCACAAGAGAGTAGTAAGAAGTAATATAATAATAAAAAAGTTTAGAAGACATTTGATGTAACTGAAAGATGTATCTTAAAAACTAGAGGTTTTATAGGTTCATTGTGCAAAGATGTGAGACAAAATAAAAATATGCAAAGCCTCAATATGGAGAAAAAGAACAGAGCAAATAAAATACTGATCAGAAAACAAGGTGAAAACTATAAAGATAAAGGCATCATTTTCATATAAATATTGTTACAAAATTAGTCTGGTGGTTTTCACTGTAATAGTTCATACCTGGACATCGGTCACTGGTTGCATTGTTCAGAGATTAACAGGAATCCATTTAGATTAATAAGCTGAAGACCTATTATATAATCAAACTACTGCCGAGCTATTATCTTGTCCAATGACACACACACACAAATCCATTTAAAACAAATTGAGATTTTCAACTAGAAAGAGTAGCTTAATGTTTTGCAGCTTTTCCAATAGGCAAGGGTCATTTTTGACCTCACCTGCTCTGCAGAATGAAAATGAAAAAATGAAATAAAAAAATGAATCAACTTTCTAATAATAAGAATTGTCATGATAACTCCATGTCATTCTCCAAACAGAAGAGCCGACGGCCCCTTACATATTCATATTAGAACTGTACAGAACATAATTCAGCCAAATTCTCTGCCACTTTCAAACCAGGCACGCTTTTCCTCTAGTGTCCATTAACATGTTCCTCATTTCCATCTGAGACCTACCCAGAGTCGCCTTTAATGTCCATATTTCTACCAACAGTATCTTCAAGACAACGTAGGCTGCTTCTATCATGCACCTTAAAATTCTTCCAGCTTTTACTCACTACACAATTCCAAAGCCACTTCCACACTTTTAGGTATTGGTTAGAGCAACACCCCATTTCCTGGTACCGTATTACTTTCCTACAGCTGCCATAACAAAGTATCACAAATTAGATGGCTTAAAACCACAGAAATGTTTTTCTCTCTCAGTTCTGGAGGCTAGAAATCTGAAATCTGGGTATTGGTAGGGTTGGCTCTTTCTGGAAGTTCTGAGGGAGAATCTATTCCATGACCTTCTCCAGCTTCTAGTGGTTGCTGGCAACCTTAGCATTCCTTCCTTTGCCATTTTCACATGGCATTTTCTCCTCTATGGGTGTGCATCTTCTCCATTCTTATGAGGACATGAGTTATACTGGATTAGGGCCTACCTTAATCAAGTAAGACCTTACTTTATCTTTGATTACATCTGCAAACAACCTATTTCCAAATAAGATCACACTCAGAGGTACTGCAGATTAGAATTTAAACCTATCAAAATTCTTGGAAGAAAAAATCACCTATCACAGGAGAAAAAAATAGTCGAAAATAATGGGTGGGCCTGGCACCATGGCTCACTTCTGTAATCCCAGCACTTTGGGAAGCCAAGGCAGAAGGATTGCTTGAGGCCAGGAGTTCAAGACCAGCCTAGGCAACATAGCAAGACCCTATCTCCACGAAAAAGATAAAAATTAGCCAGGTATGGTGGTGTACCTCTGTTGTCCCAGCTACTCAGGAGGCTGAGGTGATAGGATCAGCTGACCCAGGAGTTTGAGGCTGCAGTGAGCTGTGATTGTGCCACTGCACTGAAGCCTGGGGGACAGAGCAAGACCGTGTCTCTTAAAAAGAAAAAAAAAAAGAAGAAAAATAATGCCTGAAAACTTCCCAAAGTTGATGAAAAACCTTTTTTTTTTTTTTTTTTTTTTTGAGACAGAGTCTTGCTCTGTCACCCAGGCTGGAGTGCAGTGGCACAATCTCGGCTCGCTGCAACCTCCGCCTCCCGGGTTCAAGTCATTCTTCTGCCTCAGCTTCCCAAGTAGCTGGGACCACAGGCGTGTGCCACCATGGCAGGCTAATTTTTTGTATTTATAGTAGAGACAGGGTTTCACCGTGTTAGCCAGGATAGTCTCAATCTCCTGACCTCGTGATCTGCCCGCTTCAGCCTCCCAAAGTGATGGGATTACAGGCGTGAGCCACCGTGCCTAGCCGATGAAAAACCTTTATACATCCAAGAAGCTCAATGAACTTCTAGTGTATATGCAAAGAGATTCATAGATACATAATAAAAAAGCTAAAAGCCAAAAACAAGGATTCTGCAGACCCACTCCATTTTGTTAAGATAAAATTAAAACACACACTCACACGTGCGCGCGCGCACACACACACACACACACACAGACCATCGAGAAAACACTGAAAATCAAGAAAAAGGAAAAACCAACTCATCACAAGGCAACCCAAAGAAAATTAATGGCTAACTTCTCATCAGAATCAACGGAAGCCAGAAGGCAATAATATAACATATTCAAAGTGTTGCTAGGAAAAAAAATAAACTGTCAGCCAAGAATCCTACATACAAAAAAGCTATCTTTCAAAAGTGAGGGTGAAAAAAAGACATTCCCAGATAAACAAAACGTAAGAAAATTTGCTCTAACAGGCCCACCTTACAAGATACACTAACAAAGTTCTTCAAACTAAAAACAAGTGGTCCTAAACAGCAATTCAAATCCACATGAAAAAAACAAATCCACATGAAAAAACCAGTAATTATGTAACTATAAAATATCACATAAATGCATATTTCTTCTCTTGTCTTCCCTTTACTGATTTTAAAAGCAATTCTATAAAACAATATGTGTATAATTGTATTGCTGGGCCTATAACATAGATTTTTTTAAAAAATCAATATCCAACTACAGCTGTCTACAGGAGATTCACTTTAGATTCAAAGATACAAGTAGCAGTAAAATAAAGAAAAAGCATAAAAAAATTCTATGCAAACACTAAAGAGCTAGCATGACTACATAAATATCAGACAAAATAGACTTTAAAACAAAAATCGTTATAAAGACCAAGAAGGCTGTTACATAATAATAAAAAGGTCAATCAAAAAGATATAACAATAGGGCCAGGCACAGTGGTTCATGCCTGTAATCCCAATGCTTTGGGAGGCCAAGGTAGGGAGGGTCGCTTGAGGCCAGGAGTTTGAGATCAGCCTGAGCAACATAGAGAGCATTGCTACAAAAATAAAAATAAAAAATTAGCTGAGCATGGTGGCATGAACCTGTAGTCCTAGCACTTGAGCCCAAGAGTTTGAAGTTACAGTGAGCTATGATCATGACACTGTACTCCAGCCTGGGCAATGGAGTGAAACCCTGTCTCTTAAAAGAAAAAAAAGAAACATAATAATTATGAACATATAAACATATGCTCCTAGGAACACAGCTTCACAATATATGAAGCAAAAACTGACAGAATAGAAGGGAGAATAGAAAGTTTAACAATAATAGTTAGAAACTTCAAGCCCCTACCTTTAATATGGATTAGACTGACTAGACAAAAGGAACCATATGCTTAACAGAAACAATAAAAAGATTTACTTACTGAAGCTACCATCCTATTTAACTTACAATAAATAAACAATAATTTACATTAATTTATAATCTGCTTAATTTAACTGGCCCACCTATGAACAGTATATTTGGACAACCTTATTCATTAAATATCCTACCTTTTCTTTCCAAAATAAATAAATAAATAAAAGAAGTTGCCAAGAGAATACTTACAGATTATCTCTATCACCAAGAGCCTTCAGATGAGCCAGTAAAATTTCAGAAGTTATTAATACTAATAACATATAACAACCAGACAACAGATCCTATTTAAAGCCTTTTATGTTTAAGAACCTAGTTTTTGCAGGTCCCTGGTTCTACTTTCTTCTGGAGCAAAAAGGTATAGAAAAGGCTTTCCTGTTTTGAAGCTAGTAAGGAGTTCAAAAACATTCACACCATTTTTCACCCACCTCCTATGTTCCTCACAAAAGGTAAATTATATCATAGAGGTGAATAGGTAGAATAGAAAGAAATGAGAAAGAACACATTTAAGGAAACCCTCCAACAAAAAAGTCACCAAAAACTAATCACAGTGATTACTAATGTCAAATATTCTCAATTAAAATTTTACAATGTGTATAACTGAAAAATAATACTAATTCAGCCCATTTCAAAATGTTTAATGTTACTGAGCTTTAAAATATATAACTGATTAATAGTTAATTGCCAACTTTTATATTTGTAAACCTATTAAGGTCATTTTTATCTTATATAATCATTTGGACCATAAGCAACAACTTACACTACTTTTTTCACTATTAAAAAACATTATCTTTTTAACAATAGAAAAACTCATAAACCATCATAATTAAAGAATTCAATGACAGTTTTCGATATTTGAAAAGTGTGCTAGGGCCGGGCATGGTGGCTCATTCCTATAATACCTGCACTTTGGGAGGCCTAGGCAAGAGGATTACTTGAGCCCAAGAGCTCAAGGCTGCAGTAAGCTATGATCATGCCACTGCACTCCAGCCTGGGTGACAGAGCAAGACTCTGTCTCAAAAAAAACTTTGTTTACTAGGCCTATACGAAAAAGGAAAAAAAGGCAGGGGGAACTACGCTAGCAAAAACAATTCTTTCAAGAAGTGAAATTTCAATAAAACATTGAATAAAAAAGGATACGGATATACAAAAAAGGGCGTTTCCATTTGTCTTTGTGTATTAAATAAAATATATGTTGTATATTAAATAAGATATGCATGATCATATTTGAAAAAATTAATAAATGCAGTATATGGCATATATGTGAATTATCTCTTGATCCCAGAACAATGTACATAATAATAAATAATTGGGCTCCAAAATACTGTGGCCATTAAGAATGGGAATAAAATGATCCACATGATAGTCAAATTCAACTGTTTCTCTAGCAAAAGAAGTATATACAGCTGTCCTTCCTTGTGGTCAGTATATGGAAAAAGCAGAGGGGAAGGGAGGAGAGAGGCATCCCACAACCAAGAAAATGGGAACTCAACCCTCAGTGCAGCTGTTCAACCACTCATCTCACAGGCCTCTCATTCCATCTCTCTCTTTCCCTAAGTCCTTATATCTTTCTCATGTGTGTCATTTTGCTTCCAAGTCGGCTAAAACTGGAAGGCACAGGAAGGTAATTTGCATCTGTAGGCAGCCCACACCAGGGACAGACTATGGGATTTCTCAAAGTCAAGACCTTGCGAGTTCTATGCTTCAATGACTTAAGGATAATTTGGGAAATTAGACTGGAGTAACTTTTATTGGACTAATTAGTGATTTTAAACTACAGTTTGTGGAGGTCCTTTTAGGGAGTCCTTGTAGAAAGGAAGGGGGAAATGGCAATAGAATCAGTTTCATTTTATCTGCTTTAAAAAATGAGCTTCTTATAAGAATTTGGGACTTCTGAAGCTTTTTAACAAGGTTTGGAAATTACCAAATTAAGCCATTTTGCAAGTCCCAACTCCCAGGTAAAGTCTATGAGCTAGATTACCATCAACAACTTTTCTAGTAAAGAAGGCATTAAATGGTCCTATATAAAGACAATTTGCTTCTTGACGTGGTTATGATCTGAGAGAAAAGATACCGTTTTGCTTTGCCAATCTATTTAATCCACAGACACACACAATAAGTAGTGACACAACTAGAAGGCCTATAAGTAAAACATTTCCTTTGTTAAATCATATGATTAAAGGTCATCTGTATAAAAAATATCTTTATATAAATACCCTGAGCATTTCTGGGTGATCTTGGTGTGCAAAATATATTTACCTGAACCATTGCCACTGACCATTTACTGTTTTTCTGAAGGCGGAAAGGGATGCTTCAGGTACATCTGCCTCTCTGTTCCATTTTTGCTGGGATTTCACTGCATATGCTTAATGCTGCAAATGGCCAGATTTTCTTTTGTCTCTGTCTCAGTTAAATTTTCAACTCTCTTATCTACCAGCGTAAGTCTGGTTTCCTTAGTCACTCAGGTTTTAATGTCATCACATTCCACTTTCCAGAAAAATCAGACCATTAAATAGCTGTCTTCTGGCCCACTTGAAGATATTTTCCAAACTCTCAAGTCGCCAGAGGAAGAGAACTTTAACAAGTAAAGCATTACTGAACTAGAAGGAACCTAGATAGGTCAAGCCTCTGCCCTCAAGCAAGAACATGCAGAAATCACATTGCACCAGTCTGTCCTACGGCTAGGTTCTGGGGTTATGTTTACTCTTCACCTAAGTTAACCATTATTTTTTCCTTTATAAGCACAAATTTCCAATTTCTTAATCATTGTCATGGTCTGTTTTAAATTTCCTAAATTCCCCACCAGCTTTTTTAATGGTTATAATCAAAATGAATGTAGCATACTAAGGACCTGACCAGTGTCTCCTCCTATCACAGTGGTTTTTTTGTTTGTTTGTTTGTTTTTTGAGACAGAGTCTCACTCTGTCGCCCCGGCTGGAGTGCAATGGCGCAATCTTGGCTCACTGCAACCTCTGCCTCCTGGGTTCAAGCGATTCTCATGTCTCAGCCTCCTGAGTAGCTGGGATTACAGGCGCGCGCCACCACGCCCAGCTAATATTTGTATTTTTAGCAGAGGTGGGGTTTCACCATGTTGGCCAGGCTGGTCTCAAACTCCTGATCTCAAGTAATCCATCTGCCTTGGCCTCCCAAAGTGCTAGGATTACAAGTGTGAGCCACTGGGCCTGGCCAAATGTTTTAAATAAAATGAAAATAAAAACAGTCACCTTGATAGTTCCTTCCCAGGATAAACTTATTTCTTTAAGTACAACTCTAAGTGGCACTTATTGTTACATTTGTCTGTCCTGCAATATGTCCACAGAGAGCTACTTTTGCTCCTTGCACCACTAAATTGCCAATATTCATTTAACAGTGTTTCCTGAGTAGTTACTGACTTCCAGCACTGGATCAGGCATTGGGAATACAAAGACCAATAAGCCAAGGGCCCAGGCCTCAAGAACTCACAGTGCTGTGGGAAACACGGAGAAGTAAACATATATAGTGTGATATCAGCTACTATAAAACATTCACAAGATGTTACGGAAGCACAGAAAAAACATCACCAATGGGGGAGAAGGGGGAATGGGGGACATCTTCAGGACCAGGCTTGTGAGCCAGTGGGAAGCAGGAGGATGACATCACAGGCTGAGGGAAGAGTATGTACGAGGACCCATGAGCGAGAAACAGTTCTGCTCTAGATGTAGACTCACGGCCTGAGATGAGCCTACTGAAGGAACGGCTGCTATCTTCCGCCTGCTGACTCTTCCCAACCTCAAGAACAGAGGGAACTCACATTATCCCCTGCCTTGGTATTAGCAAAGAACGTGCTTCTAACCAAGAGATAACAGCTGTTCAAAACAAAACCCGGGGAGATCAACAATGGGAAATTTTAAAAAAGAAAAACACATTTAGCTGGGCACAGTGGCTCACGCCTGCAATCCCAGCACTCTGGGAGGCCAACATGGGCGGATCACCTGAGGTCAGGAATTTGAGACCAGCCTGGCCAACATGGCAAAACCCCATCTCTACTAAAAATATGAAAAATTAGCCAGGCGTGGTGGCACGCACCTGTAACCCCAGCTACTTGGGAGGCTGAGGCAGGAGGATTGCTTGAACCCAGGAGGCAGAGATTACAGTGAGCCAAGATTGTGCCATTGCACTCCAGCTTAAGCAACAAGAGCGAAACTCCATCTCATTAAAAAAAAAAAAAAAAACAAAAACAAAAACCACGTTTGAGGATTCTGGGAAGATGGCAGCAGCAGCAGTATGGTTTTCCCAGGTCCCCTGATAAAAAATACAAAGAGCAACTAGGGTAACAAAATCAAAAATCCATGGGAAACAGCCACAAAAGCCTAGGTGACAAAGTATCTCCACAAAGTCCCAAAGATGAACAGGTACAAATCACCAATAGTCACAAGACCTGTAAGGTAGGTACCAGTGTCTGTGAGAGGAAGCAGAGATGGGATCAATGCAGCATCTGACAGACCTGGGCATCCCAAAACAAACAACAGGCACTCAACTGGAAAGTTCAGCGGGCCCATCTGGGAACAGCGGCTAAATATGTTGGGTCTACTCCAACAGCTGGTGAGTTCAAGGAATTTGCAGCTAAGGCTGAAGGAGCTGAGAATGTGGCCCCTTGACCTCTCAAAACTAACTGGCCAAAAGCTCTTTTGCCAGACAAAACTCCACTCTGAAGAAAAACTCCTGGGGGCAGAATTCAAATTGAGCAGAAGAGGAATAATAAAAGATAAACAGAAAGGAAGGGTCAGATACAGGGGGTGAGGGGTGCCGGATTTGAGAAGCAGGGACCATCTTTTTAATCACTTCAAGACAACAGAAGACTTCTGGTACTCTAGAGTCCTGAAGCCTGAAAAGCTGTCCTTAACAGTGTGTCTCCCTTCTAAAAGCTGGGAAAACTGGCTTTCCATGAAGATGAGCAACAACAAAGGATCACAGTCAAATCCCATTCAAAGCTGTTATCATAAGGAAAAAGATAACAAAGGAGCACTTTTTAAAAAATTCCACAAAATAGGCCGGGCGCAGTGGCTCACGCCTGTAATCCCAGCACTTTCGGAGGCCAAGGCAGGCGGGTCACGAGGTCAGGAGATCGAGACCATCTTGGCTAACACAGTGAAACCCCACCTCTACTAAAAATACAAAAAATTAGCCAGGTGCGGTGGCGGGCACCTGTAGTCCAGCTACTCGGGAGGCTGAGGCAGGAGAATAGCGTGAACCCGGGAGGCGGAGCTTGCAGTGAGCCGAGATCGCACCACTGCACTCCAGCCTGGGTGACAGAGCGAGACTCCATCTCAAAAAATAAAAAAAAATAAAAAAATTCCACAAAATATCCAAAAATGTTTTATTATAATACAATCTCACTGTTTTAGGATAATTTGGGAAATTAAACTAACTAAAAATTCCACCCTCGGTCTTTAGGAGCTAAGAATAAAAAAGTAACAGTTGTCAGCTCTCAGTCTTGCTCAGAAACAGCAACACATGAGGGAAAAAAAAGTGGGTAGAGAGACTCTAACAGACAAAAAGGTAAACCAACCCACAAAGCTAATGTTCAATGACACGTCTCACACGGATCTTCACTCCATCCCTTTCCTTCTCCAAGTCCTTATATCTTTCTCATAGGTGTTATTTTATTTCAAAGATAAAATGATAAAAATGAGAGGCATGAAAGAGTAATTACCATTCGTTAGCAGAATCAACAATTGGAGACAGTACATTCCTGGCTCCTTAGATGCACTCTTAACTTTCCTTCAAATAATACACCCTCAGATCTGAACAGTAACCATTATGTGACATAAAACTGGAAAGCGGCTGGGCGCGGTGGCTCATGCCTGTAATCCCAGCACTTTGGGAGGCCAAGGTGGGCGGATCGCCTGAGGTCAGGAGTTCGAGACCAGCCTGACCAACATGGAGAAACCCCGTCTCTACTAAAAATACAAAATTAGCTGGGCATGGTGGTGCACGCCTGTAATTCCAGCTACTCGGTTACAGTGAGCCAAGATCGTGCCATTGCACTCCAGCCTGGGCAACAAGAGCAAAACTCCATCTCAAAAAACAAAAACAAAAACAAAACCGGAAAGCAACTTATCTCTCCTAGGTTCTGCATTAGAATGAAGTGCACAGTACTATCAGATCAACAAAACAACAGACTTTTAAAAATCTTATTATGTAGTAAACTTACAATACTAATAGACACTGAGTTGGGCTCGCATGGGTACTGACCTCTCCATCTCACCTGGTCAATTATCTGCTTCCTGGTACTTGATTCTCTGCATGTGGCCACATGACTCTTTTTTCTTACAAATTTCCCCCTTTCCCTTCATACCACACTTCAGTCAAAAGTATCTCAGCAATATTTATCTCCTGGGCTACAAAATGTAACCTGAATCTTTAAAAAATATTACCAACAGGAGTTTTTGATCCAGTCAACAAACTTTTCTCCACTAACTAAAGCCAAGTGTCTCTGCCTGCTTGTATGCTATGGAGTATGTAATCAGAAACAAATTAAATACTCAGAGAATTCCCTTCTCTGGTGAGTGGTCCATTTTAAACCAGCGTAACCGTTTGGTCAAAAACAAAAGGTTTGTTTCTTCTTCACATTCAGAGTTCTAGACCATTACCTTCTAAATAACTCAGGTTCACCAAAATATCACTTGCCAACACCCACGTGTGGTGGCACACGCCTGTAATTGCAGCACTTTGGGAGGCCAAGGTGGGTGGATTACTAGAGCCCAGGAATTCAAGATCAGCCCGGACAACATGGCAAAACCCCATCTCTACAAAAAAGTACCAAAAATTAGCCAGGCATGGTGGCACATCCCTGTAGTCCAAGCTACTCAGGAGGCTGAGGTGGGAGGATCACCTCAGCCTGGGGAGGTCAAGGCTGTAATGAGCTGTGATTATGCCACTGCATTCCTGGATGACAGAATGAGACTCTGTCTCAAGGGGGAAAAAAAAAGGTATCATTTGACAAAGCTTCTCACCTACAATGAATCCAACCACCCGTCTCAAATCCACCCACTCTGTTCACCTATTAACAATTCATCCAAAAGCCTAGAACTGAGCTCTCATACAAAATGAAACAAAGCAAAGCAAACACCACCACCCCATTTTAAACAGCATGGAGATCTCATCCCTGTTCCATAAAGTTAAGCAGATTCCCCAAAGAATGACATTTCAAAAGAGAAAATATCAATCACCTAAGATTTTTCAGGTAATGTCCCTATCCCCACATAACTACCCATTCTCGTAAGATGCCAATTAACCAAGATAAGTGATTTCAGTATGATTTTTTTTTTGTTTTTTTTTTTTTTTTGAGACAGGGTCTTGCTATGTCATCCAGGCCGGAGTGCAGTACTGCGATCAGCTTATTGCAACCTCCATCTCCCAGTTCAAGCAATTCTCCTGCCTGAGTCTCTCAAGTAGCTGTGACTACAGGTGCATGCCACCACACCCAGCTAATTTTTGTATTTTTAGTAGAGACAGGGTTTCACCATGTTGGCCAGGCAGGTCTCGAACTCCTGACCTCAAGTGATCCACCCACCTCAGCCTCCCAAAGTGCTGGGATTACAGGATTGAGCCACTGAGCCTGGCCAGTAAGCCTAAGGTTCTAAAATTATTAAAAACTCCATTGTCTAGCAACTAAGTAATGCACCACATACCATTTTGGTCAACAATGGACCATATTTACAACAGTGGTCCCATAAGGTTATAATGGAGCTGAAAATAATGTCATAGTGCACAGCATTATTCACAGGTCTGTGGCGATACTGATGTAAACAAACCTACTACATTACCAGTCATATAAAAGTCCAGCACATACAATTATGTACACTACATAATACTGACAATGATACTAAATGGTTTATGTATTTACTATATTATACTTTTTACCATTATTTTAGAGTACAGTCATTCTACTTACTTCTTAAAAAAGCTAACTGTAAGCCTCAAGCAGGTCCTTCAGGAGCTATTCCAAAAGAAGGCATTGTTACATAGGAGATGACAGCTCCATGCATTTTGCTGACCCTAAAGTCCTTCCAGTGGTACAAGATGTGGAGGTGGAAGACAGTGATATTGTGTCCGGAATTTATTCCTTCTTGTGGGTTCTCGGTCTCACTAACTTCAAGAATGAAGCCGCAGACCGTCGCGGTGTGTTACAGTTCTTAAAGATGGTGTGTCCAGAGTTTGTTCCTTCAGATGTTCAGATGTGTCGAGTTTCTTCCTTCCGGTGGGTTCGTGGTCTCCCTGACTTCAGAAGTGAAGCCACATACCTTCGCAGTGAGTGTTACAGTTTTTAAAGGTAGTGCGTCCAGAGTTGTTTGTTTCTCCCGGTGGGTTCGTGGTCTCGCTGACTTCAGGAATGAAGCCGCAGACCCTCGTGGTGAGTGTTACAGCTCATAAAGGTAGTGCAGACCCAAAGAGTGTGCAGCAGCAAGACTTATTGTGAAGAGTGAAAGAACAAAGCTTCCACAGAATGGAAAGGGACTCCAGTGGGTTGCTGCTGCTGGCTGGGGTGACCAGCTTTTATTCCCTTATTTGGCCCTGCCCACGTCCTACTGATTGGTCCATTTTACAGAGTGCTAATTGGTCCATTTACAGAGTGCTGATTGGTGCATTTACAATCATTTAGCTAGACACAGACCACTGATTGGTGCATTTTTACAGAGTGCTGATCAGTGCATTTATAATCCTTTAGCTAAACACAGAGTGCTGATTGGTGCATTTTTACAGAGTGCTGATTGGTGTTTTTTACAATCCTTCAGCTAGACACAGAGTGCTGATTGGTGTGTTTTTACAGAGTGCTCATTGGTGCATCTACAATCTAACTAGACACAGAGCGCTGATTGGTGCGTTTTTTTTACAGAGTGCTGATTGGTGCATTTTCAATCCTTTAGCTAGACACAGAGTGCTGATTGGTGCATTTACAATCCTCTAGCTAGACAGAAAAGTTCTCCAAGTCCCCACTCAACCCAGTAAGTCCAGCTGGCTTCACCGCTTACTATTGATGATCCTGACCCTGTGTAGGCCTAGGCTAATGGATGTAATTGTTTGTGTCTTCATTTTTAAGAAAAATCTTTTAAAAGTAGAAAAGTATTTTTAAAATAGAAAACAAAAGCTTATAAAGATATATTTTGGTACAGCTGTACAATGTGTTTGTTTTAAGCTAAGTGTTATTACAAGAGTCAAAAAGGTAAAAATATTTAAAAGTTTATAAAGTAAGAAAATTACAGTAAACTAGGGCTAATTATTTAAAAAAAGCATAAGTTTAGTGTAGCCTAAGTGTACAGTGTTTATAAAGTCTATAGTAGTGTACAGTAATGTCCTAGGCCTTCCTATTCACTCACCACTCACTCACTGACTCACTCAGAGCAACTTTCAGTCCTGCAAGCTCCATTCATGGAAAGCACCCCATACAGGTTTACCATTTCTCATCCTATACACAGTAATTTTACTGTACCTTTTTTATGTTTAGACACACAAATACTTACCATTGTGATATAACTGTCTACAGTATCCAGTACCGTAACATGCTGTACAGGTTTGTAGCCCAGGAGCAATATGTTATACCATACCGCCTGGGTGTACAGTAGGCTACACCATCTAGGTTTATGTAAGTACCCTCTATGGTATTGCACAATGACAAGTCACCTAACGACATGTTTCTCAGACTATATCCCCATTAAGCAATACATGACTATTTATTGTAGCAAAACTTAGAAAAATAGAATTGCAAAGTCTTAAGCAGTTCTTTTGTATGCAATTACATTTTAATGCATACAACAAGTTCAAAAGAGTCTTGATTTTTTAAACACCTTTTCCATGCCTCAAAATAGAGGTTTTAGGCTGGGCGCAGTGGTTCACACCTGTAATCCCAGCACTTTGGGAGGCCAAGGTGGGTGGATCACAAGGTCAGGAGATCGAGACCATCTTGGCTAACATGGTGAAACCCCGTCTCTACTAAAAATACAAAAAATTAGCCAGGCGTGGTGGTGGGTGCCTGTAGTCCCAGCTACTCGGGAGGCTGAGGCAGGAGAATGGCGTGAACCAGGGAGGCGGAGCTTGCAGTTAGCTGAGATCACACCACTGCACTCTAGCCTGGGTGACCGAGCGAGACTCCATCTCAAAAAAAAAAGAAAAAAAAATAGAGGTTTTAAAAGGATAGTGTTCTTTTCTGCTTTTAGAACTTTCTTACTGATGCCTTTACAAGTTGGTTGCACAATATAAATCCAAGGAGGCAAATTAGAAATTTGGTTGAAACAATACTATTTCTCTTAAAGCATGTAGATCATCTGGTTTAAGCCTCTAAGCACCTATCCTTGTTAACTAAAGGGTTAATGCCATCATCTGGCAGAACATCCCCTCTTCTCACACCACCTCACAATTCTGAAATGGATTTCAATTCTCACTGCACTTTCATTAGTACTTGCTCTGACTTACAGATGGGCAGCTGTAACTTCATAAAGCTATGTATGCCTTCATAAAAGCTCCTCATATCACATCATTCAAGCCCCTTGACTGAATTACGACCTTACTCTCCTTGTCATGAAAAGCTGTAAATGAAATTAGGCCAAATTTCGTAAGACACAAGATATAATCTCCACATAACTTTTTACTTGTTTTTATAAGAAAAGGGCCAAACTCCAGCCCTAACCAGTAAAAGCTGTTTGATTTGCCATTTTGTATTAAAAAACAAATGGACCTACCAAAATTCTCTTCCTTTTAAGCACCTACCTTATATGGAGACAGTCTATATGCACACACTGACCAAATGGTGAGGAATGAATCACTGGGCCATGCATCTGAAAAGTCTTTTTCTGCATATACACTTTACCTGACAGAAAATGATTTCATGTATGCTTCTCTAGCTTTCCAGCATCTGAAGCTCCTCTTTTGAATTTATTCTCCTTTTCAGTTCTTCCCCGATGAAGAGTCTATAAAATGCCTATCTTTTCTCATTTGTGGCCTGGGTGAATTTTTCTATGAAAAAATTGCATCTTTTTCTTTTTCTTTTTTTGGAGATGGAGTTTTGCTCTGTCGCCTCCCAAGTAGCTTAGGCTACAGGCACACACCACCCCACTCAGCTAAAAAATATTTTCTGTATCTTTTTTTTTTTTGAGACGGAGTTTCACTCTTGTTGCCCAGACTGGAGTACAATGGCGCCATCTTGGCTCACCACAACCTCTGCCTCCCGGGTTCAAGTGATTCTCCTGCCTCAGCCTCCTGAGTAGCTGGGATTTCAGGCACACACCACCATGCCCAGCTAAGTTTGTATTTTTAGTATATACGGGGTTTCTCCGTGTTGGTCAGGCTGGTCTGGAACTCCTGACCTCAGGTGAGCCACCGCGCCTGGCTTATTTTCTGTATCTTTAAGAGCACTTACACATGGCCGTGTAAGGTGGCTCATGCCTGTAATCCCAGCACTTTGGGAGGCCAAGGTGGGCAGATCATTTGAGGTCAGGAGTTTGAGACCAGCCTGGCTAAAATGGTGAAACCCCGTCTCTACTAAAAATACAAAAATTAACTGGACATGGTGGCAGGTGCCTGTAATCCCAGCTACTGGGGAGGCTGAGGCAGGAGAATCACTTGAACCCAGGAGGTGGAGGTTGCAGTGAGCCGAGGTTGCGCCACTGCACTCCAGCCTGGGTGGACAGCGCAAGACTCCATCTCAAAAATAAAAATAAAATAAAATAAAATAAGAGCACTTCCACATGGCAACATTAACATGAAAAAGAAGTGAGCACCCACAGCACTTGTGCAAGCAGCATTCTTAAAGTCCATAGAAAGCAAATGACAACTACTGCAAAATTTGTACTTAGAGAATTCAAGTGCAAATATTTTGTAGATGGAATAAGACGGCATTGTTTGCAATAAGGACAAGTACATGCATTATATTTAAAACCTACTCCTGCCACACAATGCATGACATTTGAAAGCTGTTTGGCTGGCATGCCCTTCTTTTCTAGCTGAACTGCTTTCTATTGCTCCTCAGACATCAAATGAATGGCATCATGGCCCCATGTTAGCAAAAATTCCTTCTTTCCAATCCTGACAATTTTAACCAGAATGGAGAAATAAGAAAACATTTTTCAGAGGCAGAACAATTAACAAGACAATTTTCCCCATGACAAGACAGAATACTACTATAATCTGCATCTCCCTTCTGCAGCTCTTTTCAATTGTGACCTTTAGGAAGCTCTCCCAACATTAGGGAGGAAAAAATATTTAATTAAAAGAAAGGGCAGCAAAGGCGCCTACAGAAGGGAGAAAGCTTTTACCTTGTATTAGAGAAAGGTGGATTTTCTCAAAGCTCCCCATCCATCAGAACAAAATGCAAATCCCAGGATCAGGACTACGCAGCAGGAAGGGTACACAAACTTTGAGGCTGGGCCACAGCCTGACATGCAAGCCTGAACATCTGCATGCTGGTAAAATTCCCTTGGAGTTAGAATACTAACATTATGGTTGCCTTACACCTTTTGCATAAGTATGAGATTATCTCTCTGCTTCACAGAATTTTAAAGACTCCAAGGATTCTGCCCACTGTGATTAAAAAAGGAAAGCATTCCCCCAACACACACACACTCTCCAGCTTACATTTTCCTGACCTTCTGGCTGGAAGGATGAGATTTCTCTTGGATTTTTGCTACCTCTGTACCACCACTGCAGCTCTGCTGAAAGCTTGCCTTTGGCTCAAAGCCAGATAGAAAAGAACAATGAGGCCGGGCGCGGTGGCTCACGCCTGTAATCCCAGCACTTTGGGAGGCCGAGGCGGGCGGATCACAAGGTCAGGAGTTCAAGACTAGCTTGGCCAACATGGTGAAACCCCCATCTCTACTAAAAACACAAAAATTAGCCTGGCGTGGTGGTGTGCGCCTGTAGTCCCAGCTACTCAGGAGGCTGAGGCAGAACTGCTTGAACCCAGGCAGAGGCTGCAGTGAACTGAGATCGCGCCACTGCGCTCCAGCCTGGCAACAGAGCGAGACTCGGTCTCAGAAAAAAAAAAAGGAAAAGAACAATGAGAAACTTACCCCTCTCATCCCCCACTCAGGTTGCTACTCCAGGCTTTCACTTCACAATCTGCCAGCTTTTCTTTACTTTTCTGAGTCCTCAGGTAATCTGCCCACTGAGTTTGGTTGCTATCAGCAAAAGAAATAGGCTGTGGTGGGCTAACCTCATCTTGGCCGAGTCCTCCCTAGTAATCTTAGTAACAGTTGTTGCGGCAGCATCTCTCTTGGCCACATCACATAATGATAGCCGATACACACCAGAGCTCAGGCGCAGCCCACCTCTCACCTTCCTCTTGATGATGCTGTCAGGGTAGAGAAAGCCTGGTCATTCATTCTTGCAAAACCTGAGATTCAGTGCACAATTTCTTAACCTCCTCTTAGGTGTCACCATTTATTTCAGACTCTAACAAAAGATGGAAGAAAATAAAAAAACTCTCTGACCTCTGGAACACTGTCCTATTCTTGCCCCTACTCTGTAAGCCTCTGTTGCTTGCCATCCCTTCAATCACGCCAGGCTTAAAAGGCCAGGTGAGCAGTTAAATATTAAAAGTAAACAGCTGCTTATTGTGTGCTGCTAGCAACTAAAAAGACCTAATCTATACACCTTCAGGCTGTGAAGGGCATCAAAGAAAGAAAACATGTGTTAGAAATTCTGACAGATGCCACGTTTTTGGCCAGGGAAATTTAAACTCATTCTGGCTCTTTTTATTGATGGCAAAATAGAGGACTCTATCCAGAGAGGAGCCCAGAGAGTGGATTTGATTTCAGATGTAAGCTAAACCTCTTCTCCCTTCACTGGTTTTAATCGTAACAGGAAAAGCATAAAACCTGCTACCAGAAAATAAATGTGAATGTTTCCAGAATACTGCAAGTAATCCCTTGCTTAAACACAAAATCCTTTATTCAATTACACAACAAATATCTACTGAGAGCTGATACTATGCCAGGCATTAGTCAGTGTGCTTGGATTATAGCAGTGAACAAGACCAATTCCATGCACCCATGAAGTTTGCATTCCACCAGAGGAGTCAAACAACAAAAAAGGAATACTTTATAATGCTATTATAAATACATAAGACACCATCACTTCAGGTAGTGATAAATGGTATCAAAATAAAGTAGGTATGAGATGAAGAGTGATGGGCGGCAATCTCTATGAAGAAACCTCTGAAGGCTGGGCGTGGTGGCTTACACCTATAATCCCAGCATTTTGGGAGGCCAAGGCCAAGACTGCACCACTGCCCTCCAGCCTGGGCAACAGAATGAGACCCTGTCTCAAAAAAAAAAAAAAAAAAAAAGAAGCACTTTGCTCACAGAATATTCATTAAGGAAAACTATCAAATTAAAACTACAAATTACTATAAATAAAAAGGAAGGCCAGGCACAGTGGCTCACATCTGTAATCCCAGCACTTTGGGAGGCCGAGGCGGGCGGATCATGAGGTCAGGAGTTCGAGACCAGCCTGACCAACATGGTGAAACCCCGTCTCTACTAAAAAAAAAAAAAAATACAAAAATTAGCCACGCATGGTGGCACACGCCTGTAATCCCAGCTACTCAGGAGGCTGAGGCAGGAGAATAGCTTGAACCCAAGAGGCAGAGGTTGCAGTGAGCCGAGATCGTGCCATTGCACTCCAGCCTGGGCGACAAAGCAAGACTCCTTCTCAAAAAAAAAAGGAAAAAATAAAAAGAAAGAAAGGTGGCGAGGCCGGGCATGGTGGCTCACACCTGTAATCCTAGCACTTTGGGAGGCCAAGGCAGGTGGATTACCTGAGGTCAGGATTTTGAGACCAGTAGAGAACCCCGTCTCTACTAAAAATACAAAAATTAGCTGGGCATGGTGGTAGGAGCCTGTAATCCAGCTACTTGGGAGGCTGAGGCAGGAGAATCGTTTGAGCCCGGGAGGCAGAGGATGCAATAAGCAGAGATCGCACCACTGCACTCCACCCTGGGCGATGGAGTGAGACTCCATCTCAAAAAAAAGGGTGGCATTTGAGGTGAGCATGTGAAAATGAATAAGATTCTGAAATATGAAGTGTGGGAGGGAAATGTAATTTACTAGAGTTTTGGTTGCAAACTATAGAAACCAACTCTGGCTAATTTAGGTAGAAAAGGAATTTACTAAAAGAATTTCTAGTAGCTTATAAAATCGACAAGAAGTTTAGAGAAATAGGCTGAATAAAAAATGAGCAGGAAGCAGGCAGCTGAGAACCCAGCCACAGGAACAATCAGAGAAGTAGACTAGAGTGGTTAGGATGCCATGGTAACTGCCATAGTGAAGACTCTCTTAAGTGTCCCTTCATCCATACATCATTGCTCAAGACTCGAAGCCTAATAAAGGACGTTATTGGGTCATCTGGTGAAACCTCTGTAAGGTTAAATAGAATTGTAGCAATGTTAATGTCCTGATTTTGATAATTGTGCAATGGTTATAAAAGATTTCCTTGCTTTTAGGAAATACACATTGAAGTGTTTAGGGGTAAAGACGCATCATATCCACCGCTCAAAGGTTCAGAAGAAAAAAAAATTGTGTGTGTGTGTTTTTGTTTTGGTTTGGTTTTGCGTGTGTGTGTGTGTTTGTGTGTGTGTGCGCATGTGTAAAGCGGAGGAAGGAGAAAAAGACAGGCACTGGACCTGTCCAAACTCAAGTGATCATCTTGCCCCACAAAGCCCGTGTTTACACTTACCACACACAATACCACATAATCTCACCACCCAGAGATAATCCTTACAGTTTTTATGTGCAGTCTTGCCTACCTGTCTTCCCTATTTTTATAATCACAATATATTTGTAGAATCGTCTTTTCAAATTGGAATATATCTATGTTTCTGATAATACACAACAGTAAAAAATATGAATAAAGGAAAGACAAAGTTCTACATAATCCCTATATTTTCTCTACTCCAAACACAGATTAAGTTTGATATTCTTCTACCCTTTTCAGAGTTTTAAATGCATACATATACCTTATAATTTCCACATATTGTCATTTTTTTTTTACTTAAAAGTCTTATGACATCTTCCCAGTTTTATGAGAAAAGAATATACATCAAATGTTAACAGTGGTTATTTCTGGATGATGATACTAAAGGGCACTTTTATTTTCTTCTTGGTATTTTTCCTACTATGTGACAGCAAAATAGATGAAGCTTTTAACCTCAGGGTGTAACTTTTAACCTTAGGATATAACTTTTAACCTTTTATATTAAAGGGGAGGAAAGGAAACACGGATTAATTTTGATGACAAGGGGAGATATGTTGAGAAAGGTCATACTTGAGATGAGTTTGGAATTGAAGAAATCATATAAGGAAATCAGGAGGTAATGTGTGTCAATCACATATAAGCTGACGTCACCCAGGATGTAGTAAAAAATATAAACTATAAATCAGGTACTCAAATTTTCCAAGGAATGATGAAAACAGGCCCATGAAAAGATAGACAATCAGAACAAGGATCACTGAGGACAAGAGGAAAAAAAATGATAGACTATCACATTTCACTAAGTAACTAAATCACTAGTTTTTGCCTTCTTAATACACTGATATGGATATGTGATCAATTCCAAATTGACAGTTTCAGAAAAAGTAAGTCGCTCACATTAAATATTAAAAACTTCCCCTGCGGTCTTTTGTTCAACCTTAAGAGAGTTCTGTGCTTTGGCTGAGCCAAAAACTCTGTTGTTCCAAAGACTAGAACTGTGGCCTACGTATAATAGAATTAAAGAGTGACATGATGTGTTTTGTCCCAAAGGAAGAAGTTTCTAACAATTAGAGATGCCCAAGAGTGGCAATGGCTGCTTCAAAAAATAGAATAGAAGTACTTCCAGAATGATAAAGACCTCTGCAAACCCACTCTACTACAAAAGCAACAAGAACACTGACAAAAATTGTCAACATATACTCTTTCAAAACTCTGCAAAGTAGCCAAAGACTCACAAAAGTCCAAGGAGTGTTTATTTAAAACAGCTAAATCTCAGTATGAACAGTAACGTGCCCCATTCCCATTCCACTCTACTCTGGTCTGCAGTTGCTTTGAAAATGAACAGCCTCGGCTCATACCTGTAATCCTAGCACTTTGGGAGGCTGAGGCAGGCTGATCACCTGAGGTCAGGAGTTCAAAACCAGCCTGGCCAACATGGCGAAACTCTGTCTCTACTAAAAATACAAAAAATAAAAATAAAAAAACAGCCAGGCGTGTTGGTGGGCACCTGTAATCCCAGCTACACAGGAGGCTGAGGCAGGAGAATCGCTTGAACCCGGAAGGCAGAGGTTGCAGTGAGCTGAGATTGCACCACTGCACTCCAGCCTGGATGACAAAGAGAGACTCTGTCTCAAAAAAAAAAAAAGAAAGAAAACGAACAGCCTCACAACTATGGTAACTGTGAAAACCAGCATCCTTGGATCCACTAAAAGGGGCAGAAAAGTTTGCCAAAAGCCCCATTCCCAGGAGGCTGACACCATTTGACCTCCCTGACAGCTCTGTGAAAAACTCCATTCTCAGGCCTTGACGTTATCCACCAGACTCATTTCACTCTGTGCAAACAGTCCTATTACCAGAGAGTTTGTCAAAAACAATCAGCAACAAGGGTTTAAAATCACAGCTACCTGAGGCAAGGATCAGGTGAGGCTCAAAAAAAAAAAAAAAAACTGACAAAAACCTTAAAGGAAAAAACTGAGGAACAAGATGTTCAAGAGGGCATTGTAGAACGTTGACATTACTGGGAATCTGGAAGATATACACATGTCCAAGGCTGTGGTCATGCGCAGAAAAGATCTGAGAAGGCCCTAATATCTCACCTCTGGCTGCCCTTAAGGCTCTGCACAGGCAGGAAGTAAACACTAAGGCAGAGGTGTAAATTTCCTAGCAGAGCACTGAAAGCATAAGCATACCCCACACACAGAGAGACCCCCCCTCAGCAAAAGCTGGGAGACTTCATGCTTCAAGCCATTTAAAAAATTTTTTAATGAAGAAAGATAATACATATTCCATAAATAATAAGATTCTAAATATTCTATACACATATGTTCATGTGTATGTATGAATGAGTATATAGTTTGCATCTGACCTACACACTGTAACAAGAGAAGGCCAGGTGCAGTGGCTCACACCTGTAGTCCCAGCACTTTGGGAAGCCAAGGCAGGTGGTTCACTTGAGCCCAGGAGTTCGAGAGCAGCCTGTGCAACCTGGCAAAATCCCGTCTCTATAAAAATAAAAAAATTAGCCAAGCATGGTGGCACACATCTATTTGGTCCCCATATTCAGAAGGCTGAGGTGGGAGGATCACTTAAGCCAAGGAGGTCAAGGCTTTGGTGAGCTATCATCATGCCATGGGCACTCCAGCATGGGTAACAAAGTGAGATCTTGTCTTAAAACAAACAACAACAACAACAAAAAAGAAGACCCTGAATGAGAGAGGACAGCAAAGTGGCAAAGTGACTATAAATATAGTAAATATATTGTGTTCATCTAATGTCAGTCCTTACAACAGCTGTGTAAGGTAGATATCCTTAATCACCTTTCACAGGCGAGGAAACTGAGGCTCAGGAAGTTTCAGTAACTTTCCTGAGATTTTACAACTAGCACATGGGGGGTGAGAAGATAGGATTCTAACCAGTCTGTTAGACTGCAAAACACACCACCATCATCGGCCACCACATTGTACCTTCACCTGAAAGAAAGAGGAAAAACACACAGATGCCAGAAAAAAAAAAATTGGGAGAGAAAGTAAGGCAAAAAGCAGAACACTTACTTGGTTTTGAGAGGTTATATCTTAGTTATTCATTTGTCTATAAATTTATTTACTACCTTGAAATAACAATTACTATTTGTCCACAACTCTTCACCTCTAATCCTCAAGTTTTCAGAGATTCCCCTCTGCAGACGTTCATGCTACCCACCAGAGTAGACATTCATTCTCAGGCTTCCACAGCACCTTCCCCTCTCCATCCAGGGACAGAAAACAGCTGAGGCTCAAACCTGAACCCTCCATCACCCCCACCACCGCCACTGCCAACTCTAAAAACCCTCTACTTTAAGTTTACTTCCATATTGTAAAAATGAAAAACAATTCAACATGTATGTTTAATTTTTCTTTCCAAGGTATGTAAAATACGTGCTCATAAAATAACACCTGGCCACATCTTAATTCAATAATTCCCTTGGCTGACTACCAGAATAAGAGGGGGAAAAAAAAGTTTTAGGAACCGGGCAAGGTGGCTCATGCCTGTAATCCCAGCACTTTGGTAAGCCGAGGCAGGGGGATCACTTGAGTCCAGGAGTTCAAGACCAGCCTGGGCAACATAGGTAGACCCTATTTCTACAAAAAAAAAAAAAAAAAAAAAAAATTGAAAAGGAAATGGTTTTAAAACTTTAGGAGTTGTTTACATATTCATAGTACTACTGACTTTAAAAAGAAAAGAAGCAGCAAAACAAAACACAACACTTGGGAATGGAGTGAAGGACACCAAGGGAAAATAGGAAGCCAAGCTTTGTCTTCAGAATAATACTCATTTTTTCATCAAGGTTTGCTCCCAGAAAAATCATAACTTCCTTGGAAGGAATTGAAGTGTAATGTATCTGTAATAGGGATTAAGACTTCTTTAATAATATAAGACTAATCTTCAATTAGCCCAAATATTGAACAGAGACACTCTATTTTATTATCAGCCTTGTAGTAAAAGGAAAAAATGATGTTGAAACATTCTAGTCCTCAATATCATGAATCCAGCTCACTAGAATGTGAACTCTAGATTCACAATAGAACTATAAATTCCAAGCCGAGCATGGTGACTCACACTTGTAATCCCAGCACTTTGGGAGGCCGAGGCAGGCGGATCACTTGAGGTCAGGAGTTCGAGCCCAGCCTGGCCAACATGGTGCGACCCCATCTCTACTAAAAATACAAAAATTAGCCAGGCATGGTGGCACATGTCTGTAATCCCAGCTACTCGGGAGGCTGAGGCAGGAGAATCTCTTGAACCCAGAAGGCAGAGGTTGCAGGGAGCTGAGATCACACCACTGCATTCCAGCCTGGGTGACAGAGTGAGTGAGACTTCATCTCAAAAAAAGAACTATGAATTCCAAATCCACTATGTCAATAAAATTCACATTGCATGAAACTTTTTGAGAATACTAGGTTTTGGGGGGTTTTTTGTTTTGTTTTGTTTGAGACGGAGTCTTGCTCTGTCGCCCAGGCTGGAGTGCAGTGGCGCAATCTCGCTTCACTGCAAGCTCCGCCTCCCAGGTTCATGCCATTCTCCTGCCTCAGCCTCTCAAGTAGCTGGGACTACAGCTGC
Source organism: Homo sapiens (assembly GCF_000001405.40). Lineage (NCBI taxonomy): Eukaryota > Metazoa > Chordata > Mammalia > Primates > Hominidae > Homo > Homo sapiens. The sequence goes on from NC_000015.10 coordinate 34,030,493, forward strand.
CTGCCACCTCGCCCGGCTAATTTTTTTGTATTTTTAGTAGAGACAGGGTTTCATTGTGTTAGGCTGACCTTGTGATCCACCCGCCTCAGCCTCCCAAAATGCTGGGATTACAGGTGTGAGCCACCACGCCCAGCCTGGTTTGGGGGGTTTTGTTGAGAAAGAGTCTCGGGCTGTCATCCAGGCTGGAGTGATCATAGCTCACTGCAACCTCCAACTCCTGGGTTAAAAATCTTCCTGCCTCGGCCTCCTGAGTAGGTGGGAATACAGGCGTGCACCACCGTGCCTGGCTAAATTTTTTGTTGTTGTTGTTGACAGGGATCTTGCTTTGTTGCCCAGGCTGGTCTTGAACTCCTGGCCTTAAGCAGTCCTTCCACCTCACCCTCCCAAAGTGCTGGGATTACAGGTATGAGCCACTACACCTGGCCTAAATATTTTTTAATTTTCCCCAAATGTAACTGTGAATGGTCTTTTCAAGCCAGAAATTACAGAAATCCAAAATAGATGACTATGTTCGTTTCACAGAATATACATCTATTAACAAACTCTTGGTGTCAGTAACTTGACACAGTTAAATACAAAAATAGAGGAATCACAACACTGATAATAAGCCAAAAGAATACATATGAGTTTTTTTTTGTAACAGCCTATTATCCCAATTATGCTTTGCTTAGGTTAATTTTTTTTTTTTTTTTTTTTTTTGAGACTGAGTTTTGCTCTTGTTGCCCAGGCTGGAATGCAATGGCGCGATCTCAGCTCACTGCAACCTCCGCCTCCCGGGTTCAAGCGATTCTCCTGTCTCAGCCTCCCGAGTAGCTGGGATTACAGGCGCATGCCACCATGCCTGGCTAATTTTTATATTTCTAATAGCGACAGGGTTTCATCATGTTGGTCAGGCTGGTCTCGAACTCCTGACCTCAGGTGATCTGCCTGCCTCAGCCTCCCAAAGTGCTGGGATTACGGGCATGAGCCACCATGCCCAGACTGCTTAGGTTAATATTAAAATGTTTGCTATCCCTCAATGTAAGTTTGACTTGGTACTAAAGAAATATGGATCAGACAGATTCGTATCAGTCCTTAATGGCAAGAGGACTCAAAGGTAGAATTAAGTTTTTACAACAGGGAATGCATTCCATTAATCTCCTATTTTTTTTTGGATTGTTGTGCTGTTTGCACACACACCAATGATGTGATATGGGCGGTAGGAAACAGCATCCTTGGCAGTGTTGTTCTTCACAGGAATTGCCTTTTAAGCAATTTAAGGCTTACAAAATCAGGTTGGTCAGATTATAACAACAGCATCCTAGCAGCATCAAGATAAAACACACACATCAGTTTGTATTTCTTTTCAGCATCCTCTGACAAAACCCACTCAAAAGTGAAATATTCTCCATAACCATTATCCATGCACTGCCCCATGACACCTTTGTAGAAAATTTTCAGACTAACAAAGCTGTTAATTATTTCCATCCAAGAGAAAAAGTATTAAAGTACTTATTTCTGGCACCTCAACACACACATACGCGCGCACACGCACACACACACACACACAGGGCTTCTAACAAAAGAAAAAAAAAATCAAAGAGAACTAATCCAGTGCCGTAATAAGTTAGTCAGTAGCTTCTATCAAATAGAAATTACTATGTGTCACTATGGTCTTTATTGCTCCCTTTGATACTTCAAAGTGCATCAAGAAATAGTGACATCTGAATAGAAAACACCTTTGCAACCACCTAATTTCTAGAAAAAGGCTAGTTAAGTCATGCTATGGTGTGGTTAGGATCAAATGACCTACGTAACCTCTCTAGAGGTCACTTGCCCAGTGCTGTAAAAAGTAATCACTACTTTTTCTGGAAAAAAAATAAGAAAACCAACAATGACTTAGTACCTACTCTTCCAGAAAACACATGCCAGTGGTATCGATTTATGAGCGAGCTATTTTCCATCCTAGCAGCAGTTTAAAACAAAGAGAGTAACACTATTAAGAATGACAAAACCTGGAAACCATATTCTGCAAATGATGGATAGCCAGAAAACAAAAAAGCTCTGAATGAATTCATGCAATGAACCATCTTACTAAGAAACAAAGGGGCTATGATCTTAGCTGTCCTCAAAACGGAGTGTGCACATACCTAGGGGTTCAGAAAGATTTTCCAAGGAGTATATGAGCAGTATGTTTTTCAGGGAATCAACTTCCAGATATTCAAGATCCACGGTCTTTCCCAAAAGCAGTCTACCCTAGAAGGCACCTGAAGACAGCACAACTGCTTTTCAGCCATTCTCAATCTGGCTGTATTCCCCAAGCCTCAACAATAGGATAATTTTAAATATAGATGTTGAGGATGTGTAACTCTAAAGAACATGTAATATGTCCTTTTGCAAATCAGGTAGTTCCAATTATTTGCTTTCAATCAAAGTGATGGAGAACCTAATACAGTCATCACTTGACAGATTCTTAAAATACTTTAAAAATAACTTTTTGGCATACAAGTAGAGATATTTAATGAACTGAGTGACATTGATATGGCAAAACTCCAACATTCCCATCTACCTATTTATGTGAACAATGTTTCTCAATCCTTACATCTATAAAATCAAAAATTAGGAAAAGAATTGACACTGAATCCTATCTCGTGCAGGCAATAAGTAATGTTCATCCACGGATACTCAAACTCACTAGGGAAAATGAGACTCATTCACAATGAAGTTTTACCTTTATGTTTAATAACTGCAAGGCTGGGCGCGGTGGCTCATGTCTGTAATCCTAGCACGTCAGGAGGCAGAAGCGGGCGGACTGCCTGACCTCAGGAGTTCAAAACCAGCCTGAGCAACACGGTGAAATCCCGTCTCTACTAAAATACAAAAAATTAGCCGGGTGTGGCGGTGTGCACCTGTAGTCCCAGCTACTCAGGAGGCTGAGGCAGGAGAATTGCTTGAACCCAAGAGGCGGAGATTGCAGTGAGCCGAGATCGTGCCACTGCACTCCAGCCTGGGTAACAGAGCGAGGCTCCGTCTCAAAAAAAAAAAAAAAATTGCAAATCAAAATAACTGTATATATTAATCAATGTAATCTTAATTCAATCTAAAAGAAAAAGTAGCACCCAAGCCTGTAGAGTTATATAACATTTTTTAAGTCAACATTTATTACAGGAAGACATGAAATGGTAACCACTAAAAAACTTTCAAGTATGAAATATATTCTGTTGAATAAGGTTCTGTGGGAGATGGGGAATTAAAATACAAGTAAAAAAGAATAAGAAACAATGGAAATCTTCACACTACTAAAGAGTTGGGTTTTGTTTTTTGTTTTTTGTTTTGAGATGGAGTCTCATTCTGTCTCCAGGGTAAAGAGCAGTGGCGCAATTTCGGCTCACTGCAACCTCCGCCTCCCAAGTTTAAGCGATTCTCCCGCCTCAGCCTCCCAAGTAGCTGGGATTACAGGTGCGCGCCACCATGCCCAGCTAACTTTTGTATCTTTAGTAGAGAGGGGTTTCACCATTTTGGCCAGGATGGTCTCAATCTCTTGACCTTGTGATCTGCCCACCTCAGCCTCCCAAAGTGCTGGGATTACAGGCATGAGCCACTGCGCCCAGCCTAAATAATTTATTAATGTGATTTTTAAATGGCTAAAGGCAAATATCAAATCACTCTAGTATTTAAAATCCATCCAGAGCCAAGTGTGGTGACTCACATCTGTAACCCCAGCACTTTGGGTGGCTGAGGCGGGAGGACTGCTTGAGCCCAGGAGTTTGAGACCAGCCTGGGCAAGACAGTGAGACCATGTCTACAAAATATAAAAATATTAGTTGGGTATGGTGGTTCACGCCTGTACTCCCACCTACTCAGGAGGCTGAGATGGGAGGATCCCTTGAGTACAGCAGTTGAAGGCAGCAGTGAGCTTTGCTCACACTACTGCACTCCAGCGTGAGCAACAAAGTGAGACCCAGTTTCTTTTTTAAAAAAAAAAAAAAAGGAAAAGAAAAAATCAATTTATAAAAATTGTGTTTTTATTTAAAAAGTCAATATATACAATATGTTGGAAATTTTATATTTTGAAATTCTCTGATCCATTGATAAAAATGTTAGATATAAACTTTAAAGTACATTGTACATGGTTTCCCAAAATTTTTTTAGGCAGAATACAAGCAAAAAAGTTCAGTTGTCTGTGTTGATATTGAAAATATGTAAGTGAAATAGTGGTCAGTGAGAAAAGCAACTTAAAAACAGAATATGTTAACAAGGATAAGGATGCCAAAATAATTACAGTGTGTGTGCAATGGTTTGCAGCAGGAGGAGAGGTCAATTTCATGGATTACCAAGAACTAATCTTAAAGCAATCTTCTGTTGGGACACTTAAGCACATTCAGTTTCTAACCAAATTTGCTTCAGGCTTTCTGGAAAAAAAGGAAAATAAAGTCTAGAGGCTGTCATTTCAGTTTGAGCTTTTAACAGGCTCTCAGTCTCTAGCTGGCTGACAAGCGGCTGGTGGCTACTCTGAGCAACAATGAAGGAGCAAGTCCTTAGACACCTGCCTGTAACTGATCTGACACCATTTCTTCCCTCCAGGTTCACACTAAACTTGAATAGAAAATTAGAGATTTCCTTTTTACCCAGTGAAATGAAAATGTCAACGCCATCGGGTATTAATTACTACTCAGGCTTTGTTTACAAAGCAAAAGTTTGATCAGAATTAAATGCCTCCAGATTCTACTTTTTAGTACAACTATAAACAGCTGTCTCATCTTTTATTGAATATAAATCATTTTAAAAGGAATATGAAAAGCTGCAATATAAACATGGAGCAAGAAAGCAAAGGTCTGGTAACACCCACAATAACTGAAGATGGTACCAATGTTACCTTAAAACCTTATAACCATACTAACATATCAGTTAAAAAAATAATCAGGCATGTGAAAGAATCACTCAACAGTCCTCCACACACCCCTTTTTCAAATCTCAAAGTCATTCCAGGAGCAGTTTAGAGCAGCAGTCGAAAGAACAGGCTCTGGAGTGAAAATGCTGGGGTGGAATCCAGGCTCAGCAATTTTCTGGTTGAGTGATATTAAAAAGTTATTTCACCTCTCCTAACTGTGAGTTATTTAACGGTGCCTCAGCTGTCTCATCTTATATTAAGTACTCGACAAATGTGAATTACTGTTATTACTAGAGGAAGGAAAAAAGAAAAAAAATTCCAAAGACTACCAGCTGGCCTTGTCTTCCTCTCTGCTAACAGCCCATCACAAAGATAAATACTAAACAATCCTAGTATTGGGGGCAGTGATAGGGGGATTATTTATTCATTTAGTTAGTAAGTTAGTTATTTGAGACAGAGTCTCACTCTATTGCCCAGGCTGGAGTGCAGTGGCAGGATCACAGCTCACTGCAGCCTCCACCTCCGGGGCTCAAAACAATCCGGCTGCTTCAGCCTCCCTTGTAGCAGGGACTACAGATGCACCCCGCCATGCTCGGCAGTTTTGTATTTTTTTTATAGAGAGGGGGTCTCGTTATGTTGCCCAGTCTGGTCTCGAACTCCCAGACTCAAGTGACCCACCCACCTCAGCCTCCCAAAGTGCTGGGATTACAAGCGCGAGCCACCACACCCAGCCAGTTTTGTGTTTTTTTTTTAAAGTTAATGATTGTATCTAGTACAATAATGCTTCTAGTGAGTATTCCGTGAAGATAATTATGCTCACCCATAATCAGTAAGCTTAGAGCTCAGACCATTTACAGAAGGAATGATTTAAGAGCAAGAGACTAAGAGATGTACTCAACTTAGTACTCAACTAAGTTACCCTGGAGTATTACATAGCTATGTAGAAGTTGGTTAGATTGATTTTGTTTTCCATTTGTATGCAGTGGTCCAAAATAGAAAGCAAAGGTGTACACAAAATTGGTTTCTGAAGGTGGACAACTGGTCTTTACATGGCTAGGAGTCTATTATGATTTTTTTTTCCTTTGATCATTTCGGTTACTCTCTCCTTGGGGCACAAATGCACCATGGGATATGAGAACAAGAAGGCTTCAGGAAAGTCAATCAATCTTGTCTCATGTAATGGTTAAGCACCAAAAATGGTGTCCTAGCAAGACTAAATACAAACAGTACTTCAGAATCTGAGAAATGGAAGGAACTTAGAGATGACCAATCCAAACCAAAATTAAGGAACAATCTGCCCAACATCCCTCCCTCCAGCTTTGGCTGAAAACATGATGATGAAGGGATAAGACCAACTCGACAAAAGAAAAAGCCTAAAATTTTAACAGAATGTGTTACAATACTATCTTAAATTTTTTAAAGTCTTGTATTATTCTTTCTTTTAATGATATACCATCATGACCAGGCGCAGTGGGTCACACCTGTAATCCATATCCCAGCACCTTGGGAGGCCGAGGCGGGTGGATCACCTGAGGTCAGGAGTTCGAGACCAGCCTGACCAACATGGTGAAACCCCATCTCTATTAAAAATACAAAATTAGCCGGGCAAGGTGGCTCATGCCTGTAATCCCAGCTACTTGGGAGGCTGAGGCAGGAGAATCACTTGAACCCGGGAGGCGGAGGTTGCAGCAAGCCAAGATCATGCCATTGCACTCCAGCCTGGGCAACAAGAGTAAAACTCCGTCTCAAAAAAAAAAAAAAAATATATACCATCATTTCACCCAATTTAATTCAACAGAGATTAACAAAACAGAAGCACCTTCACTCACTCAATTCAACTTAAAGACACTTATTAGTAAAGTCCTGTGCGCCAGACACCATAGTTAACACCAAATGTACCATTACTACAATTACTCTTAAAGCACGATCCCTGCAGCTAAGGAATATCTACTTTGTTCTCAATAAAGTGGTAACTGGTTCACGAAAAAGTAAGAGATAAAATACTGTTGACTCAAGGGCAGCTTGATATAAATCCCAGCTCTGCCACTAGCTGTGAAAGCTTAGGCAAGTCAGTTAACCTGTAAAAATAAAGATTACTCTCTATATATGGATATATAAATAATATATAACATTGTAGTTAATATATAATTACATACTATTATATTACATAATTCTACATTACATATATATTATATATATATAATAGAGTTATAAGAACAAAATGTGATATATAGTGGGCACTAGGTTGGTCTTAGTTTCTGTCATTTACCTTAGTTTCTGTCAGTTTACACGAGGTAAACTGACCCTAAAAATGTTTTTATATCTCATTCAAGTTTTGCCTATTACCTATCTTAATCCTAACAAGATTTAAGTTTGTTACATTTAAATTTAAGTTTTATACTTTTTTTTCCAGCTCTGTATTGCTGTATACAACTACTCTCTTTAGGGATATCTTATCTGCTATGCCCTCAAGATATTGTAAATACTTCAGTAAGAGCAAATTTTGCCTCATGCAAAAAAGAATTTTTTAAATCAGTGTGCATAAGAATGCAGAATATAAAGATGGTCTTGTCCTACAGATGTTAAGGTAACAGAACAACTCATAAAAAGACAGTCCTCTAACTCCTTTAGCTGAGATATGGTTAGCTTTGCCCCCATATATATCATCCCCTGCTCCAATCTCCAAAAACTTCCTTCTATGAATGTGTCAATAAGACTGATGATATTGCTATTAAAACTCAGAACTTGACTGCTCATTTATAAATTGAAAATTCAAAACGACAAAGCCCAGTGCTCGCTGATTTCTACACATACAGGCATAATAAAAGAGAACTACGCTATTACAAAGAACTATGCATCTGGTCCCGCCCCCAAATACTAGAGTCCAGTCGTAGGGGTCATTCTTTCACTCAACAAACTTTTTATTATGCGCCTACTGTGTACTAGGCATTGCACAGACAGTTAACAAAACAGACCAAAAAATCCTTTCCCTCCTAATAACAGGAGCGTGCCCGTAAAGGCTGCCGAGGGACCACGTCGTGGCCGCGCCTCCGTCCCATAGTGGTACTCGTACAGACAGCCCAGCCGGCCCACGGGCCGCCGAGACTTGCAGCCCTGACACACGGCCTTGGCCTCTGGGTTCCTAACCCGGACCCTGGGGCAGGCTGGGAAGCCCTCCTACCCCCACTGTCTCGCGCCAGCCCGGCCAGGAGGCCACGAGGGCCAAGCGCATACCCAGGCGCGCCCCCGCCACCAGGCGCGCCCCCGCGCCACCATCCGCCCGTCCCGCGCAGGCGCCGGCGCCGCCGCCCGTCTGGCGCGCGCCTGGCACGCTCTCTTGCGGCTCTTGACTGGCGGCCTCGGCCCCACTTGCCCCAGTTACACGCGGTCCCAGCCCCACCAGCCGTCGCCTCTTACCGGCGCGCTGGCCCCTGCGCCCCAGCCTCCCGGCTCCCGGCGGCTGCCTCGCGGGGCGCCTCCTCCTCCTCGGCCTCCGCGAGCGCCGCGGAAGCCCCGGCCACGGCCACGGCCCCGGCGTCCGCCTCCGTCCCCGCCGCCGCCTCCGCCGCCGCCTCTGGCTACCGCCGCTGCGGCTCCGGGCCGCTCGCTGTGGCGATCTCCGCCAGGCCGGCCGCGGCCTGGCCGCCGCCCACGGCCTCCCCGAGCTCCTCGCTCCGCCTGCATCTGGCCGCCGCTGGCGGTGCTGAGCGCGCGGGAGCCGAGCTGCGGCGGAGACGCCCTGGCCCCACCGGAAGCGGGCCGCACGGAGGAGCCGCGAGCGAAAGGCGCCCGGTAGCAGCGAGGCGCGGGGTGCGGGGCTAGGGATCGAGGCCGGCCGCAGCGGAGCGGGGCGGGGCGGGGCGGCCGGCGTCCCGCAGGTGGGGCCGGAACCGGGACCGCGGGAAGGCCGGACCGCTGGGAGCTGGAAGTGGTGGGGGTCTGCAGCGGGGCGGGGGGATTCTCAAGGCATCAGAGATAGGTTGGGGGAGAGACCGTGCTAAGTGCAAGGACGAGTCATAAAATAAAATTTGTATGATGTGAACTCTCGGAAAAAAAAAGTTTAAACGTATGTATTTGCATAAGAAAAGGTCTAAACAAATACATACTAAAATGTTAGTGGTTAACTGCTGAGATTTGAAGTGAGTTAATTTTTTTTCCTCCGTTTAATCTAATTTTCAGCAACGAATGTGTATCATTTTAAAACTATACCGAAGTCAGGGTTCAGGAGGTGTGGATGTAAAGACAAGAGTTTGTGTCTGGTGAGAGGTGGACTGCAGCACGTGGGAGAGAGAACAGTGCGAAACTGGGAGATGGCTAGAAAGGGCGTCAAAGTCCTCAGCAGAATTTCTGTAGAAATGACTACTACAGCTGACATTTATTGAGCACATGAGTATTTCATTCTCATAACAGCTCTATGAGGTAGGGATGACTGTCATCCTTATTCTGCAGTGAGGTAACAGCCTTGGAAAGGTTAAAAAAAACTTGACTAAAGTGAATAACTAGGTAGTGGTGGAACTGGCATTCTAAGGCGGTCTCACTCCAGTCCCTTCTTTCAACCAAGGAGAAAACAGGAAGGGGAACAGTTGGTTACACAGATGCATGAAAGCAGTTTTTAACTTGGGACTGAAACCACCTGAAAATAATGAAAGCAAGGGCTAAAATGTCAGCCTAGCAGAATAAGTGTTTTCTTCCCCCTCAGTACTTTCTGGTTCTTTCCTATATCCATACATAGTTAATACTTTTCATTGCTTCTAATTGCCTACTCTGCATCAGGCACAGTGCTATGTCCTGAAATTAAAAACAAAAACAAAAAAAAAACCTTGCCCCTGCCCTCAAGTAGCTCACTGCCCACAAGGAAGATAATCTAGTCGTGTGAATAGATGATTACAGTACCGTGTTGCTGAGTGCAGTGAGAGATTCAAGATCAAGGTCCAAAGAAGAAAAGTTAAATTATATTTAAACGGGTTACCCAAGGCTTCATGAGAAATAGACCCCTGAGCTAAAGCCTAATGGTTGAGTAGGAGTTTGCCTGGTTGGTAAATGGGAGTAGGGGCGCCTTCCAGACAGGGGGAACTATTGAAGGATTGTCAACTCCAGAGAAACAGTCTTAAAAATAGTAACACTTGTAGAGCACTTATATGCACCAAACACTATTCTACATACTTCTCATATCACTTCATTTGGGACTAATAGCTGGCCTACGAGGTAAGCTAGTGTTGTCTCCATTTTACAGATCAGGAATCTAAAACAGATGTTAAGTAACTTCCAAGATTACACAGTTACAGGCCAGGTGTGTGGTTCGTGCCTGTAATCCCAGCATTTTGGGAGGCTGTGGCGGGTGGATTGCCTGAGACATGAGTTCAAGATCAGCCTGGGCAACATGGTGAAACCCCATTTCTACAAAAATTAGCTGGGCATGGTGGTATATGCCTATAGTCCCACTACTTGGGAGGCTAAGATAGAGAATCATTTGAGCCCAGGAGGTTGAGGCTGTAGTGAGCTGTGATTGTACATGGGCAACAGAAGGAGACTGTCTAAAAAAAAAAAAAAGATTTCAACATGAATTTTGAGGGAGATGAACATTTAGACCATAGCAGTGGGGAAGGGGCATGGAAGAATATGGTTAAATATCTACCAGCATATCACTGGTCTGGCCTCTCACCAAGTTGAAGATCCACACATTAATCTCAAACTAGACATTTGCACAAATCGGAGTTTCTCAATGTTGGCAAATTTAGGGCTGGGTAACATTTTGTGGCGGTAGCTTATCCTGTGCATTGTAGAATATTTAATAGCATCCCTGGCCTCTACCCACTAGATGCCAGAATGAACCCCTCTCCCCCTCATTAAGACAACCAAAAACATCTCCAGACATTGCCAAATGTTCCCTGAGAGGCAATCACCCTGGATGAGAACCACTAGCACAGATAGATTGGTGCAAAAGGTACGTTTTAGTATCTAAGGAGCTACCGATGTAATTTATCCAAAAATTTATCCAGCCTTAAATTTGCCAACATTGAGAAACCCTGATTTGGGCAAATGTCTGGTATGAGATTAATATGTACATCTCCAATGTAGTGAGAGACGAGACCAGTGGGAAATAGGGCTTTAAGGAACTATATAACTATCCCTTGAGAAGCCTCCAAAATTATGAGGTTGAAAAGATCAGTGGCTTGCAGATTAAGCCAGTGTTATTAGGGCACATTCACTATGCTTGATACTTTCAACTAGTCAGTGTAAGACTCAGTAACACTTTTGAAAGGTATGCCATTTTAGAGAGAGATTGGTTTGTGGATGATGCCAAGTTTTTTTAACACTTATTTTGCACCTGATACTATTCTAAGCACTTTCCACGTACTAACTCATTAAATCTTCAAAATATCCCTATGAAATAAACACTATTATTATTCCTATTTTACAGATAAGAAAACTGAGTTGCAAAAAAGTTAAATAATTTGCTCAAGCTAGTAAGTAACAGAACTGGGATTTATACCAGTACAGTCTAATTCCAGAATCCATGCCTGTAAGTCTATTCTGCAGATGCCCTCAGAAGTCCGGGGGTATGTTACTCTCCATCTGTTCATTCAAGGCGTATCTTGTTTTTCTCAATTCAACCAAGAGTGTTTAGGATAGGAAAATTCTGAGGTCCCCCTTCTAGCACTTCCTAATTAGCGGACACAACTAGCCAAAGTTCTTTCAACAAGGATACGGTATATGCTGTCCTCGTGTGATTCTGGTCCAAAAATGTGTTATTAAGGTTTAAAAATACCACACAAGTACCTCCTGCATTTTGAGCAACCAGAGACCTTTGGATTGCATAAATAACAAAGGGAAGGAATCTTTTCTGGTATTGCTTTTGCTTGATAGTCCTGATTTTAAACATATGCCATTGCATGAATAAAAAATTCAGTTTTCCCTTAGGTAGGACTCATGAGAATTCATGAGTATCAAAACCAAAGTGCTGAATTATATAGGTAGCTCCTTAGAAACGAAACTGTACTTTTTGCATATTTTTAATACATACATGACCTAAGTTTTTTTTTTTTTTTTTTTTTGAGACGGAGTTTCGCACTTGTTGCCCAGGCTGGAGTACAATGGCGCAATCTCAGCTCACCACAACCTCTGCCTCCCAGGTTCAAGCGATTCTCCTGCCTCAGCTTCCTGAGTAGCTAGGATTACAGGCATGCACCACCACGCCCGGCTAATTTTTTTGTATTTTTAGTAGAGACGGGGTTTCTCCATGTTGGTCAGGCTGGTCTCAAACTCCCGACCTCAGGTGATCCATCCGCCTCAGCCTCCCAAAGTGCTGGGATTACAGGCAACAGCCACCGTGCCCGGCAACCTAAGTTATTTTTTAAATAAAATGGTAGCCAATTCCTTAAGGTAGTTGTTCTCAAAATGTAGGCCAGAAAAATAGCATCACCTGGGAACTTGTTAGAAATGCAAATTCAGAATTAAAACTCTGGGGATGAGGCCCAGTAATCTGTGTCTTAATAAACCTGCCAGTTGATTCTGATGCATCCTCAACTACTGTGTCAAGGTAGCATCTGAGCCTTCAAACATCACAAGAAACCCAGTAATTCCTAGTCTAAGACTATGGATTGGCCAGGCGCGGTGGCTCACGCCTGTAATCCCAGCACTTTGGGAGGCCGAGGTGGGTGGATCACGAGGTCAGGAGATTGAGACCATCCTGGCTAACACAGTGAAACCCCGTCTCTACTGAAAATACAAAAAATTAGCCAGGCATGGTGACGGGCGCCTGTAGTCCCAGCTACTTGGGAGGCTGAGGCAGGAGAATGGCGTGAACCTGGGAGGCAGAGCTTGCAGTGAGCCGAGATCACACCACTGCACTCCAGCCTGGGCGACCGAGCAAGAATCCGTCTCAAAAAAAAAAAAAAGACTATGGATCTCATAGGCTTTCACTGTTTGACGAAAAGTAGATGTTATGATAGGACTTAGAAAAAAATGCACTGTCCTCTTGCAAATATAAAGTTTGTGGGGAAAGTACCTCTTCCTGATTCTTCTCTTCATAGGCAAGCAGATTTTCTATAGTTTAGCTAGTTTCTCGTGCTTAATATATAAACAATGCAAACTGGAAAACACATAAGTTTCTCAGAAAGATGTCTTTATTTACTATGTTGTTTTGAACAGCTCCATCTACTACTGAGGGTGCTCACCAGCTACAGGGGGAGAGACTCTGGCATGAGCTATTCTTTCAGCCTGGAATCCACAGCCTGTACTCTGGTGGAGAAAAGGGAAAGTGAAGAGCTTACCAGGTCATAAGTCATAAGGGTACTTTGACTTGAAGGGCTGGAGTCATGATTAGAGAACTCCTGAAAATGCATGGAGCAAACTCCCAAAATACAGAATACATGACAATATCTTCTCCTCTCTCCTTCCACCCTCACTCTCAGCTGCTGACTTTGCTTTCTATTTCATGAAGAAATGAAAGCAACCAGAAAAGAATTTCCAGTGTTGCCATTACCACAACTCCCAGCCTACTTGTATCTGTACCTATATTGTCTGCCTTCCTTCCTGTTAGTATAGAGGGGTCTCTGTCCCAGTCCAAGGCCAAGGCCTCTATTACTGCACTAGATCTTATCTGTGATCACCTACTTGGGGACGTCTTTCCAGCAAATGCTCCCACTCTCCCCTGCACATCAGTTGGTACCTTCTAATGAATCATTCACATTAGCATACAAGCATGCTGTATTTTCGCCCTTTAAAAAAAATGAAAAAAAAAAAAAACTTCTTGGCTTTACACCCTAATCCAACTTCTGCATCATTTCTCTACTCCTTTTTATAGCAAAGTTCCTCAGAAGAGTCATCTATAGCACTGTCTCCAATTCTCCTTCTCCCATTCGCTATTTTATCCACTCCTCAAGCCTTTTGTGCCCACCACTTCACCAAAACAACTTAGCAAGTTTCACTGTGATCTCCATGTAACTAAATCCAATGGTCAGGTCACTGGCCTAATCTTACTTGGTTTATCAGTCTCATTTGATACAGTTGATTACTCCTTCCTCCTTGAAACATTTTATTGTTGTTGTTTCCAGAACAATACACTACCCTTAGGAATTTAAAGATATATATAATCCTTGCCCTAGGTTTGTGGGGAAGACTTGGGCAACAGTCAAGGGCTTCTGTACCTCCAGATTCTCACATAACTTTGTTTATGACAGTACTTCCCAGACTTCTTCATGTCTTGGCACACATAGAAAATGGTAATATTTTCCCAGTACTCTGGAATAACAAGACAATACTGCTCCCAACAGAAGGGGACCCACCTAGCCAACCCCATAGCCTGTGGCAGGAGTCGACAGTGTATGCGTTAAATGGGTCCAGTTTATGCCTTCATGTGAAGCAGTTTCACCTATTTTCCTGTCCTATAGCAATACAGTAATTTGGCTGGGCGCGGTGGCTCATGCCTGTAATCCCAGCACTTTGGGAGGCCGAGGCGGGAGGATCATGAGGTCAGGAGATGGAGACCATCCTAGCTAATAGGGTGAAACCCCGTCTCTTAAAAATACAAAAAATTAGCTGGGCATGGTGGTGGGTGCCTGTAGTCCCAGCTACTCAGGAGGCTGAGGCAGGAGAATGGCATGAACCTGGGAGGCGGAGCTTGCAGTGAGCCGAGATCGTGCCACTGCACTCCAGCCTGGGCGACAGAGCGAGACTCTGTCTCAAAAATTAGTAATAATAATAAAAAATAAAGTAATTTAATGACCTCAGTAACAGACCTCTCTGTCACCTGAATTTGGTCTAAAAACTCAACTTTATTCTTACATTCTCTTTTTCTTAGAGCTATAAAGATGAACTCTTTCAGTTCAAGGACTATCGTATATCTCTTTTATATGCCCCACAGCAGCTGGCACACTAGTGAACACAAAGTATGTTCTAAAGAACATGTCACATTGAAATCCTGCTCTGGATATTATTGCTTCAGAGGTATTAAGAGGTCATTTCTTAATCACCACCTTATCTTCAGTCAGCAATTTGATTCTACCAGTCAAAAGGAGTTAGATATATCTTACTTTAAAATATTCACCAAAAAAATGCAAGTCCAGAACCTCCCTTATTCATTCACACGCTCTTTCACTGCAAGTCCTTCCTCATATCTAACACAGTGGTACCCCATGTGCTTTAAGCCTACTTTGTCTTGATTTGTCCTTGAAAAGGAAGGAGGGAGTCACTCATCAATATTCTACATAACAATATGAGCTGGTTATCATGATGTCCCAATATCACTGGGTTGTAGATGCCATTAAAGTTTTCCACTGTAGTTGCTATAGAAACAATGAAGAGTAACAAGGACAGGTTCAGGCATAAAGCTTCTCATAAAAAAAAAAAGGTGTTTCAGAAAACGAAGGCCTAACCTCACTTAGGAAAAGCCTCAAAAGTTGGCAAGTCCACTCGACAAGAAAAGGAATTCATTTGGTACACAGGGTTACCTTCTTTGATTTTTATGTTGCTTTGCTTCATTTGTAATGTATTGACAGCAGAGAACAAGAAACAATCGGCCAAGGTTGGAAACCCAGAGGCTTTTATTACTGTGGGAGTCTTTGTCTTATGTAGTGGTAGAAAATAAACCTGAGATGATTACTGCTCTCTCTTAATGCTGGTATCCTAAAAATAAACATACTCTAGATGGTGGGATGAAAAATGGGAACTGTTAAAGTTTGAGTAATCAGGGAAGAGCTCAAAAGGATCCACACTCCCAGATAACCACTTATATTTCATTTGCCTCTGCAACTTTCCTCAAAAATAAGTTACCCTTTCAAAAACATAATCAATGATTTAAGAAGTTTATTGTGGAAAACATTCAGGCTGGAAACTCAGTTTTCATACTCAACTATCATCCAAAAAAATAAATCAATCCATCAGCCGTGGAACCTACCTTATGTTCCAAATCTTTTTGTGGAAAGATCTGTCCAGCAGCCTAGGAATCAGGAAAAGTTATTCTCCCAAAAAGTGAGGCAGGAAAAAAAAAAAAAACGGGAAAAAGAGAAGGCAGAAAATCTCTAAAGGCTAATTATATTAATTTCGAACAGGAGAAAAAAATTTTTTTAACTCAAGTGATTTTGGAAGGCAGAGGGGGATTCAAATGTTACTGCACATTGCAGTTGGAAAATTCCAATTTAACAGCCCCTTTGTGAACGATCATTCCCCTTTTCTAGGAACCTAGGAAATCATTCTCAGCCTTGCAACTTAAAATATGGTACATGGATCAGTAGCATCAAGAATACTCAGGAGCTTTTCAGAAATGTGCAATTGTGAAATATGGCCAAGATGGCGGATTAGAAGCAGCGGCAGCCCGCAGCTCTCATGCAAAGGAATGAAAGGTGTGAGTGAATACAGCGCCTTCAACTGAAATATCCAGGTTCTCGCTTTGGGACTAATTGGGCAAACAACTTGACCCACAGAAAACAAAGAAAAGCAGGGTGGGGTGACGGCCCACCTGGGAGCAGCACAGAGCCAAAGGAACCCCCACCTCCAGCCAAGGGAAGCGGTGAGTGATTGTGCGACCCCACCGGGGAAACCACATTTCTCCCACAGGTCTTTGCAACCCATGGAAAAGGAGATCTCCTTGTGAGCCCATGCCAGCAGAGCCTTAGGTCCAACACACAGAGCTGTGCGGAGTTTCAGCAGAGCAGCCGCTCAGGCACAAACAGAGACCTAGCAGGGCTTTTTTGTTTTGGTTTTTTTGTTGGTTTTTTTTTTTTTCTTTTTTTGGAGACGGAGTCTCGTTCTGTCGCCCAGGCTGGAGTGCAGTGACACGATCTCGGCTCACTGCAAGCTCCGCCTCCCGGGTTCACGCCATTCTCCTGCCTCAGCCTCCCGAGTAGCTGGGACTACAGGCGCCCGCCACCATGCCCTGCTAACTTTTTGTATTTTTAGTAGAGACGGGGTTTCACCGTGTTAGCCAGAATGGTCTGGATCTCCTGACCTGATGATCCGCCCGTGTCAGCCTCCCAAAGTGCTGGGATTACAGGCGTGAGCCACCGTGCCCGGCGGAGACCTAGCAGTTTTACATACTCCAACGCTGGGATCCCTGGCAAGGCGGGAGGTCCATCTGCACATACCCCTAGGAAGAGGGCTGAAACCAGGGAGCCAAGCAGCATCTTTCTGCAGGCCCCACTTCCCTGGCACCTCACAAGATAAGACCCACTGACTTGGAATTCCAGCCAGCCAACAGTAAAAGCCAGAGTCTGCCTGAGAGAGAATTGAGCTCCCAGCGGGAGGATGACTGTTACCTCTGTGGTTCAGTTGACTCAGCCATTCTAGCTTGCGGCTTTGGAGAATCGAAACAGTCCAGACAAGGAAAGGTCCCTCCCAACGCAAGCACAGCTGCTTTGTCAGTTGGTGGCCAGACTGCTTGTTTTGTCTTTGTTTTGTTTTGTTTTTGGAGATAGTCTCACTTTGTCACCCAGGCTGGAGTGCAATGGCGCAATCTCGGCTTACTGCAACCTCTGCCTCCTGAGCTCAAGTAATCCTCCCACCTCAGCCTCCCGCACCCTGTTTCCCAGGATGAGGGGCTCTCCACACCAGATCCCAGAAATAAGAAATCAAAGGGTGCACGGGAGAAGGGATGGGGTCAAACAATAGGACCAAGTGAGTGGAGTAGCTGGGACTACAGGCACACATCACCACGTCCAGCTCGTGTGTGTGTGTGTTTGTGTGTGTGTGTGTTTGGTAGATATGGGAGTTTCACCCTGTTGCCCAGGCTGGTCTGAAACTCCTGAACTCAAGCAATCCACTTGCCTCGGCTTTCCAAAGTGCTGGGATTACAGGCGTAAGCCACCACACCCGGCCAGACTGCTTCTTTAAGCAGGACCCGGATCCATTCCTCCTCACTGGGTGGGATCTCCCTGTGGGAGCTTCAACCACTCCAGCCAGGGTTATATGGATAGAGCTCTGATCTTTCCCTGGGATGGAGCTCCCAGAGGGAGGGGCAGCCGCCATCTGTGTGGTTTGGTTGACTCAGCTGTTCCAGCCTGCTGGCTTTGGAGAGTCCAAATGGTCCTGACAAGGAAGGGTCCCCCACAACGAGCACAGCTGCTTTGCCAGATCATGGCCAGGCTGCTTCTTTAAGTGGGACCTGGATCCATTCCTCCTCACTGGGCAGGACCTCCATGTGGGGGTTTCAGCCACTCTAGCCAGGGTTATACAGACAGAGCTCTGATTTCTCCCTGGGATGGAGCTCCCAGGAGGAGGGGCAGCCGCCATCTCTACAGTTTGGTTGACTCAGCCATTCCAGCCTGCTGGCTTTGGAGAGTCCAAACAGTCTGGACAAGGAACAGTGCCCCCACAATGCAGCACACCTGCTCTACCAAAAAGCAGCCAGACTGCTTCTTTAAGTGGGTCCCTGATCCCATTCCTCCTGACTGACACCTCCCAAAAGGAGTCTGTGGCCTAGGTGTGTCTGGGCCAGCAACAGGTCAGTATCCTCCTGGGATGGAGCCTCCAAAGGAAGGAGCAGTCTGCCACCTTTGCTGTTTTGCATACCTGGTGGTATGTTTTGCAGCATACCACCAGGTATGAGAACAACCGAGGTGACTAGGGTCTGGAGTGGACCCACGGCAAACTGCAGCAGCCCTGTGGAAGAGTTGTCTGACTGTTAAAAGAAAAACAAACAAACAGAAAACAACAACATCAACAGAAAAGACCCCACAAAAACCTATTTCAAGGTCAGCAACCTCAAAGCTCAAAGGTAGATAAGCCCACAAAGATGAGACAGATTCAACACAAAAATGCTGAAAACTCAAAAAGACAGAGTGCGTCTCTGCCTCCAAATGACTGCACACCTCTCCAGCAAAGGCACAGAACTGGGCTGAAGCTGAGATGGCTGAATTGACAGAACTAGGCTTCTGAAAGTGGGTAATAACAAACTTCACTGAGCTAAAGGACCATGTTGTAACCCAATGCAAGGGAGCTATGAATCATGAGAAAACAATGCAGGAGCTGACAGCCAGAGTAGCCAGTTTAGAGAGGAACATAACAGACCTAATGGTGCTGAAAAACACACTATGAGAACTTTACAATGCAATCACAAGTATCAAGAGCAGAATAGACCAGTGGAAAAAAGAATCGCAGAGTTTGAAGACTATTTTTCTGAAATAAGACAGGCATACAAGAATGGAGAAAAAAAGAATGAAAAGGATCATGGGATTATGTAAAGCAAAACCCATGACTGATTGGGGTACCTGAAAGAGACAGGGAGAATGGAACCGAGTTGGAAAACATACTTCAGGATATCAGTCAGGAGAATTTCCCCAACCTAGCAAGTCAGGCCAACGTTCAAATTGAAAAAATGCAGAGAACCCCAGTAAGATACTCCACAAGAAGATCAACCCCAAGACACACAATCATCAGATTCTCCAACGTTGAAATGAAAGAAAAAATATTAAGGGCAGCCAGAGAGAAGGGCCAGTTCACCTACAAAAGGAAGCCCATGAGACTAACAGCAGGCCTCTTGGTGGAAATCCTACAAGCCAGAAGAGACTGGGGCCAATAATCAACATCAACTTTTTTTTTTTTTTTTTGAGACAGGATCTCACTCCATCACCTAGGCTGGAGTGCAGTGGCACAATCTCAGCTCACTGCAACCTCTGCCTCCTGGATTCAAGCCATTCTCTCATCTCAGCCTCCCGAGTAGCTGGGACTACAGGCACCTGCCACCATGCCTGGCTAATTTTTGTATTTTTAGTAGAGATGGGGTTTCACCTTGTTGGTCAGGCTGGTCTTGAACTCCTGACCTCAGGTGATCCACCCACCTCGGCCTCCCAAAGTGCTGGGATTACAGGCGTGAGCCCCCATGCCTGGCCTCAACATTCTAAAAGAAAAGAATGTCCAGACCAGAATTTCAGATCCAGCCCAACTAAGCTTTATAAGTAAAGGAGAAATAAGATCCTTTGCAGACAAGCAAATGCTGAGGGAATTTGTCACCATTGGGCCTGCCTTGCAAGAGCTCCTGAAGCTTCCATATTAAGCACTAAATATGGAAAGAAAACCCGTTACCGGACACTACAAAAACACACTGAAGTACACAGACCAGTGACATTATGAAGCAACCACATAAAAATGTCTGCAAAATAACCAGCTAGCATCATGATGACAGGATCAAATTCACACATAACCATACTAACCTTAAACGTAAATAGGCTAAATGCCCCAATTAAAAGACACAGAATGACAAGCTGGATAAAGTGCCAAGACCCATCAGTATGCTGTCTTCAAGAGACTCATCTCATGTGTGAAGACACACATAGGCTCAAAATAAAGGAATGGAGAAAAATTTACCAAACAAATGGAAAACAGAAAAAAGTAGGGGTTGCCATCCTAGTTTCTGACAAAACAGACTTTAAACCAATAAGATCAAAAAAGAGAAAGAAGGGCATTACATAATGGTAAAGGGTTCAATTCAACAAGAAGAGCTAACTATCCTAAATGTATATGCACCCAATACAGGAGCACCCAGATTCATAAAACAAGTTCTTAGAGACCTACAAAGAGACTTAGACTCCCAAACAATAATAGTGGGAGACTTTAACACCCCACCGACTATATTAGACAGATCACTGAGAGAGAAAATTAACAATGATATTCAGGACCTGAACTCAGTTCTGAATCAAGTGGACCTGATAGATATTTATAGAACTCTCCACCCCAAAACAACAGAATAAACATTCTTCTCATCACCCACAGAACTTACTCTAAAACTGATTACATAATCAGAAGTAAAACACTCCTCAGCAAATACAAAAGAACTGAAATAATAATAGTCTGTCAGACCACAGCGCAATCAAATTAGAACTCAAGATTAAGAAATTCACTCACAACCACACAACTACATGGAAACTGAACAACCTACTCCTGAATGACTCCTGGGCAAATAATGAAATTAAGACAGAAATCAAGAAGTTCTTTGAAACTGAAACAAAGGACAAAGTACCAAAATTTCTGGGATGCAGCTAAAGCAGTGTTAAGAGGGAAATTTATAGCACTAAATGCTTATATCAAAAAGCTAGAAAGATCTCAAGTTAAAAACCTAACATCACAACAAAAAGAACTAGAGAATCAAGAGCAAACAAATTCCAAAGCTAGAAGATGACAAGAAATAACTAAGATCAGAGTTGAACTGAAGGAGATAGAGACAAGAAAAACACTTTCAAAAATCAACAAATCTAGGAGCTGGTTTTTTGAAAATAGGTAAAATAGATAAACCACTAATTAGACTAATAAAGAAGAAAAGAGAGAAGAATCAAATAAACACAATCATAAATGATAAGGGAGAAATCACCATTGACCCCACAGAAATCCAAACAATCATCAGAGAATACTATAAACACTTCTATGCACGTAAACTAGAAAATCTAGAAGAAATGGATAAATCCTGAACACATACACCCTCCCAAGACTGAACCAAGAAGAAACTGAATCCCTTAATAGACCAATAATGAGTTCTGAAATTGAGGCACTAATAAATAGCCTACCAACCAAAAAAAGAAAAAAAAAACCCAGGACCAGACAGATTTACAGCAGAATTCTACCACAGGTACAAAGAGCTGGTACCACTCCTACTGAAACTATCTGAAAAAATTGAAAAGGAGGGACTCCTCCCTGACTCATTCTATGAAGCCAGCATCATCCTGATACCAAAGCCTGGCAGAGATACAACAAAAAAAAGAAAACTTCAGGCCAACATCTTTGATGAACACTGATGCAAAAATCCTCAATGAAATACTGGCAAATGAAATCCAGCAGCACATCAAAAAGTTTATCCACCACAATCAAGTTGGCTTCATCCCTGGGATGCAAGGTTGGTTCAACATATGCAAATCAATAAATGCACTTCATCACATAAACAGAACTAAAGAAAAAAAACCACATGATTATCTCCATAGATGCAGAAAAGGCTTTGAAAAAATTTAAATCCCTTCATATTAAAAACTCTGAATAAGCTAGGTATTTAAAAAACATACCACAAAATAATAAAAGCCACCTGTGACAGACTCACAGCCAATGTCATACCAAATGGACAAAAGCTGGAAGCATTCCCCATGAAAACCAGCACAAGACAAGGGTACTCTGTCTTACCACTCCTATTCAACATAGTATTCAAAGTTCTGGCCAGGGCAATCAGGCAAGAGAAAGAAATGAAGCATATTCAAATAGGAAGACAGGATGTCAAATTATCTTTGTTTGCAGATAATATAATTCTATGTCCAGAAAGCTCCATCATTTCAGCCTAAAAGCTTCTTAAGCTGATAAGCAATTTCAGCAGTCTCAGGATGCAAAATCAATGTGCAAAAATTGCTAGCATTCCTATACATCAACAACAGGAAAGCACAGAGCCAAATCGTGAATGAATTCCCATTCACAATTGCTACAAAGAGAATAAAATACCTAGGAATACAGCTAACAAGGGAAGTGAAGGACCTCTTCAAGGAGAACTGCAAACCAATGCTCAATGAAATCAGAGAGGACACAAACAAATGGAAAAACATCCCATGCTCATGGATAGGAAGAATGAATATCATGAAAATAGTCATACTGCCCAAAGTAGTTTATAGATTCAATGCTAATCTCATGAAACTACCATTGATATTCTTCACAAAATTAGAAAAAAACTACTTAAAAATTCATATGGAACCAGGCCAGGTGCAGTGGCTCAAACCTGTAATCCCAGCACTTTGGGAGGCCAAGGCAGGCAGATCACTTGAGATCAGGAATTTGAGACGAGCCTAGCCAATATGGTGAAACCCCATCTCTACTAAAATTACAAAAATTATCCAGACATGGTGGTGGGTGCCTACAGTCCCAGCTACTCAGGAGGCTGAGGCAGGAGAATTGCTTGAACCCAGGAGGCAGAGGTTGCAGTGAGCCAAGATCATGCCACTGCACTCCAGCCTGGGTGACAGAGTGAGACTCCATCTCAAAAAAAAAAAAAAAAAAAAATATATATATATATATATATATATGGAACTGAAAAGAACCCATATAGCCAAGATAATCCGAAGGAAAAAGAACAAAGCTGGAGGTGTCGTGCTACCTACTTCCAAACTGTACTACAAGGCTACAGTAATCAAAACAGCATGGTAATGGTACAAAAATAGACACGTAGGCCAATGGAACAGAATAGAGAATTCAGAAATAAAACTACACATCTACAAACATCTGATCTTTGACAAACCTAACAAAAACAAGCAGTGGGGAAAGGATTCCCTATTTCATAAATGGTGCTGAGAGAACTGGCTAGCTATATGCAGAAAATTGAAACTGGACTCCTTCCTTATACCTTATACAAAAATTAACTCAAGATGAATTAAAGATTTAAATGTAAAACCCAAAACTATAAAAACTCTAGAAGAAAAGCTAGGCAATACCGTTCAGGACATAGGCAAAGGCAAAGATTTCATGATGAAAGCATTAAAAGCAATTGCAACAAAGCAAAAATTGACAAATAGGATCTAATTAAACTAAAGAGCCTCTGCACAGCAAAAGAAACTATCATCAGAGTGAATAGACAACTTACAGAATGGGAGAAAAATTTTGCAATCTATCCATCTGACAAAGGGCTAATATCCAGAATCTACAAGGAACATAAACAAATTTATGAGAAAAAAACAACCCCATCAAAAAGTGGGCAAAGAACCTGTATGAACAAACACTTCTCAAAAGAAGACATACATGCGGCCAAAAAACGTGAAAAAAAAACTCAACATCACTGATCATTAGAGAAATGCAAATCAAAAACACAATGAGATCCCATCTCATGCCAGTGAGAATGACTATTATTAAAACTCGAGAAAACAACAGATGCTGGCAAGGCTGTGGAGAAAAAGGAACACTTCTACACTGCTGGTGGGAGTGTAAATTAGTTCAACCATTGTGGAATACTGTGTGGCAATTCCTCAAAGTCCTAGAGGCAGACATACCATTTGACCTAGTAATCTCATTACTGAGTATATACCCAAGGGACTATAAATCATTCTATCATAAAGATACATGCATGTGTATGTTCACTGCAGCACTATCCACAATAGCAAAGACATAGAATCAATCTAAATGCCCATCAACAATAGACTGGATAAAAAATGTGGTACAGATACACCATGGAATACTATGCAGCCATAAAAAGGAACAAGATTATGTCCTTTGCAGGGACATAGATGGAGTTGGAAGCTATTACCCTGAGCAGACTAACACAGGAACAGAAAACGAAAACTAAACACCGCATGTTCTCACTTATAAGTAAGAGCTGAATGATGAGAGAACACAAGGGCACATCCAGGGAAACAACACACACTGGAGCCTGTGGGGGTGAGGGTAGGAGGAGGGAGAACATCAAGAAGAATAGGTAATAGATGTTGGGCTTAATACCTAGGTAATGGGATGATGTGTGCAGCAAACCACCCTGGCACACGTTTACCTATGTAACAAACCTGCACCTCCTGCACATGTATCCCTGAACTTAAGATAAATGTTGGGAAAAAAAGGAACAAATGGTTGCTTGAAAACAATTTTAAAACATCTTAAAAGTAAATAAGCTGGGTGCGGTGGCTCACACCTGTAATCCCAGCACTTTGGGAGGCCAAGGCAGGCAGATCACCTGAAGTCAGGAGTTCGAGACCAGCCTGACCAACATGGAGAAACCCCATCTCTACTAAAAATACAAAATTAGCTGGGCATGGTGGCACATGCCTGTAATCCCAGCTACTCAGGAGGCTGAGGCAGGAGAATCACTTGAACCCGGGAGGCGGCGATTGCGGTGAGCCGAGATCACACCATTGCACTCCAGCCTGGGCAGAAAGAGTGAAACTCCGTCTCAAAAAAAAAAAAGTAAATAAACAAGGCCAGGCCCGGTAGCTCGCACCTGTAATCCCAGCATTTGGGAGGCCGAGGTGGGTGGATCTCTTGAGGCCAGGAGTTTGAGACCAGCCTGGCCAACATGATTAAACCCCATCTCTACTAAAAATACAAAAAATTATAATTATCTGTGTGTGGTGGTGTGCACCTGTAGTCCCAGCTACTCAGGAGGCTGAGGCAGGAGAATCTCCTGGATCCGGGAGGAAGAGGTTACAGTGAGCTGTGATCACGCCACTGCATTCCAGCCTGGGCAACAGAGTGAAACACTCTCTCAAAAAAATAAATATAGGCTGGGCACAGTGGCTCATGCCTGTAATCCCAGCACTTTGGGAGGCTGAGGTGGGCGGATCATGAGGTCAGGAGATCAAGACCATCCTGGCTAACATGGTGAAACCCTGTCTCTACTAAAAATACAAAAAATTAGCCAGGCATGGTGGCGGGTGCCTGTAGCCCCAGCTACTCAGGAGGCTGAGGCAGGAGAATGGTGTGAACCCGGGAGGTGGAGCTTGCAGTGAGCCGAGATCACACCACTGCACTCCAGCCTGGGCGACGGAGCAAGACTCTGTCACAAAAAATAAATAAATAAATAAATAAAAATAAACAAATAAATAAAATGTGGAAATGCAAGTCCCACCCTTCTACAATTTAACAAGATTATCCAGGTAATTCATATGCATATTAAATTTTGAGACACACTGATTACAAAATCCTGGTGACCTCAGGTGATCTGCCTACCTCAGCCTCCCAAAGTGCTGGGATTACATGTGTGAGCCACCACACCCAGCCTAAGCAGGTATTGTTATACGTGTTTAACAGATGAGAAAGCCAGGAACTCAAAATATGCTGAGGGCTGTTTTCACTACACTAACTTCCAAAGCAGCTAAGTAACTGCCGTTTCCCTAGTTAAGAATAGAAGAAAGTTGAGGGCTAAAATTAATAGTTTCCAGTGTTTTCTACTGTGAGCCTATAAGAAGAGCCTGAAAGCATTTTAAAGGATAAACCATTAATTCCAGTCTCTTAATTCCATATATGGAGAAACTGGGGCCCAGAGAGAATACATGGCTTGTCTCAAATCACAAGATTTTAGCCGAAATTAGAACTCCTACTCCATACTCCTAGTTCATTGTTTTTTACTAAAATGCATTTCCCAAATGTGATTCATGGATTCCACAGGATATTAACAGACATTCCTCTGAGAAAGGCTAGATAAGCTAAGCTACCTCTGTGTTAAGCCAAATTAAGTAATGTTCTCTACTGCAGAACCTCCCAGCTTTCACTAGGCTAATGTGTCTTCTGAATCTTTGAGAGCTCTACATACTACATGGTATTTTCTCAATTTATCAGATCATGAAACCTTTTCAATCATGCATTTGAAGTAGTCCTAGTCTATGAGCAGACTCTGAGGAAGACTGTGTTAGCCTCGGCTCTCCTCAAGGTTGTTCTGCTTGAATGATTGGGAGCAGTTTGTTATGTTCCTAGAGGTAGAGCGCCCACCAAAAAAACTAAAGAGGAAGGGCCAGGTGTGATGTAATCCCAGCACTTTGGAAGGTTGAGGCAGGCAGATCACTTGAGGCCAGGAGTTCGAGGCCAGGAGTTCAAGGCCAGCCTGAGCAACATAGCGAGACCCTATCTCAAAGCAAAATGAAACCAGAAAAAAATTAGCTAGGGATTGTGGCACATGCCTGTAGTCCCAGCCACTCAGGAGGTTAAGGTGGGGGGATCCCTTGAGCCCAAGAGGTTGAGGTTGCAGTGAACTATGATCACACCACTGCAATCCAGTGTTAGCACCACAAAGCATCTAAAAGAGCCAGTTTGTGGTCGTGAAAATATTGCCTTATTATTTTACCCTGTCCCTTAATAACCATGCCTCAGGCTCATTCCTACCAGGAGAAGAGTTTTGGTTTTTTTTGGTTTTTTTTTTTAGGTGGAGTCTTGCTGTGTCACCAGGCTGGAGTGCAGTCGCATGATCTTGGCTCACTGCAGCAACCTCGGCTTCCCAGGTTCAAGCGATTCTCCTGCCTCAGCATCCTGAGTAGCTGAGAATATAGGCACATGCCACCACGCCCAGCTAATTTTTTTTTTTTGTATTTTTAGTAGAGACGGGGTTTCACCATGTTAGCCAGGATGGTCTTGATCTCTTTACCGCATGATCCACCCACCTCGGCTTCCCAAAGTGCTGGGATTACAGGCATGAGCCACTGTGCCCAGCCAGAATAGTCATTTTGATGCTCTTGTTGCTGGATTGCTACTTTGTAGTGAACATTCCCTTGTGTCAGGCACTGGCTGAATACAACATGGGTTATCTCATTTAATACTTAAAACAATCCTATGAGGTAAGGACTGTTTTTATCCCCACCTCAAAGTTTAAAATCTGAGACTCAGGTTAAGTAATGTGTCCAAAGTCATACAGTAAGTTGGAGCCATATGTTGTAGCCCACACCTGTAGTCCCAGCTACGTGGGAGGCTGAGGCAGGAGGATCGCTTGAGGCCATGGGTTCCAGCTTCAGTGAGCTATGATGGTGACACTGTTCTCCAGCCTGAGTGATAGAGCAAGACCTTGTTTCTAATAAATTAATTAATGTCATACAGCAAGTAATGGAACTAGGTTTTTAATCTGAAGCTGACCAATGCCAAATTGTGATATGATTGTGAGGTGATGTTACCACTGTAAATTATTTTCTTTTCCCTTTTAGCAAAGAGCTTATTCCATTTATCAGAGAGAGAGAGATTTATTTTTATTTTAAAGGACTGGGTCACATGATTGTAGGGGCTAGCAAATCTGAAATCTGCAGGCAAGCTGGAAAATCCAGCAGGAATCAATGTTGCTGTCTTGAGTTCTAAGGCAGTTTGGTGACAGAATTCCTTGCTCTTTTCATTCGGCACCTCAGTCTTCCCTTAACCCCTTCAAATGATCGAATGAGGCCTACCCACATTATGGTGGGTAATCTTCTTTACTTAAATTCTACTGATTTCAGTATTAATCATATCTGAAAATACCTTCGCAGCAATATCTAGACTGGTGTTTGACAAAACAACTGGGTACTGTAGCCTAACCAAGTGGACACATAAAATTAACCATCACACTATTGATAAATAAAAAATTACAGGAGGTCATTGTTTTGGACTAAGCTCTTGAACTAGGCTCCAACAAACCAGAATAAAAATCAAAATGGAGCCACCCATACTAAAGTTCCAAGTCAACAAACCTAAACTAAGTTGTTATTTGACCTGAGAAATCAGGAGAGAGAGAGAGCCAATTTCCCAAACAGGCCACTATAAATCTTCAATCAGCATAATAAGGAAGTTCTCTCTGCTTTAATTCTAACACACACACACACACACACACACACACACACACACACAGCCTGAAGTAACCTGATGTTAACTAACCAGTTATTTTCTGTTGTTCTGTCTGGAAGTAACTAATACACCCTTGTTCTTTGCTTCTGCTTTCTTCAGGCCTTCTCTGCCTATAAAGCCAAATTCTTCTGGTCAGCTCATCAGAACATTTATTTCACAAAATGAAGAATTGCCTGATTCTAGAATCACAAATAAAGCCAACTGAGATCTTTACAATTGTTTTAATTTTGTTTTTTGACACAATATAATATACAAAGTCATAGAAATGTAGGTATGTTAGTTCCCATAGTCCAATTTCCTTTTTTTCTTAACTTTCTTCTTTTGAAACAGAGTCTCACTCTGTCGCCCAGGCTGGAATGCAGTGGCAAGATCTTGGCTCACTGCAACCTCCACCTCCTGAGTTCAAGCAATTCTCCTGCCTCAACCTCCCAAGTAGCTAAGATTACAGGCACACACCACCATGCCCAGCTAACTTTTGCATTTTTAGTAGAGACAGGGTTTCATCATGTTGGCCAGGCTGGTCTCGAATTCCTGACCTCAGGCTATCCACCCGCCTCGGCCTCCCAAAGTGCTGGGATTACAGGCGTGAGCCACCACACCTGGCCTCCTTATTTTTTCTAATGAGGAAACAGATGAAAAAGAAGTACCCAGGCTATACATGTGTCCAAAGGAGTATGTGCACATCCAAATTCCCAGAAACTTCCATAAATTGCTTATGACCTGATAATAAAATTAAGTGGAAAAATTAAATCCTTCCAAAACACCATGTATTCCTATTTTGAAGAATTGATTAGAAAAAATTCAGCAAGCGGTCAGATCATTTTACTACTTCTCTCCGGACTAATGCTCCCCAACACCTGGATGTTGGGACTACCTTCAGAGTAGATGGGGAGTCTGGAAATAGCTGACACAGCTCTCCCATAAAGCTGACTTTTCTCTTAGGTCCTCTCCTGTCCCTCCTTCTCCTGCCAGCCTCTCCAGTTTCACCTTTCACTTCTCAGCTTTCTTTGGCTCCAGCTACCTTGTTTCTTTCCATTCCTCCTCTTTTGCCTCTGGGCTTACAAACAAGCTCTTCCCTTCCCTGTCTGAAACATTCTGGCACTAGCATCCCCAGCCTCCACCCACCTTTTGCCTAGCTATTGGTGACTTCATTCTTCAAGTCTCGACTCTTAGGTCTCTTCCTCAGGAAGTGCTTCCCATGTCCACTCAACGAGGCTGGAGGTCCTTCACAGGTGCCCCTATGGCATGTTGCACCCCTGCTATTTCTATCTGCTAATTTATTTACATTCCCAACTAGTGTCTAAAGAGCAGAGACATTAGCCTATTCCATGGTATCGCCAGCATTAGAGTCTGTTCCATAATAAACATTCAAATATTTAAGAGGGGCAGGAGAGGAAGGAAGAAAAGAAAGAATAAAGGAGAAAGCGATTTCCACAGGCCCTTTTTTGCACTGTGTGGCTTAGATCTGACCATTGGAAGATAATCTGTGATGGCATTTGCCTAGAGATTTGTAGAGTGTAGAGTAACTGGTCTTTTCAGATGCTGGGGAATCTCTACCTAATGACCTGGCAACCTTAGAATTTGCTTCAACAACTTGAAGAATGTTGATAACACCGAGGTATTATAGGTATAAGCTGACAGTTGGTAGCAGCAGGAATGGAGAGGGACCAAAAAGAGGAGTCTTCGTGGGTCAGTTAGACTGCATGTGTTTGGGAGGTGAAGAAGCATGCAAGATTGGGAAGATGGGAGAATCTGGTTTCCGGTGCAAGACAATATCATCAACTCGATTCCATATTGAATTTGAGGTGTTATGAAAACACCCAAAATTACAGCTGAAAATATAAAGCAAAGCCAAGAAAACTGTAGCCCTTTGCAAATTTGTCACCTTTCTGTCAGTTACTGTTATCAAAAAAGTGTCAAGACTGGCCATAGGCAGAGCAGAAATACCCCATTAAATAAAATTGCCCACATGGGGTATTTTAAGGGTCATCAAAAAGATTTTCACCGGGCACGGTGGCTTTCGCCTGTAATCCCAGAACTTTGGGAAGCTGAGGTGGGTGGATCGCCTGGGGTCAGGAGTTCGAGACCAGTCTGGCCAACATGGCGAAACCTCATCTCTACTAAAAAGTACAAAAATTAGCCAGGCTTGGTGGCTGTAATCCCAGCTACTCAGGAGGCTGAGGCAGGAGAATTGCTTGAACCCAAGGGGCAGAGGTTGCAGTGAGCCGAGATGGTGCCACTACACTTCAGCCTGGGTGACAAGGGCAAGACTCTGTTAGCCGGGCGTGGTGGCAGGCGCCTGTAGTCCCAGCTACTGGGGAGGCTGAGGCAGGAGAATGGCGTGAACCCAGGAGGCGGAGCTTGCAGTGAGCCGAGATAGCGCCACTGTACTCCAGCTTGGGCAACAGAGCGAGACTCCGTCTCAAAAAAAAAAAAAAAGATTTTTTTTTTCCCTTTACCGCCCATTATCATGTCAAGGTGGTGTTTGTTATATATCATCAAATTTATGTTGTATGCATATATATCTCTAGAAGGAAAAATAAATGGTAGCAGTGGTTACCTCTGAAAATGGGGAGCTTGCAAGCTTGGAGGTCAGAGGTGGGAGGGAGACCTAATTTCTACAATTTACCCTTTAGTACACACTGAAATCTTTATCATGTACATAGATTTTTTAATCTACAAAGGGAAAATTTCATTTTAGTTTTGAAAGTTAAAATTTGTCAACAGAGGGTTAATTAAATATAGTACATCCATTAAGTGGAATAATGTACAGTCATTACAATGAAAGTGGTAGCTCTAGATGTACTGATAAAAAGCTGTCTGTGATAATTCATTTGTTAAGTAAAAAACAAAATTCAAATTGTAAATGGTAAAAGGCACCCATTTAAAATAATTATTAGTATATGCATAGGGGAAATTGTATTTAAATATTTATTTATTAGTATATGCATATGGGAAAATGCCAAAATATACACTAAACTGTTAGCATTGATTACCTCTGCAAGGTGGAATTAGAGGAGACTTTTGCTTTCTAAGATTTACATTTTGACATTGTTTGAGCTTTTATAAGGAATGTATTACTCTATAACCAGAAAAAAGATAACCTAAAACAATTCTATGATATTGCAAATAGTTCAGGAACAGAGAGAAGGTCCTTATCTTCAGCAGCTGGGGCAAATGTAAAACCCCCTAGATGAAAACCAGATATGCACTTGGAGTTTGTGCATTAGGGCAAGGAGAGGTGGTATAATATGGTCTTGGCTCACAACGGCACCTCAGTAATGTTTAATAATCAAGACTGGGACTATAGAATAGATACCACTTTTTCCCCAGTGCATGACGATTTAGGTATTTATCACCAGGATCTTAAAAATATAGGGTTTCAGCCCTTATGATCATTGCAATCTAAAGTGATTTAACATCCCTGCTTTCCTCTCTTTACTGCTTCTCAACAATCCATTTTTTTTCCTTTCCCTTCACCCTCCTCGTCTTCCCAGCCCTTTTTAAAATTGCCACAAGAGGGCAGCAGCCTCATGCATAAGAAGGGCACTCAGCCATAGGTAACAACAAAAAGCAAAAGGATGCCATTAAAAATAGGTGATCAAACTTTAGAGATTTCAGCATCTTGCTCTGAATATGTGTGCAGCCACGTTTAATATTCCATTAGAAACTATAAACAATGGGCCGGGCGCGGTGGCTCACGCCTGTAATCCCAGCACTTTGGGAGGCCGAGGCGGGTGGATCACGAAGTCAGGAGATCGAGACCATCCCGCCTAACACAGTGAAACCCCGTCTCTACTAAAAATACAAAAAAATAGCTGGGCGTGGTGGTGGGAGCCTGTGATCCCAGCTACTCGGGAGGCTGAGGCAGGAGAATGGCCTGAACCCGGGAGGCGGAGCTTGTAGAGAGCTGAGATCGCACCACTGCACTCCAGCCTGGGTGACAAAGCGAGATTCTGTCTCAAAAAAAAAAAAAAAAAAAACTATAAACAATGGATGGACAAGAAAATCATGCTGGTGTGCGAAGCTAATGTGTTTCCCTCTCTTCCAGATGCTGGCCAAGAAGAGCTGAAATAGAAAACAGCCTAGAACCTAACACTATTTACTGTAAAATTTTTGCACCAGGATGGAAGGGGATTCTTACCACAATGCAACCACCGTCAATGGCACCCCAGTAAATCACCAGCCTTTGGAACGCCACAGGTTGTGGGAAGTCATCACCATTGCAGCTGTGACTGCTGTGGTAAGCCTGATCACCATTGTGGGCAATGTCTTGGTCATGATCTCCTTCAAAGTCAACAGCCAGCTCAAGACAGTTAACAACTATTACCTGCTCAGCTTAGCCTGTGCAGATCTCATCATTGGAATCTTCTCCATGAACCTCTACACCACCTACATCCTCATGGGACGCTGGGCTCTCGGGAGTCTGGCTTGTGACCTTTGGCTTGCACTGGACTACGTGGCCAGCAACGCTTCTGTCATGAACCTTCTGGTGATCAGTTTTGACCGTTACTTTTCCATCACAAGACCCTTGACATATCGGGCCAAGCGTACTCCGAAAAGGGCTGGCATCATGATTGGCTTGGCCTGGCTGATCTCCTTCATCCTCTGGGCCCCAGCAATCCTCTGCTGGCAGTACTTGGTTGGGAAGCGGACAGTTCCACTGGATGAGTGCCAGATCCAGTTTCTCTCTGAGCCCACCATCACTTTTGGCACTGCCATTGCTGCCTTCTACATCCCTGTTTCTGTCATGACCATCCTCTACTGTCGAATCTACCGGGAAACAGAGAAGCGAACCAAGGACCTGGCTGACCTCCAGGGTTCTGACTCTGTGACCAAAGCTGAGAAGAGAAAGCCAGCTCATAGGGCTCTGTTCAGATCCTGCTTGCGCTGTCCTCGACCCACCCTGGCCCAGCGGGAAAGGAACCAGGCCTCCTGGTCATCCTCCCGCAGGAGCACCTCCACCACTGGGAAGCCATCCCAAGCCACTGGCCCAAGCGCCAATTGGGCCAAAGCTGAGCAGCTCACCACCTGTAGCAGCTACCCTTCCTCAGAGGATGAGGACAAGCCCGCCACTGACCCTGTCCTCCAAGTGGTCTACAAGAGTCAGGGTAAGGAAAGCCCAGGGGAAGAATTCAGTGCTGAAGAGACTGAGGAAACTTTTGTGAAAGCTGAAACTGAAAAAAGTGACTATGACACCCCAAACTACCTTCTGTCTCCAGCAGCTGCTCATAGACCCAAGAGTCAGAAATGTGTGGCCTATAAGTTCCGATTGGTGGTAAAAGCTGACGGGAACCAGGAGACCAACAATGGCTGTCACAAGGTGAAAATCATGCCCTGCCCCTTCCCAGTGGCCAAGGAACCTTCAACGAAAGGCCTCAATCCCAACCCCAGCCATCAAATGACCAAACGAAAGAGAGTGGTCCTAGTCAAAGAGAGGAAAGCAGCCCAGACACTGAGTGCCATTCTCCTGGCCTTCATCATCACATGGACCCCGTATAACATCATGGTCCTGGTTTCTACCTTCTGTGACAAGTGTGTCCCAGTCACCCTGTGGCACTTGGGCTATTGGTTGTGCTATGTCAATAGCACTGTCAACCCCATCTGCTATGCCCTCTGCAACAGAACCTTCAGGAAGACCTTTAAGATGCTGCTTCTCTGCCGATGGAAAAAGAAAAAAGTGGAAGAGAAGTTGTACTGGCAGGGGAACAGCAAGCTACCCTGAAAAGTCAACAACTCCTCTCGAAAGAACAATGACCACAGTCAACATCCTCTGAGGATGAGCAAGCTGATTCTGGTTTGTATATTTTCAAAAAGAAGACATCTCATTTTGAGTCCTTGAAGATTTTTGTAAAGGCTCAAGTTTGGTTGCCAAATGGAAGGGGCCATAGCTGCAGCAATTGCTGACATATTAAATGACTCTTGCCTATGACCAAGGCCATTTGATGCCAGGGGAGTTTGCCAATGAAGTAAAGGGATAGGCTCATGGCCCTTCACAAGAGGAAGCACACTGGGTAACAATGAACAGTGACTCAGGGAACTTATGCCCCTTCTGTAGGAAACAGCAGAGACCAGGTGGAAACCTTTTCCTGTGGAAACCTGTCATAGAATTTTGTGCAATATGTATGTGTCTATGAAGCTGTCTTGTGCCAGTGAGAACCAGCAGGAGAATGTACAACAGTGTCACTTGTTAACGAGACTGATATTCAACAGGCTTCTAAGAATATGTATCTTCATAAACTGATCACTATCTATTATGCAGCTATTATGTGGTCTATACTATACTGTGGTTTGTTTTCCTGTCCCCACATCTGAGTGAAGGTCTTGCTCTTCCCTTTCATATCCAATGTCAATTCCTTGTACTCACTGAACCCATGCTGATCTCCAGGGAACCATCCTTCCTCTCAGAATCCAGAGTCTGGAAGGACTGAAACCTGGTCATACCCAGTCCTTTCAAGGGGCCTCTTTTCTACTAATAAAGATGGATCAAGTCTCCACAGTCAGTTATTTTAGTTTTTGCCAGTGGAAATTTTTTCTTTTATCTAAACAGATATTGTGCATTCTATTTTGTGCCCATTTGAACCCATTTATTTATGCTCTGTTCTTAGGAAGACTAATTGTGTAAGAGCCCTTCACTGGCTGAAGATTTTCTCCAGGCTGTTGAATTAAGGTTCTTATATTGTTTTCAGAGATCTTGCTTTCTAATCTCTTCACAGGGCAAACCTGAGCAAAATGTGGAAAACAGATTTGCTTTTGAATTTCTTCCAGAGCCCTTTTGCAGCCTCCAATTTCCCTTGTTCAGATCCCCAGTTCACACCAAGACGCAAGCAGGTCAGCTGTGCTGCCTCCAAGCAGGGGGTTGTGGGGTGAGGTGGGGGTAGAAAGTCTTTTTTTATAGGTCCTTCAAATCAGGGCCTAAAAATGACTTCTTTATTCCTCTCCAAATTCGGTCACAAATGAGAAGGCCAGAAAAGCACACTTGAGGGTGCGATGAAGCTGAAAATGATCTGAAAGCTTCATTTTTAAAAACAAAGTGTAGGTCATAGTAATACATAAAAATAAAACAGTTGACATGCATGACAGCATGAGGATTATTAAAAACCACACTTAATTGAAATCTCTAAGTGCGTATAAACAAACGGAATCAAAGGACCTTTGTGGACAAAAGTCCACAAAGAAGCAGTAGTGTGGTACACAGCAAGGATTTTAAAGATGAAGCACTCCTGTCAGACATTATTTAACTCGTTGGTTACATCTGCAGCTGGACTTAAAAATCACCAGACTTCATGCGTCTTAGTGTAGGCCGGGTCCTTTTCAGTCTCATTTGCTAAGAGGATGGAAAATTAGCTGGTTTAGTTGTCCTGGGAATTAGATATGTACCTGAGTATGGGAGAGCTTCAGCCTACCACTGAAGAGCATCATCAGCCTCTCACAGGATGTCCCACGGAGGCTTCAGGGTAGTAGAATCTCAGGCAGGACGGGACTGGTCCCTTATAAAGACTTCACGTTGACATGAAACATCTTGTAAGCAGTGCATCTGCTGAGCCTTTGTAAAGGGCAGGTTGACACCTGCAAAGAATTCGGTGGGAACAGTAATTGGCTCAGTTCTCCAGCACAGAGGCTTTCGGGCCTCCGTGATGCCAACTGGGTGTGACTTCATGAGCAAACCTGCTCTACCAGCGCCAGATAAACAGTTGAGTCTTCGTTTAAGGCTTTGATTCCTGATAAAGATGAAAACCCCTTCATGAGAATAGGCTTTTAAGCCCATGTTGGGCATTCACCATTCGCAGTTGAGAGTGAAACAAGCTAATTTAAACAAAAGAACACAAATCGGGAAAGGATGCCATGGAGGGCACTCCTCGCACACTCCGCACTTGCTTAGGACTTGGCCTTTTTTGTTCATCTTTTGTGAAATTGATTAAGAAGTGTATTGCTGGGTGTGGTGGCTGACACCTGTAATCCCAGCACTTTGGGAGGCTGAGGCAAGAGGACTGCTTGACCCTAGGGGCTCAAGACCAGCCTGGCAACATAGGGAGACCCTGTCTCTACAAAAAAAATTTTAAATACCTGGGCATTAGCAGGGCATCGTAGTGTGTGCCTGTAGACCCAGCTACTTCAGAGGTTGAAGCAGGAGGATCGCATGAGCCCAGGAGTTAGAGGTTGCAGTGAGCTATGATCACACTACTGCATTCCAGTCTAAGTGACAGAGCAAGACCCTGCCTCAAAAAAAAAAAGAGAGAGAGAGAGGTCAATGCTTCTTTTTTTATCATTGGTTTTGGAAAGCAGCCAGTTTTGCAGACTACCTATGCCTCTTGACATAGACAAAAAATATCCCAAACTACTAGGGACAACTAGACTTCTATAGAATAGCGGCTTTAGTGGGGTCCTCAGAATGAATAGACCTAATTGTAAACTACAGGGACCTGATGGGTGGGTGGGAGGCGCATGGCCTGACTTGAGATCTTAGGCCTTCTATGCCCCCAGTCTTCCAGGCTTTGTCTATAGTAAACCATGTATGACTTTGGCTAGTTACCTACTGGATGCTGTTACTTTGCTATCATTGTAATTTGTTTCCCCTTGGCTGTGAATTTGATGACTTGTCAGGGAATCTGTTTTCCATTCAATTTTTGGTTGAACAAAGCATTTTGTCAATATTCTCAGCTTTTGCTTCGCTCCTTTGGTGAATGTCCTTTGAAGACAATACTGATGCCAGCTCTTTGTAATTGTGAAATCTGTACCCAAACCTCTGGATTAGAATCTCCAGTTGTCTACTGTAAATACTGGAATTACAGCAAAGGATATGGGGACTGGGCTGCTTTTCTGTATTGTATAAGCACTATTCTAGATATTAAAGAAATTTAACCGCACAGTGGTCCAATGCAGAGCATTTAAATAAGAAAATTGTTTCAGAGTAGCCTATTAGATCCATCTATATTGGGTTTCCCACACACCTTTGCATGGCCTGGCCTTTCAAGAAAGTTGGGATTGATACACAGTATGGATACACGTCCTTCTTGCTACCTTTTGTGATTCCTCCTTCCCTCTAAGTTACCAATGACCAAACTAAGATTAAATAATGATGACAAGAGATCTGTGAGTAAAACGCTTTCCCTTCCCTATGGGACAAGGGAGGTGGGGCAGACCTGAAACCACAGTCCTTTACCGAGTGGAGACTGCACAAAAAGGGGCAGCAGCATTTCCTTGTCAACTATTTAAAGAGTCGGTGCCCCACTCCATTCCCATTGTAAGTGATACTAATTTCCATCTTCCCCACATCATTTTACTGGTAAAGTTCAAGATTATGTAAACTCTTGCCCAATAAAGACCCCAGATCGAGAGTGAGCGGAAGAAGGGAAAAAAGTTTAATTGTCAAAGAAGAAGCTGGAAGCAATTAAAAACAAAACAAAACTTTTTTGAAATCATTTAAAATTTACAGAAAAGTTGCAAGAGTAATAAGAAGAACTCCTAATGTCCTTCACCCACATTCCGCACTTAACGTTTTGCCACATCTGTGCCTGCTCTCTCTGTATGTGTGTGTGTGTGTGTGTGCACATTTTTTTCTCAACCATTTGAGAGTAAGTTGCAGACCTCTTGCCAATTTACCACTAAATACTTCTTGAGTGTGTATTCCTTTTTTCATTCATTTTTTTTTTTTTTCAAGACAGGGTCTCACTCTGTCATCCAGGCTGGAGTGGCAGCTTCGACCTCCCAGACTCAAGTGATCCCACCTCAGCCTCCCAAGTAGCTGGGATTACAGACGCACGCCACCACGCCAGGTTAATTTTTTCTACTTTTTGTAGAGACAGGGTTTCACCATGGTGCTCAAGCTAGTCTTGAACTCCTGGGCTCAGGCAATCCACCCGATTTGGCCTGGCAAAGTGCTGAGATTGCAGGCAGGAACCACCGCGTCTGACCTTAGAGTGTGTATTTCTTAAGAAGGAGGAGATTATTTTACATAACCTCAATACAAATATAAAAATCAGGAAATTTGACATTGTTACAATGTTATTATGTAATCTACAGTCCACACTCAAATTTTACTAGTTTTTCTATTTGGGAAACTAATATATGTTCATTATAAAAATTTATTTTCCAGTTCAATATCTAATCCAGGATCACACATTGCATTTAGTTGTCATGTCATGGTTAGACTTATTTAATCTGTCTACAGCTTTTCTGTCTTTCATGATATAGTCATCTTTTAAGAGCACCTACAATCCAATTTTTTTTTTTTTTTTGAGACGGAGTCTCGCTCCTTTGCCCAGGCTGGAGTGCAGTGGCGCAATCTCGGCTCACTGCAAGGTCCGCCTCCCGGGTTCACGCCATTCTCCTGCCTCAGCCTCCCCAGTAGCTGGGACTACAGGCGCCTGCCACCACGCCCGGCTAATTTTTTGTATTTTTAGTAGAGACGGGGTTTCACCGTGTTAGCCAGGATGGTCTCGATCTCCTGACCTCATGATCCACCCGCCTCGGCCTCCCAAAGTGCTGGGATTACAGGAGTGAGCCACCGCGCCAAGCCCCTACAGTCCAATTTTTAAAAACAATTTCGGCTGGGCGCGGTGGCTCATGCCTGTAATCCCAACACTTTGGGAGACTGAGGAGGCTGAATCACGATGTCAGGAGTTTGAGACCAGCCTGACCAACATGGTGAAACCCTGTCTCTACTAAAAATACAAAAATTAGCCAGGCATGGTGGTGCGTGCCTGTAATCCCAGCTACTTGGGAGGCTGAGGCAGGAGAATTGCTTGAACCTGGGAGGCTGAGGCAGGAGAATTGCTTGAACCTGGGAGGCGGAGGTTGAAGTGAGCTGAGATCGTGCCACGGCACTCCAGCCTGAAAACAGAGAAAGACTTCATCTCTAAAAATAAATAAGTAAAACTAATTTCATCAGTTTGAGGCTATCTGATATTTCCTTATTAGATTCCATTTAATTGTTTTTGGGGGGCCAAGAATATCACAATGCGTTACTATGTTCTCAATGCATCACATCAGGAGGCATATGATGTTCTATCTCATTATTGGTGATGTTAATATTGATCGATGTTTTAAGTACACTAACCTTTTAAGTAAAGTTCCAAGATTTGCTTATAATTTTTTTATCTTCAGATTGAAGGGATATACTCAGATTACTATGCTCAATAATTGCTTTTGTTAATTTTTTTGATTCAGTGTGGTTATATTGTTCATTTGAAATCAGTTGGGTTTGCTCCTATTTATATTGAATTTCAGAGTTTTCTCCCATAACTGTTTATTTAATTTCATTTTCTTGAATAAGTAAAATATTAATATGGTTGAACATCAAAACGATATGAGAAGATACACTCAGAGAAGTGTCACTCTATCCTTTATACCTTCCATCCCATTCCCACCTGTATTAGTCTGTTCTTACACTGCTATGAAGAAATACCCACGACTGGGTAATTTATAAAGAAAAGAGGTTTCATTGACTCACAGAGTTCTGCATGGCTGGGGAGGCCTCAGGAAACTTACAATCATGACTGAAGTCACCTCTTCACAGGGCAGCAGGAAAGAAAATGAGTGCCAGCAGGGAAAATGCCAGATGCTTATAAAACCATCAGATCTCGTGAGAACTTACTATCACGAGAACAGCACGGGGGAAACCGCCTCCAGGCTTCAACTACCTCCCACTGGGTCCGTCCCACAAGACATGGGGATTATGGGATTACAATTCAAGATGAGATTTGGATGGGAACACAAAGCCAAATCACCCTGTCCTGTAGATAACAAATTTTCTTCAGTCTCTGGTTTATCCCTTCTTTGTTTCTTTTTTTTTTTTAAATCGAACTCTTTTAGCCATTTTTGTATCCATATTTTAAAATATCCATATAGTTTTATTTTAATGTTTTTAGTTTAAGAAAATATCTACTGACTTTCTACCGAGAAAAATAAAGGTTTGATTCTTACATAGTGATGACTACTTACCAAACAGCCACTCCTCTGGCCCTCAGTCTACAAAGCTATGCATAAATGGGTACCTTTATGAAGTGATCACTTGGATACAGGGTGCTAGAGCTCTCCATTGAGCTAAGGATGTGGGTCCTAGAAAAGAAGACACAGTCTAAGTCTTGGAGCATCTACTGATATTGAGAGCTACGAATACACCAAGTAGAACAAGTTGAACAACTCTGGAGACACTAAGTAATAACAGGCAAAAGACTGACACTGTTAAATATTCACATTAAACTCAAAGAGGGCACAGCCAGTATTATTCTGCAATAAATTTCACTGTCCCCCATCTCCCCTGATGAATTAATGTGCATGAGGTGGGATGGACGGGAGTTAAAACCTTAAATTTCTCTGTGATCTGTGATTAGGCAAAGAAAGCCAAGGTCTAACTCTGCTCACTGGGCTTGACTACCACCCTGTGTTAGTGTGCTTCGTGTCAATGCGTCTGTCCAAAAAGTCCTAACTTTTAATTTTATATGGCTCTTGAACAAACCTCATCCCACCCACCAGATGCCTCCAGTGATGCCTTCATGCTCCTGCTAAGAGTAGTTCTTCAGAGGGTACTTTCCCAGTTCTTGGCAATGATTTTCTGACAAGGGTTATCTTGCATGAATGGATCTTTAGTGGTGTCCTAGTAAAGGAATGGGCACCCTTACCTTCAACAAAGAATGGCTCATACTCAACTCACTTACCCCAATATTACTAGCTAGGGAGTTGCTGCTTATTTTTCATTTTAATTTTATTTTGAGACAGAGTCTCGCTCTGTCACCTAGAGTGGAGTGCAATGGCATGGTAGCCTCCATCTCCCAGGCTCAAGTGATACTTCTGCCTCAGCCTCCCAAGTAGCTGGGACTACAGGTGCATGCCACCATATCAAGCTAATTTTTTTTTATTTTTAGTAGAGATGTGGTCTCTCTATGTTGCCCAGGATGGTCTCGAACTCCTGAGCTCAAGTGATCCTCCTACCTCAGCCTCCCAAAGTGCTGGGATTCCAGGTGTGAGGCACCGTGTCCAGCCAGGTGCTTATTTTTAGTAGTTCCATGTGTATCCAAAGACAGGTTTATAGTCCAGCCACTTTCAATCAAAATCCATAAAGCTATTGATCATGATGTACTAACTACAGCTCAGTGCCCCTAGTATACCATATAGTGCACTGCAGTGGAAAACACCAGGCTGGAAAACAGTAAAGAAGAACAAGTGATACAAATTTAAACTGGTATTTGGAGGACTACTCTTTCTCCCTAAGAAACTAGACTTCCATGAATAAAAAATCCTTTGATAGGTCCTTTCATACCCAAAAGATAGGACTTATCAATAAGAGTCAGAAACAAAATGAAGTCTTTAACTCAGAAAACTAGACTAGGTTATCTTTTATATTCACTATATGTAATAATATAGTCATTAATATATTAATACATATTTTCTGGCCAGGCACAGGGACTCATGCCTGTAATTCCAGCACTTTGGGAGGCTGAGGCAGGAGGATCACTTGAGGCCAGGAGTCTGAGATCAGCCTGGGCAACATAGCAAGACCTTATCTCTACCAAAAAAAAGTTTTTAATTAGCTAGGCATGGTGACACCCGCCTGTAGTCCTAGCTGCTCAAGAGGCTGAGGCGGGAGGAACTCTTGAGCCCAGGAGTTCAAGGTTACAGTGACCTATGATGGCACCATCTCTCTCCAGCCTGGGCGACAGAGTGAGACCCTGTCTTTAAAAAAATAATAATAATACATATATTCTAAGAAAACAAATAAGCAAATAAAAAATTACCTGGGCCGGGCGCAGTGGCTCAAGCCTGTAATCCCAGCACTTTGGGAGGCCGAGGTGGGCAGATCACGAGGTCAGGAGTTCGAGACCAGACTAACCAACATGGTGAAACCCCGTCTCTACTAAAAATACAAAAAAATTAGCTGGGTGTGGTGGTGTGCTGTAATCCCAGCTACTCAGGAGGCTGAGGCAGGAGAATCATTTGAACCCAGGAGGTGGAGGTTGCAGTGAGTCAAGATCTGGCCACTGCACTCCAGCCTGGGCAACAGAGATTCTGTATCAAAAAAAAAAATTACCTGTAATTTTATTTTATTTTACTTTTTATTATTATTATTTTTTTGAGATGGAGTCTTGCTCTGTTGCCCAGGCTCTGGAGTGCAGTGGCCAGATCTTGGCTCACTGCAAGCTCCGCCTCCCGGGTTCAACACACCATTCTCCTGCCTCAGCCTCCCGAGTAGCTGAGATTACAGTACACCACCACACTCAGCTAATTTTTTTGCATTTTTAGTAGAGATGGGGTTTCACCCTGTTAGCCACGATGGTCTCGATCTCCTGACCTTTTGATCCGCCTGCCTTGGCCTCCCAAAGTGCTGGGATTACACGCGTGAGCCACCGCACCCAGCCTACCTGTAATTTTAATACCCAGAAATAATCTCTGCCAAATATCTTACCATCTATCCTTCTAGTCTTTTTTCTATGTACAGACACTTTTTTTTTTTCTTTTTCTTTTTTTTGAGACGGAGTCTCGCTCTGTCGCCCAGGCTGGAGTGCAGTGGCACGATCTCGACTCACTGCAAGCTCCACCTCCCGGGTTCACGCCATTCTCCTGCCTCAGCCTCCCGAGTAGCTGGGACTACAGGCGCCCGCCACCTCGCCCGGCTAATT
Source organism: Homo sapiens (assembly GCF_000001405.40). Classification (NCBI taxonomy): domain Eukaryota; kingdom Metazoa; phylum Chordata; class Mammalia; order Primates; family Hominidae; genus Homo; species Homo sapiens. Next base: position 34,073,210 of record NC_000015.10, read on the forward strand.
TTTTTTTTTTTTTTTTTTTGTATTTTTAGTAGAGACGGGGTTTCCCTGTGTTCGCCAGGATGGTCTCGATTTCCTGACCTCGTGATCCTCCCTCCTCGGCCTCCCAAAGTGCTGGGATTACAGGCGTGAGCCACCGCGCCCGGCCTGTACAGACACTTTTTTAAACACACAGAGCTGTTAAATACTGTTTAGCAATCCTCATGCTCATATCTTGCAGAAAATATCTGGTCATTCAAACTCTTCAAAAACAAAAAAATCATAAGGCTTCGAGTAACATAGGGAGCTCTTTTTTCTTTTCTTTTCTTTTTTCTTTTTTTTTTTTTTTTTTGAGACGGAGTTTCGCTCTTGTTGCCCAGGCTGGAGTGCAACGGCATGATCTCGGCTCACCACAACTTCCGCCTCCCGGGTTCAAGCAATTCTCCTGCCTCAGCCTCCCGAGTAGCTGGGATAACAGGTGCACACCACCACACCCAGCTAATTTTTGTATTTTTAGTAGAGATGGGGTCTCGCCATGTTGGCCAGGCTGGTCTTGAACTCCTGACCTTGGGTGATCCACCCGCCTCGGCCTCCCAAAGTGTTGGGATTACAGGCGTGAGTCACTGCACCTAGCCAGGGAGCTCTTATCCATAACTAAACGTAGATTAGAAAGAGATTACTTCTGTCCTTTTCCATGTCTGTTACATGCACCCAGTACAGCTTAGTCTACAGGAACTATTTCCATCGGAATTCTTGAGAAAAAACAATTACTGTTTGGAGGAACTTTCTTTTTTCTTCTTCTTCTTTTTTTTTTTTTTTTTTTTTTTTTTGAGACACAGTCCTGCTCTGTCATCCAGGCTGGAGTGCAGTGTCACAATTTCGGCTCACTGCAGTCTCTGCCTCCCAGGTTCAAGCAATTCTCATGCCTCAGCCTTCTGAGTAGCTGGGACCACAGGTGCACGCCACCACACCCAGCTAATTTTTGTATTTTTAGTAGAGATGGGGTTTGACTATGTTGGCCAGGCTGATCTCGAACTCCTGACTTCAAGTGATCCACCCGCCTCAGCCTCCCAAAGTGCTGGGATTACAGACATGAGCCACTGCACCTGGCCCATGGAGGAACTTAAAAAACAAAAACAAAAAACAACCAAAAAAAAGTATATTTAAATTTTAGAATAACTGTGTTAGTTTCCTAGGGCTCCAGCAACACAGTTCCACAAACTGGGTGGTTTAGAACAACAAAAATTTACCATTTCATAGTTCTGGAGGCCAGAAGTCTGAAATCAAGGTGTCAGCAGGGCCATGATCCCTCTGAAGGAACTGAGAAAGGATCTGTTTCAGGCCTCTCTCCTAGCTTCTGGTAGTCTTGTGTTCCTCAGCTGTTAAATGTCCATCTTCTCCCTGTGTCTCCTCATATCATCTTCTCTCTTTGGTGTCGGTCTCTGTGTCTCAATTTCTCCCTTTGGGGGATATCAGTTATATTGGATTAGGGTCCACCGTAATGACTTCATCTTACCTTTATTACCTCCTAAAGACCCTATTTCCAAAGACAGTCACATTCTGAAGTACTGGGAGTTAGGACTCCAATGTATCTGTTTGTTGGGGGGACACAATTCAATCCATAATAATAACCAAGCAAGAAAAACACTTTCCTTTTTTATAGTTGAACGAACTGTAGACCAATGATGGGTAGTATTGAATGGAAAGGATTGACCAGGTGCGGTGGCTCACACCTGTAATCCCAGCACTTTGGGAGGCCGAGGAGGGCAGATCATGAGGTCAGGAGATCGAGACCATCCTGGCTAACACGGTGAAACCTTGTCTCTACTAAAAATACAAAAAGTAGCTGGGCGTGGTGGCACACGCCTGTAGTCCCAGTTACTCAGGAGGCTGAGGCAGGAGAATCAGTTGAACCCGGGAGGTGGAGGTTGCAGTGGACCAAGCCAAGATCACGCCACTGCACTCCAGCCTGGGCAAAAGAGCGAGACTCTGGCTCAAAAAAAAAAAAAAAAAAAAAAAGAACTACCTGAAACTGGGTAATTTATAAAGGAAAGAAGTTTAATTTACTCACAGTTCCGCATGGCTTGGGAGGCCTCAGGAAACTTACAATCGCAGCGGAAGGGGAAGTAAACATGTACTTCTTCACGTGACAGCAGGAGAGAGAAGTGCAGAGTGAAGAGGGGGAAAACCCCTTATAAAACTATCAGATTTCATGAGAACTCACTATCACAAGAACAGCATGGCGAGGAGTGCCCCCATGATCAAATCACCTCCCACGAGGTCCCTCCGTCAACACATAGGGATTACAATTTGGATTACTATTCAAAATGAGATTTGGGTGGGGACACAGAGCCAGACCATATCATTCACTATCTTTTTATATCCAAGAATCACCAGCTAGGCAATCTAATTACTCCTTTGTTTGGTTACTTATTTGTTCAGCAAATAGTTATTGATCTATTTGGAAAGCTTGGGGATGTGGAAGGGAATAAGACACTGTCTCTGCCCTCTAGGAACATAGACTAACAGAATGATGGATGGAACAACTACAGTAACTACAAAGAAAATTGTCCCAGTGGTGGCTGAAGGACATGCTCCTCCCCAAGAACAAGCGTTTTGCTTCTCCAGGCCTCTTATTCCCTGCTCTTTGGCACAGAAGGAAAATTAGCACTGAAGCCTAAACATATAGGCTTGAAGAGGAAGGATGACTGAGGAATGACAAGATGAATGCGGATAACATCCAACATTCCACTCACAGGATCTCACAAGCACAGGCCTCTGATCTTTTTTTTTTTTTTTCAGTTTGGTTCCCAGTTCCTGGACTACATGCCAAGGTACTGTGTTTTTCAGAAAGAAGACTTGCCCTGTCTAGATATACCCTAAATTTCTTATTCCATAATCCAACTTCTTCTCAAGGGAGGAGCAGAGATCAGGTAGAAATACAAAGAAATTAGAGTTTTCCATAGAATTCTCCAAATTTTCAAAATCAAATGCATACAATCACACACATTAGAGCACAACTTAAAGCAGTGAGTACAGAGTCTCAAGGTGGGAGCAGCTGGTTCACAGTAGGAGTGCTGAGGGCCTACCAGGAATGAGGAGACCTCTGAGAGGCTTTGAAAAAGACCGGAAACCTTCCTTCCAACCAATTCCCACCAGCTCCAAAGAGGATGAAGGGAGAGAAACCGTCTTTATGCCACTGGCCTCTGCTGGGCTACATCATTTAAAGATTTGAGGTTGGGCCAGAGGTAGGCAGAGAACAAGGCAGGAGGGAAGACAATGCTTATTTTTCCTCCAACTAACATATTCTCTCAAAGTTTCTGGGACTCTGAGATTTCTACTAAAGATTCTAGGCTTTCTTGGCAATGATTTTCATATACCACAGTTTGCTCAGAGACCTGTTATCAGTACATCATGGCCAGGTGATCACAGCCAGTCACAGCCAGCTTCAGGTCTCCATAAGAGGGAGTCCCTCCAGAATTGTGTGATTTGCCTGTGGCAATCACATCTATTTTAGGTGCATTAGGGGGAACTATGTGAAGGACGCTTCTAGTGAATCCTTTAGTAAAGTGAATAATTACTTCTAGGCTTCAACTAGAAGTGATTGGAAGTGATAGAAGTCATTGGAAGGAGCCTTATGACTTCACCACTTTACTTATTATTAATGGTCATTAGCCACAGTCACCACCATGTTACTCACAAGATTCAAACCCAAGCTGGCCTGGCTCCCAATCTGTGATCAGTTCTACCTCATTGTCTCAAGCACACTGAACACCATACACAGGGCTTTCCCTTATCATTTTTCCAGAGAGAATCAGGGTATTGTCCTCCAGAAGATAAGGCGAGTTCAGGCCTGCAATGCAACCAGGCGATGTCTGCCTACCTTTTTCGCCTCTCTTCTCTCCAGCTGTACTGTTCTTTCAGTTCCTTCAAGAGCCAAGCTCCAGGCCCACCCCTCCTTCAGCTCAGACTAGGAAGCACCTCATTCTTATCCCGCTCTTCTCAGTCTCAGCCTGGTTAATTCCTAGTCTTTCAGTCTTACCTATGAGTCACTTTTTAATGGAAGTGCTCTTACATTTGCCCTCTACCCACCCATTCGGGTTCCCCATTTATGAGCTTATAAATGACTTTTTCTTGGTAGCATCTACCAAAGTTTTCATTAGATACCTGTGTGTGTTTGGTTGATTCAATGTCTGTGTCTCCCTCTAAATGCTCATCTCTGAAGCCAGAGTTCATGCTTATTGTGCTCATGATCATATCCCCTCACCTAGTAGCCCTTGGCACATACGTGGCAACAGTACTTCACAATGTATTCTGTACTAAGTAAGTATGTGCTTACCTGCGATAGGAGATGGTTACAAGGCAAGGTTCCTGGTTTTTGTTTTTTCCTGTATTCTTAGTATCTTTATGATTCCCTGAAAAGTACAAACTTAATTCACCATGGGTCTCTGATCTCTATCCTTGTCTAACGATTTGAGTTAGGATCCCAACAATATGATAGAGCTGTATGTATGGCAGCCATCCCAGAACTATTTTAGAGGAGAGATTAATATTCTTCCTACCCTTCCTTGAGGACAGGACTGTTGTACTACTAGTGCTTTACAGTCCAAGGAGCTTAGGGTCCAGGTAGGGAAGTCAGAGAAGTAGACAAGTAATCTCAGAAAATGAAGTGCTATATATATAATAGGATAAGCCAGGCATGAAGGGGGACAAGGAGGCTCTTATCTGATCCTCATGAGCATCTGGAAGATTTCTGTAGAAAGTCCTAAAAAAGATGTTACAGGTTGATAAGGGAAAAAAATAGGCATGGGGTGGAGAGCTGAGATGAAGAGATACTCAAAAAGGCTCAGAGGTGAGAGAGCATGGAGTTTTCAGAGGGGAATTGTGAATAATTTGAGATACATAGGGAAGTGGCAAGAAGTGAGTCTGAAGGAACTGTGTTCAGGGGCCAAAGATGTTTGTCTTGAAGTCCATGAGAGTCAACACAGGGTTTAATTGATGAGTGATCCCATCAGATTTGCCTTTTAGAAACATCTTTAAGATTAGTGTCTAAAGCTCCAGTTACCAGAAACTAGGACTACAACTACTTTCTCTTGGAAGTCAATTTCTCTTGACTACACCACTGCTTTCTCTCTAAGGAGAGTTTGGAAGGAGAGAGGCAAGTCCCTAGATCATGCCAATAGAGGTAGGAGGAGGGTGGACAGGTTGGAAGAGATGTATACCATGTGTTGACTATGGGTATATTAATGTTTTTCAGTTTAGCATGTGAGAGCAGTACTACAGAAAGCAGTTAACAGTTTTCTCTAGATTAAGACCACTTACCCACTGATGAGTTTGGGAAATTGTTTAACCTGTTTCCTCATCTGAAAAATAAGAATATTAATAATTATAAACTCATCGAGAACTTATATGCCTTATCTCACTTATGTGTGGAATCTAAAAAAGCCAAACTCATGGAAGCAGAGAATGAAATGGTGGGTTGAGGGGTAGGAGAAATGGGAAGATACTGGCCAAAGGGTACAAACTCAATTATAAGATGAACAAGTTTCAGGGATCTTAACTACATCATGAGTGATGGTGGATGTATTAATTAATTTGATTGTGGTAGTCATAATACAATGTATATCAAATAATCACATTTTATACTCTGAATATAGTCAATCTTTATAAATTATTTTTAAATATTTTTAAAAGGGAATGAAATAAATTTACATTCATATATATGAAAAATTTGATTTCAAAATTATCTAAGAGGTACAAATATGAATCAATAGATTATTAAATTTCAGTGGAATTAAACGCCTTGTCAACAGTTTTCTGTTGGAAATGCTGCGTATAGCTAGTTTTTACAGTTCCACTCATTCCTCCAGTTTAATGTTTGACCTTAATTTACTCCTTCCTCTTCTCAGGGTTGCTTGCCTGGCTGGCTCAGTCCTACCAGACAGAAGCCACTGTGGAAAGCTTCAGTTCCCCTAGTGCTCATAATAAGATCGTTTTACCATAAACTAAAGAGATAAGCTAATATTTGGAGCTATTTTGGGGGCATTTTAAAATTTTCAATACTTCATCTTTTACCAAGAGTATAAAAACAATATCCACAATTTATAGACACCATTTGAATTTTACCGAAGCTACTTTCAAGTTCTCCTGAATAACATAAACATTTAAACCAAATGGATATTCTCACCAGCCTTATAAATTTAAGACTCTAAATAATGAAAATAATCACACCTAAAATGCGGAAGAGCTCAGTACAACTGGTCCCATCTCAACATACTCTTTGAGCTGAATTAAAAGACTCAGTCACTAGCTTCTGTTGGGTTACCTGAAATTGGTGCTTAGCAGAATTTTTGCTGGGTTTAAATACAAAATGTACATACATGATTGTAACCATGCAAATGTATGTCTATATGTGACCCGAAAGGCAATAAGCAAAAATGAAAATAGTGGTTTAAAATATTTAATAAAAATATTTTCAGTAACAGTTTTTAAACAAAAGATACTCTAGTTGAGCACTTAAAAAAAAAAGAAACAAGCCAGGTGTGGTGGCTCACACCTGTAATCCCAGCACTTTGGGAGGCTGAAGTGGATGGATCACGAGGTCAGGAGATCGAGACCGTCCTAGCTAACACAGTGAAACCCCATCTCTACTAAAAATACAAACAATTAGCCAGGCATAGTGGCGGGCACCTGTAGTCCCAGCTACTTGGGAGGCTGAGGCAGGAGAACGGCATGAACCCGGGAGGTGGAGGTTGCAGTGAGCTGAGATCGCGCCATTGTACTCCAGCCTGGGCAACAGAGTGAGACTGTCTCAAAAAAAAAGAAACAAAAAACACTCAAAACTTCCTGAAAGTCTGAGTGACTAGTTAAATGAAAAGCTCTCCCTTATCTTTATGGACACTGCTTATCAGGACCTTCAAACCCTTCCAACTACTGAGAAGTATGCTGTGTGATAGTATCTGCCCTCCTGTCAGGGAAGGCATAAGGGAAAAATGACAAGATGGTTTTCTACTCAGGGCAGTTTAGGTAAAATCCTGTATCTTTTCAAAATGTTAACCAGATCTAGGGTAAATCCTGAGGTTTTGGCTCCCAAAAAACTGTTTGAAACTTGGGAGCAATAGAGATGTCCTGGAGAAATCATCCTGGACATTCAGGACTTTTTGGCAAGAATGGACAGCAAAATTTATTTTGCACAAAGTCACTGTTCAGATTTAATTCAGTAGATGTGAAAAATTATAAAACACAAAACTTACATTTAAAAGAAGATACATAGTGACCGGCTCATGCCTGTAATCCCAGCACTTTGGGAGGCCAAGGCAGGCGGATCACTTGAGGTCAGGAGTTTGGAGCCAGCCTGGCCAACATGGTGAAACCCGATCTCTACTAAAAATACACAAAATTAGCCAGGGGTGGTGGCACTCGCCTGTTATCCCAGCTACTCGGGAGGCTGAGGCAGAAGAATCGCTTGAACCTGAGAGGCAGAGGCTGCAGTGAACCAAGATGGTGCCACTGCACTCCAGCCTGGGTGACAGAGGGAAACTCCCTCTCAAAGAAAAAGAAATAATATATATATATATATATAATAAAATTTTAAAAATAAATAAAAGGAGATACATATAAACCAAATCTAACAAAGGCTCTAAAGAAGAGCAAAACAATACTTTGTTCCAAATGGGAAATAGCAGAAAGAATCCAAGGAAGTAAAATAAGAAAGCCAGCACTGATCATATGGTTCTTAAGGGTAGGAAATACTAGGACTGGGCTAAAAGTATAACAGAATTTGAGATTTCAAATTTGAAATTTCAAAAAGAAATTTACAGGTCTAATCCAAATCCTTCCATTTATAGATGAGGAAACTTAAGGTCCATTTATTATTCATTCAACAAACTTTTATTGGTGTGCCTACATGCTAGATGCTAGAGATAGTACAAAGACCAAGACAAGACATGGTCCAGGACAGTGACTTGCTCAAAGTCACAAAGCAAGTTAGCAGCTAACCAGGGGCTCTTTGCACTAAACCCCATATTGTCCAATAATATATAGTCATTTCTGTGCCTATAAGCACCTTAAGCATTTGATGATGGTTCTATGAAAATATAAGATTTTCATACACAACTGATACATTTCATAAGGGGTATATATTATATTTAGAGGTAATATGATAAGGGGTATACATAATATATAAGGGGTATAGATTATATTCAGATGCTGTTAGAATCCATGTAAAATAACCAGTTTCTTATGTAGCATATGAAACAGTAATTTCCTTGGAAGTGCTTCCTAATTTCTCAGTCATTAGGTGTTGTGCAAATGTTGACAATCTAAATTATAAAATTTTTATTTATTTTTTAAGTTTGGGGGTACATGTGAAGGTTTGTTACACAGATAAACACATGTCACAAGGTAAATTATGAAATTTTAAAACATGGTTTCTGGTCATATGACTCTTACTATGTCTCCTTTGAATTACAAAGGAGAATGTCATTTTTTTAACTTAATGTTTAAGTGAAAATTAGAACACTAATTTTTTTTTTTGAGACAGAGTCTCACTCTGTCATTACGCTGGAGTTCAGTGGCGTGACCTTGGCTCACTGCAACCTCCACCTCCCGGGTTCAAGCAATTCTCCTGCCTCCGCCTCCCAAGTAGCTGGGACTACAGGCGCATGCCACCATGCCCAACTAATTTTTGTATTTTTAGTAGAGACGGGATTTCACCGTCTTGGCTAGGATGGTCTTGATCTCTTGACCTCATGATCTGCCTGCCTGGGCCTCCCAAAGTACTGGGATTACAGGCGTGAGCCACCGTGCCCGGCCTAAAACACTAATTTTAAGTGAAAATTAGAATACTAGTTGAATGAACGACATTTAGCTAGTGTTCTAACACTTTATTTTCATAAATGACTCGATTTTAAAAGACCTACTTCTATCATTAACCTGTTGACCCATCTAATCATTCATAGCTTAACCAGTTTGGTAACAGTGTATGTAATATAAATAGAAACAGTTAATAAAATGTTCTGCATCAGAACTTTTTTTTTTTTTTTTTTGAGACAGAGTCTCACTCTTGTCACCCAGGCTGGAGTGCAGTGGCATGATGGCTGACTGCAACCTCCACCTCCCCCAGGTTCAAGCAATTCTCCTGCCTCAGCCTCCCCAGCAGCTGGGATTACAGGCGCCTGCCACCAAGCCTGGCTAATTTTTTGTATTTTTAGGAGAGACAGGGTTTCACCATGTTGGTAAGGCTGGTCTCAAACTCCTGACCTCAGGTGATCCTCCCACCTCAGCCTCCCAAAGTACTGGGATTACAGGCGTGAGCCACAGCGCCCGGCCCAGAACGTATTTCTTTAAGAGAAAACACGTACCTCATTTTTAAATGAACAATAGCACCTAATACAAAAGAGAAAATTGAGTTTGGAAGCTACTCTGTTTTTTTCACTGATTTAATAACTTTAAGAAAGCAATACAGGAGTTATTTAATATGGGAAAGAATAGGAACCCTCTACTAGAAGCAGTACTGTGGCCTGAGAGTTCTTTAATTAAAATAACCCAAAAGGAAAAGGTGTGAAAATGTTGTAACTTATTGAAATAAAAAACTTTTGAGATACTCCCGATTGGAAAGTAGTTATTTGGCCAGGCACAGTGGCTCACAGCTGTAATCCCAGCACTTTGGGAAACCGAGGCAGGCAGATCAACTGAGGTCAGGAGTTGGAGACCAGCCTGGCCAACGTGGTGAAACCCCATCTCTACTAAAAATACAAAAATTAGCTGGGCATGGTGGCACATGCCTGTAATCCCAGCTACTTGGGAGGCTGAGGCAGAAGAATCGCTTGAACCCAGGAGGCAGAGGTTGCAGTGAGCCGAGATCGTGCCCTTGCACTCCAGCTTGGGCAACAAAGGTGAAACTCTGTTTCAAAAAAAAAAAGAGACCAGGCGTGGTGGCTCACGCCTGTAATCCCAGCACTTTGGGAGGCTGAGGCGGGCAGATCATCTGAGGTCAGGAGTTCGAGACCAGCCTGGCCAACATGGTGAAACCCCGTCTCTGCTAAAAAATACAAAAATTAGCTGGCTGTGGTGGCCAGTGCCTTAATCCCAGCTACTTGGGAGGCAGAGGCAGGAGAATTGTTTGAACCCGGGAGGCGGAGTTTGCAGTGAGTCGAGATAAAGCCATTGCACTCAAACCTGGGGTACAAGAGCGAGACTTCTCTCAAAAAAAAAAGAAAGTAGTAATTTATCTTCTAACACCTCTGAGAATCTATGATGAGAAAGATGAGGGGACTGAAAAGCTACCTGTGTTATATATCTCTGTTACAATATGGAGGTCTAAGGTTGATTCCCCATCCTCAGGATCTAGAAGGCTCTCCTACTGTTGTACTTCTTTCCCCTGGCCATTCATTCCCTGTTATTATTTGTCCTCCCTCCCGACATAATAAGTTCTATCAAGGAGAAGCACTTGTATATTATCCATCTCTGTATTCTACCTTGCATCACAGCACAAAGCTGGTACTCAATAATTGTAAGACGAATACCATAGATGGTAACCAGAATAAAATAGTTGATAAGATCTATTGTGATTCATATATCCATACTCTGAAACTAACTGTAATAATAAAAAATTGAAACTACATCAGCAACATATGGCTCAGATTATCAGAGAATTAAATGGCAGAGAGCTGAAAATTTTGAAAGGTGTGGCCACATAAAAAACAATGTGCATGCTGTCTAAAAATAACAACCACTCCCTTTTAAAGAGGAAAGGTAAATTTCAAGCCTCAGATAATTGAAGAAAATTGTCAGAAAAAAAGAAACATTAAGTAAAAAAAAAGAAAGATGATTTGATTTCTGGATTAAGATGTTTTAATTAATATACATAATGTATAGTAGTTCATATAATTTATTAATGGCATTTTCTATAGGACACTGTAATTAATTCAGTGACATCAATATTGACCTCATACAGACAAAAGATGAAAGCTGGGTTTTCTCGTGTACCAAGTACAAAACATGTGCTAAAAAGTTAACATACACAGTTGTAAGAGATCAACGTCGGGATGACTCAAGTTTATAGTAGTTGCTTCACACGGTTTTCCAAGACTTGGATGCCACCCAGTGTTGCCGTGTTTGTGCAAATGCCAGCTCTGGACGGCCTGACTACCTCCTTTTGCCAGCCCCACTTTTGCCTGTTTTACTGCTGCCGCTGCTAGATTTGCCAGATGATTTTGAAGAGAAGAGTCTTGTCATGAACTCAGAAACATCAGGCAACTCATGGTTGGAATTCAGCATATTCATTGACTGCTCCATTTCCTGCAAGAAGACAAGGCACAATGATATGTAGGATCCTTCGAGTCTTTTAACTCCTAACACTTCCTATTAAGGAAAAAGTAAAGGAGTAGAACAAGTGAAAGGTACTGGTTCTGAGCAATGATGCAACATCATACTCAGTAGTACTTCACCTATATATCATTAGTAACTATTTTCCATATCTCCTTTATACCACTAGACATTTTGACTCTTAGTAAATGTCCAATAAATGACTGCCTAGGGTTTGATTCTGCTTGCCTTTTTTTTTTTTTATTATTATACTTTAAGTTTTAGGGTACATGTGCACAACGTGCAGGTTTGTTACATACGTACGCATGTGCCATGTTGGTGTGCTGCACCCATTAACTCATCATTTAACATTAGGTATATCTTCTAATGCTATCCCTCCCACCTCCCCCCACCCCACAACAGGCCCTGTGTGTGATGTTCCCTTTCGTGTGATTCTGCTTGTCTTAATAAAGAACACTTTTTTCTGATACTGAATATATTTGATCATATTCCTCTCTTATTTTATGTTTTCTGATTAAAGTGATTTCTTATTGTTTTAATGAGTACATTTTTAAGTTCATGCTTCCTTTAGATGCATATAACCAGAATATTAATTTTTAACTATATATCAAGGTATCAGTACAGTTTGGAAAATAAGTGCAATATTTCTAAGAATTCATTTATAAGCCTCAGTAGTAAATCTATGAATGCTGTATGGCTTGCATGACTTCAATTAGACTCTAAAGCAAGCAACACACTGTTACAAAGAAGTCATTGGCAAAACAGGATAGGACTTGGCACTTTTGAGTATTTGTCCTCCCCTTTAATTGAGCCAAAAATCTATAAAGTACTGTTTGATAGTTATATAATATTAATGTAACATCTGCTTCATTTAAATTTTAAGTGACATTCTCAAAGTGAACTTAAAATTGACTTTAGTTCATTCATACATGAAAAAGATAGCAAATACTATATTATCTATCATTTCTTTCATTTTTTTCTTTTCTTTTTTTTTTTAGGAGACAGTGCTCAGGTGATCTTCCTGCCTCAGCTTCCTGGGCAGCTGGGACTATAGGCACACAGCACAGCACTAGGCTTCCATTTCAAATTGAACACTGTTGGGATATTAGCTTGAGCTTTTCCCACAAAGGTAGAATTGATTCCTAAATTTTAAAGGAGAAGTTGCTTTTACAAATAAGGCTAGCGAAAGAAATATTGTAAACATAAATCAAGTATGTTAACATGCCCCAATAATTAAGAAATAAATGTATATGGTAACAGCTCTTGAGTCCCTGCAAACATATATCAACTCTATTTTTGAATCTGTTCAATTCTGAAGCTCCCCTTTTTTTTTTTTTTTTTTTTCAGTTTTTGTGGTTTTATTTAAACACAAATAAAACATGCATGAGAGCCGTTGATTCCTTTTCCTCACTGTGGAGCCTGGCATTGGGACTAGTGACTGTGATGGCCAGCTGGGCTGCTCTTTCCAGATGGTTTTGTGGTTCTTGGAGGAAACACTGTGAGTAATCTCAGCACGGTAACATTTGTTGCAGATCAGCAGTACTTCCAGCTCCTTGATGTTGTAGACCAGGAACTTCCAGAAGCCACTGGGTAGTAAGTACTTTGTTTCTTTGCTGCTCCCATAACCAATGTTGGGGATCAAGATCTGGCCCTTGAATCTTCTACGAACACTGTTGTCAACACCTCTAGGTTTCTGCCAGTTAAGCTAAATTTTGACATATTGGTCTGACTGGTGCCAGATAAACCTCTTAGTTGTCTTTTTGATGATCTTGGGCTTCACAAAGGATCTGAGGGCAGCCATGATGCCAAGTAGGAGATGGTGCCACCTCTGCAGGCAGTGCCAAGGAAGAGAGCTTCTGAAGCTCTTGAATCAACTTTTTAAGATGCTTACTATGTGCAAAGCACTTCACAAGGAATGAACTTTTTTTTTTTTTAACGGAGTTTTGCTCTTATTGCCCAGGCTGGAGTGCAATGGCACGATCTCAGCTCACTGCAACCTCTGCCTCCCAGTTTCAAGCGATTCTCCTGTCTCAGCCTCCCAAGTAGCTCAGATTACAGGCATGCGCCACCATGCCCGGCTAATTTTTTTGTATTTAGTAGAGACGGGGTTTCACCATGTTAGTCAGGCTGGTCGTGAACTCCTGACCTCAGGTGATCCACCTGCCTTGGCCTCCCAAAGTGCTGGGATTACAGGCCTGCGCCACCGCGCCCGGCCAGAATGAACTTTTAATCAAATGTGACTTCTGATGTTTCCTTCTACTGATGCCACAGTTAATTGGCTTAACATATACAAGGAATGCACAGGATGTATTACTTTCAGTCTAACACTGAAGCAAAAATGCAAACATTCACCAATAAAACATTTTGAAATATCAAAAACCTTTCTTTTCCTATGAATCTTTTTCTGCCATTCCTGCTTTGAATATACCCCTTATTACCTTCCACAGAACATAATCACCTACTACCTTAGCAAACATTTTTATTTACCTTATTTCTTTAAGAAATAAGACAAATTTCTATTAAGAAAAAAGAAAAGAAAAAGTCACAAAATCCCCTGATAGCAAGAAGAATATTTGATAAATCCATTCTATTTTCTACATTTAACTGGGACTGAGCCTACTGATGACAGGTATGGCCTATAATTCATTTCTGTATCTCCAGTATCTAGACCCTAGAAATTGATAAATGTTTACTCAGGAATGAATAAAATGTCACCACATCTATATACTAAATAAAATGGGGAACCTTGAAACTCAGAAGATACTTGTTGATGGTTGAACGGAAAAATGCATGATGGTTTTTTGAAAAAATGAAGAGTTCAAATAGAAGCCAATATTCAAAGAGAAAATGTGGTGGCACTAAATTGGAAGCATCCTACTTAGCAAATCCTCTCCCTCTGCAGAACCAGTATGGTTTTGTGGAACAGAATTCAAAGGTCACTCTTCTACTTATCCATCCCCCTTGGTCTATCTGTGTGTCTGAACACATAAACTGAGTATGTACTCTGAAGAGAGTTTTGTAAAGTAAAGGCAGATCACAGGAACAATCACTTTGTAAAATATTTAGATTCAGCATACCAGAAGTATTGTACATTTCAGCTATTTAAAAAGTAAGGCACACAAAGAGGCTAGGATGCAGTAAGATGTTTTAGCTACATAAAGAGATCCAGGCCAGGCAGAACTAACAATTTATCTAGTCTAATGGAAGCAACTAATTAAAAGCCATAAACATGATACTATGTTAATACAACCTCTAGATTAATTTGGCTTGGGAACTAGAATAAAATTGAGAAAAACTAAGCTACCCAGCTACGATGGGACAGAGCAAACATCACAATACGGTTCAAAAACCCACAGGTGGGGCCAGGCATGGTGCCTCGGACCTATAATCCCAGTGCTTTGGGAGGCTGAGGCAGGTGGATAGCTTGAGCCCAGGAGTTTGAGGCCACTCAAACTGATTGTGCCACTGCATTCCAGCTTGAGCAACAGAGGCTCTATCTCTTAAAAAAAAAAAAATCCATAGCTGGACCATCATCTTACCCGTCTCATGTCAGGATCACTTGTGTTGACCACTTTAGGCAGAAGCACAAATATCAATAAAGGAAGAACCATCATCATAACCTGCAGAAAAAAAAAATCCAGAAAATGTTTTTCCCCCACTTTACAGTTAATAGAACAAAAACTGCACTTAACAACCAATGGTAAAATTAAAGATTTAAACGTTGTCTATACAATAACACTAGTAGCAACCACCGCAATTCTACTGAGCCAGTTCTGATGATAGCAAGGGGCTGTCTGTCTGACTATGGTGGACTATTATAGAATATTAAAGTTTTCTGTATGTATGTTTGGACTTTATAGACACCTCACTTCATAGTTGTGCCACCCACCTATCTTTTTGCAGAGTTACAGTGTTATTTAACACAAATAGTTTGCAAATGGAACTATCTATTCCCTTTTTTTTTTTTTTTAATCTATAGTCTGGCAATGGGATTGGTGATCTGATGGCAAGCTAACTGCTCTTTTCAGGTGACTGTGGTTCTTGGAAAACTGACCTACTTTAGCAGACCAGTTTTGAAAAATGACCTAGAAGCATCAAGCACTGGAGCACTAGATACACTTCCACGGAATTTCAGAAATGAGAACATGGAAGGTGAATAAGCTCTGGAGTTTCACTGCTGACTTCTTCCATCCAGTCTCCCCCCGCCTCTTTATCTCTGATTACAGATTCTAGGTACTAATTTATTCCTCCCTAGGGGATATACAGCCTCTGAAAACAGATCATGTGTGATCTAAATAGCTATCAGCAAGGATTATGACCAAAACTTAGATAAATTCTTTTATTTTTATTTTTATTTTTTGAGACACGGTCTCGCTCTGTTCCCCGGGCTGAAGTGTGGTGGTGCAATCTTGGCTCACTGCAACCTCCACCCCCTCTGGTTCAAGCAGTTCTCCTGCCTCAGCCTCCCAAGTAGCTGGGATTACAGGTCCCCGCCACCACACCCAGCTAACTTTTTATATTTTTGATAGAGATGAGGTTTCACCATGTTGGCCAGGCTGGTCTCGAACTCCTGACCTTGTGATCCGCCCACCTCAGCCTCCCAAAGTGCTGGGATTACAGGCGTGAGCCACCGCGCCTGGCCTACTTAGACAAATTCTAAGACAGCAATTCAATTTTTAAAAACAGCAAAAGAAAAGGTCGATTTGTTTCTAAAAACTGTTTTCTTGATGATAGTCAACAATAATTTATTGTATATTTTAAAATCACAATCAAAGAGTGGAATTGGTATGTTCCTAACATTTATAAAAACATGATAAATGCTTAAGGTGAGGGATATCCCAATTACCCTGATGTGATTAATACACATCGTATGCCTATATCAAAACATCATATGTACTTCATAAATGTACATCTATTAGGCACCTATAATAATTAAAAATAAAAACAAATTTTTAAAGAATGCATGCTATTAGTGTTTTATTATTAGTGAGTATCATAACATCGGTTCATAATGCCAACTACTTAAATTACCATAGAATAACTTTTCTCTTCACTACACATGTTAAAAAAAGAGGAAGAAATCCTTACTTGTGCTATCAATAGGGGCTGGTTAATAAATGATGGCACATTCATCAATGGACTAATAATATGCAGGCAGTATGGCTGGGTGCGGTGGCTCACGCCTGTAATCCCAGCACTTTAGGAGGCCGAGGCGGGCAGATCACCTGAGGTCAGGAGTTCAAGACCAGCCTGGCCAAGATGGAGAAACTCTGTCACTACTAAAAATACAAAATTAGCCGGGCGTGGTGGCACATGCCTGTAATCCCAGCTACTTGGGAGGCTGAGGCATGAGAATCGCTTGAACCTGGGAGGCAGAGGTTGTGGTGAGCCGAGATCGCACCATTGCACTCCAGCCTGGCCAACAAGAGCGAAACCCCGTCTAAAAAAAGCCAAAACAAACCACAAACAAAAAATACGCAGGTAGTATGAAGAATGAGACAGCTCCAGGTATGACTGACTTACTGAGTATTCTTATTCTATTTGAAATGTAAAACATGCTATAAATATTTATCCAATTTCTATTACACATTTCAATAATCAAATCTACAGTGCAATTCTCATTATATTCTCTTCATTATGTATTCCCAAAGCCACTATTCTTCTGAAATCTGCAAATTATTCACAATTATCCTTTCATCCACCAATCTGACCTCAGCTTTCTATCTCACAGAGGTTTGAAGTTTCCACTGCCTAGAAGCAAATTAGGTATTAGTAAAGTGCTTTATTTTAGCCTGATACATACCATTGGGTTCATTAGAAAGTCTGTCCAGCCCCACGATTCCCTTTTAATAAAGTAAGAAGGTGGACCTGAAGATTTCATTTGGAGAGGATAGGGCAGTCTGACAACCTCTGATGTTTTGATGTAATTCACATATCTTGCTCTGATAAAGCAACATGGGGAAAGCAACAGTAATTCCATTAAAAACATTACTGGTTAAAAGAACTGCTTATATTATATTAGCAATGCCTTATACACACTTTCAGCTTTTTCCAAAATGCTTTAAAACCTAAACTTTTGATCTTGAAAATCTGACCAAAATAGCTTTATCTACATGTCTAAAATATGCAGCAAAACACAGAGAAAAAAACGCTAGACTTGGAATCTTCTAGCTGCAGCTCTGTCATTACCTAGACCTGTGGGATTAAATCAGTTCCCTAACTTCTATTTATGTCAAAAGTTCTTTTAGAATCCTTCTGGTGCTAAAGTTATTTGATTATATTTAGTAATGAATTTACTTCATTATACCATACAAAAATACTGGATTTTATTTTTTTGATGGTCTAAGAAATGCATTATTGGATGTAACCAATTTTTAAGGCTATATTGCCAGAAAATGTTATAATGCAAGAAAGCACTGCAGCAGTGCTATAGGTAACGCTACATTTTTCACCAAAGACGCACTAATTTTAATCAAAATTCTCATCCATGTTTACATAGGATCCATTTTACTTTTTGAAAACTGCCTCTCCTATTTCACTGTCATTGCTGTGTTGGGAAATTTTTTTTCTGATCTGTCTCCCACTTCATCAGACTTCTGCTCAGTTTCTTAATGCATCCATTTAGTTGTACATTTCAATGCCTATATTCATTGTAGAGATTCTATTCTATTCTTTTTTCAAATATCTATAGCCTATTTTGGTATATCATTTCTATGGCAGTCTTTTATTTCCTTAAGTACTTTAAATATACATTAAATTATTTTACAGTCTATATCTAATAATTCTACTATTTAAAGTTCTTAGAGGTCTGATTTATTTGCTGACTCAATGTAGACTGTTTTCTTGGGTTCTTTGTAAGTTTAGTAGACTTTATTTACCTTTATTTAAGTAAAGAGATACAAAGGGTATCTCCTTCCAGAGAGATTATGCATTTGTTACTGCCAGGAATTTGGGAATTATAAACAGAAACTATTTTGTTCATTGCTTAGCTTGGAAGTTCCTGGATTATGCAGAAAGTAATAAATTCATACCCCAACTTGTAATGAGTGTAGGAGCGTAACTATCAGTTTTCAGGGGAGACTTTTTCCCCCAAAGGCCAGCATCAGACTTTTCCCTCCGAAAATCCAGGGCCTTCTGCATTTTAGTACCAAAGGTCAAAGGGAGGACCAAATTTTAGATCTAATTCTGACTCCAAGCAAGCCCATGGCTTGCCTCCTCCCTGCACATTGCTAATTAAATCTAAGCCTTCTGGGTTAGAGAATATCAAAATCTCCAGGTGGGGAAGTGCTTTATAGTTTATCCCCTAGGGATTTCCTTTGTTGTGGGGGGAGCTATGCATTTATTAATAAAAGAAAATGTTCGTCATATTTTTATCCAGCATTTCTCTGCCAAAATGTCAGAACTGAAAATCCCACATATATTCAAAACTAATTTATCATGCATGCTGCATGCTTATAAAATATTGGTCAAGGCTGGGCACAGTGGCTAATGCCTGTAATCTCAGCACTTTGGGAGGCCAAGGTGGGTGGATCATTTGAGGTCAGGAGTTTGAGACCAGCCTGGCCAACATGGTAAAACCTGTCTCCACTAAAAATACAAAAATTAGCCAGGCATGGTGGCACATGCCTGTAATCCCAGCTACTTGGGAGGCTGAGGCAGGAGAATCACTCGAACCCAGGAAGTGGAGATTGTAGTGAGCTGAGGGTGCACCACTGCAATCCAGCCTGGGTGACAGAGTGAGACTCCGTCACACACACACACACACACACACACACACACAAAGAATTAGGATCTTATATGAATCCCACTTTGTTCTCTACTCTGTCACACCCCCAATTATTTTTTATTTTTTTGAGACGAAATATTGCTCTGAAGCCCAGGCTGAAGTGTAGTGGCGCAATCTCGGCTCACTGCAACCTTTGCCTCCCGGGTTCAAGTGATTCTCCTGCCTCAGCCTCCTGAGTAGCTGGAATTACAGGCGCACGCCACCATGTCCAGCTAATTTTTGTATTTTTAGTAGAGATGGGGTTCATCATGTTGGTCAGGCTGGTCTTGAACTCCTGACCTCGTGATTCACCTGCCTCGGCCTCCCAAAGTGCTGGGATTACAGGTGTGAGCCACCGTGCCCAGCCCCATCCCTAATTATTAAAATAATTTTTAAATAATTTTTTCTTTTTTTTAATTTAACCTATGCTTCAGACATCCAATCATCAGGAATGTATCTGAGAACATGAATCCCACTGCTGCAACCAGTTCATAAGTGCTAAAGCAGGAAGTACTCTTTACTCAAGGTAAAAAGGCAATGAAAACTTTATACAGTTGCTCCTCAATTTACATTCCAATAAGCCCATTATAGATTGAAAAATACTGTAAGTCAAAAATGCATTTAATACAGCTAACTCACAGAACAACATAGCCTAGCTTAGCCTACCTTAAAAGTGCTCAGAATACTTACATTAGCCAACAGTGGCAAAATCACCTAATACAAAGCCCACTTTATAATAAGAAACTTATTTAATTCATGTAACTTACTAAATTCTGTACTAAGCATAAAAAAAAGAATGGTTGTTATGGGTACTTAAAGTATGGTTTCTACTGTGTATCGCTTTCGCACCATGGTAAAGTCAAAAAATTCTAAGTTGAGGGCTGGGCACAGTGGCTCACACCTGTAATCCCAGTACTTTGGGAGGCCGAGGCAGGAGGATCATGATGTCAAGAGATCGAAACCATCCTGGCCAACATGGTGAGACCCTGCCTCTATTAAAAATGCAAAATTAGTTGGGAGTGGTGGCGCATGCCTGTAGTCCCAGCTACTCAGGAGGCTGAGGCAGGGGAATCGCTTGAACCCGGGAGGCGGAGGTTGCAGTGAGCCGAGATCACGCCACTGCACTCCAGCCTGGTGACAGAGCGAGACTGTCTCAAATTAAAAAAAAAAAAAAAATTATAAGTTGAACCATTGTAAGCTGGGGACCGTCTATATTTAAAACAATATTCCTATTTGCTAAGACTATTTTATTCAAAATTTAACCAGAGTAAAAAGGATTAAAAAAAAATACAAGTATTCCCTTTTGTGTAGCAGCTCTCATTCCGTCCAATATTGTGTTTTCAATATAAAAAAAATGTTTAAAGCAGTATATATAACATATACTGTGATCCACGTACCCCTCCATTTCCAAGCTTACAATTCTAAAATATACAAAAAGTCATGAATAAGTCCTTTAAGGCACAGATTTAATATAAAAGAACTTTACATATACACATATATGTATACACACACACACACACACACACACATATATATATATATATATTTTTTTTTTTTTTTTTTTTGAGACAGGATCTTGCTTTGTTGCCCAGGCTGGAGTGCAGTGGTACAGTCATGCCTATAATCCCAGCTACTTAGGAGGCTGAGGTGGGAAGATCACTAAAGGTCAATTTGAGGCTGTAGCGGGCTATGATTGCACCTGAGAAAAACCACTACACTCCAGCCTAGGCAACATAGCAAGATTTTGTCTCTCTACAAAGTAGGGGGGAAAAGTAATTTGTTTTTAAGAATATATTAGTGGCATTAGAGTATTACTTTCCTGATAATATCAAGAATATTCTCTTGGACAGGTGCAGTGGCTCACATCTGTAATCCCAGCACTTTGGGAGGCCAAAGTGGGCAGATCACTTGAGGTCAGGAGTTTGAGACCAGCCTGGCCAACATGGCGAAACCCCATCTCTACAAAAAAATAAAAAAATCAAGCCAGGTGCCGTGGCTCACACCTGTAATCCCAGGACTTTGGGAGGCGGGCAGATCACAAGGTCAGGAGTTCGAGACCAGCCTGGCCAATATGGTGAAATCCCGTCTCTACTAAAAATACAAAAATTAGCCGGGCGTTGGTGGTAGGTGCCTGTAGTCCCAGCTACTTAGGAGGCTGAGGCAGAAGAATTGCTTGAACCCAGGAGGCAGAGGTTGCAGTGAGCCGAAATCACACCACTGCATTCTAGCCTGGGTGACAGAGCGAGACTCCATCTCAAACAAACAAACAAAAAATCAGACAGGCATGGTGGCGTGCAGCTGTAATCCCAACTACTTGGGAGGCTGAGGTACGAGAATCCCTTGAACCTGGGAGGCAGAGGATGCAATGAGCCAAGATTGCGCCACTGCACTCTAGCTTGGGCAACAGAGCAAGACTTTGTCTCAAAAAAAAAAAGAATATTCTCTTGATAACTGTCTCTGTTTAGTATACATGCTAAAAGAAGAGAAAGAAATCACTGCTTGTCTATCAATAGGAGCCGGTTATATAAATGATGTCAAATCCACCAATGGACTAACACGCAGCTAAGATAAAGGATGGGACAACTCCATGTGTGACTCATTCTATTTGAATTATGGCATATTTACATATTACATTTTTAAAACTTTCAATGTCAAAGAAAGCAAAGAAAGAAGAAACAAATTACAAATTTTAGGAGTAAACACTAACTCAAATGTAAATAGTATGGTACTAACTGAACATGTGTCAGCTCAATTTTGAGTCTCTACAAGTCAGTCTAAATATGCTGCGCAGACACCAAAAAGATCAGTAGTAAAATTATTTATTAGTCCTCCACCTCCAGAAATTGTTTTTGCCTTTGCATGACCTGTGCTTTATTACTGCAACATAGTCATATTTGATAGCTTAAAGAAGAGACATTACCACTTAGGAGTTGCTTCATATATTTCCTGGTCAGATTTGACCAAAGAGGATGCTATTGCCATGAGACAACAAAATAAATAAATAAATGTGTTCTATTATAATGGGAAGCTGACTCTGAAGACTATAGATACTATACAAATGTTTCAACTTCAAATAGGTTTTGCTATTCCACACTCACAGTCTAAATTAGACTATAGTTCTTTTCACCTCAATTGTTTTCCCTAGAAATACTATATTTCCATTGAACATAAAAGATTCCATAAAGAAAGGACCACAGAAATTTCCAGATCAATGAAGTATCAAATAGGTAATAAGAGGTATTATCAAAATATCCCAGTGAAAAACAGGTGATGAATAGTATTTCTAATTTAGAAAAGTTAAATTATTTCCAACTTAATAATCATATTTCAATTATAACTTTCATAGCACTTTAGCTCCTATAGTAAGTAATCTTACCTTTTCTTTATGTAATCATATTAGGAGCTTTAAAATAAATTTTAAGCCAGAGCAAGAAGCTCAACTTTACAATTTTTTCAATGTTCAGATTAAATAAACGAGGATATTTTAAGTGTTTTAAGGAATAGCTGTAGTTTAAATAAAAAGAATTTTCCATCTAAACTATTAATTCTAAAAGGAATATATACTAAGGTATTCAGTAGCCTAGCTTTTGGCAAAAATTAAATCAGGTGCCCTCACCTCATTTTTCCTTTCGAAGTGATATCCACTCGAACGGGATCAAATCTGTAAGCTGGAGATACAACTTCCACTACATAAGATCCAGAAGGTATATCATGAACCACAAAACTCCCATCTGTCCTGGAAAAATGAAAATCATGTTTAGCTACTACTGATCAACAGCTTAGTCTTTTCTTACTTGCTAATTCCCAAATCAACTCTCCCGAAAAATGACATTAAAAGCAACGGGCAAACAAACAAACAAAACCTTGGCGAAAGTTGTCCTATGCTTCAGTTTCTTTTCTTTTTTCTTTTGAGACGGAGTCTCGCTGCGACGCTCAGGGTGGAGTGCAATGGCACGATCTCAGCTCGCTGCAACTTCCGCCTCCTGGGTTCGAGCGATTCTCCTGCCTCAGCCTCCCGAGTAGCTGGGATTACAGGCGTGCCCCATCATGCCCAGCTAATTTTTGTATTTTTAGTAGAGACGGGGTTTCACCATGTTGGCCAGGCTGGTCTCGAACTCCTGACCTCGGGTAATCCACCCGTCTCAGCCTCCCAAAGTGCTGGGATTACAGGCATGAGCCACTGTGCCGGCCTTCAGTGTCTATAATTACACTGAATAGGTTCTGAAAATACCCAAGACCACTCCAGGGTAGCAGAGAAGCCTGACATAGAAAGTAATTATTTTCCTTCTATGGGTAGAGATGACAGGTGACAGAAACACAATTCCCATTCTAAAGCCATGTCTTCATTGAATATACATTATTATTAAAATATTAGGGTTCCAATTTTGCCAGTCACCCCCAACAACTTCTTACTGTTAAAAATGGCAGGCCAGGCGTGGTGGCTGCCGCCTGTAATCCCAGCACTTTGGGAGGCCGAGGCAGACAGATCACCTGAGGTTGGGAGTTAGAGACCAGCCTGACCAACATGGAGAAACCCCATCTCTACTAAAAATACAAAATTAGCCAGGCGTGGTGGCGCATGCCTGTAATCCCAGCTACTCGGGAGACTGAGATAGGAGAATTGCTTTAACCCGGGAGGCAGAGGTTGCAGTGAGCTGTCCAGCCTGGGCAACCAGAGCAAAAACTCCATCTCCAACAAAAAAAAAAAAAGGCATTTTGTTCTAGTTTTAACTTGCAATTTTTGGTTTTCTGTTCTTCTTCTTTTTTTTTTTTGAGACGGAGTCTCACTCTGTTGCCCAGGCTGGAGTGCAGTGGCCCTATCTCGGCTCACTGCAAGCTCCGCCTCCTGCGTTCACGCCATTCTCCTTCCTCAGTCTCCCGAGTAGCTGGGACTACAGGCGCCCTCCATCACGCCCGGTTAATTTTTTGTATTTTTAGTAGAGACGGGGTTTCACCGTGTTAGCCAGAATGGTCTCAATCTCCTGACCTCGTGATCCGCCCGCCTCGGCCTCCCAAAGTGCTGGGATTACAGGCGTGAGCCACTGCGCCTGGCCGGTTTTCTGTTCTTTTTAACAAATAATAAAAGGTATTTAAGTACCATTTGTTCTATTTGCTATAAATAATTCCCATTTACTTTGGTTACTAGAAGCTTAAAATGTTTATGTAGTTAAAAACATCCATCTTTTCCTTACTGATTTCTTCTAAACTTCCTAGACTTAGAAAACCATCCTATCAAGAGCTGATAATTTCATTTCACAGATCAAAATTAATTTGTTTGAAAAATGAGAAACTACTATTCTGAGGGGGGAAAAAAAGTTTATGTTTCAGGAAAACAAATGGTTCTAAAATGACCAACTGTATCAGAGAATTCCCGATATCATAATAATATATTAAAATAATGCTTCTTAAATCCTCATAGGCTCTTTCATAGTTAAAGGAATAACTGATACTGATGATATCCACAACAGTTACTAAAAAGCAAGATGACGAGACCATCCTGACTAATACGGTGAAACCCTGTCTCTACTAAAAATACAAAAATTAGCTGGGTGTGGTGGCATGCGCGTGTAGTCCCAGCTACTCAGGAGGCTGGGGCAGGAGAATCACTTGAACCTGGGAGGCGGAAGTTGCAATGAGCCGAGATTGTGCCATTGCACTCCAGCCTGGGTGACAGATCGAGACTCCGTCTCAAAAAAAAAAAAAAAAGTAAGATGAAAAAGTGTCACTCCAGAGCACACTAAGCCAGAATTGAAATGTAAAAAAGTTAACTTATGCCTGGCCTGGACATGTTCCATTTGCCCTCTAGATCCACTCTCTACCTTTCTCCTCTTTGCAGACTGGAGGAAGGAAAGAAAATGAGCTTAGTCTATTTTCCCCCCAGACCTCTCACTGACAGGCCACCTCTGACTGGCTGTGTTAAGGGACTGGTTTGTGTCTTTCAATGCAGGCCTTTCTTCCCTTCAAGGTTCCAGTAACCTCTACTCTCCTCTTCCTTCAGGATTAGAGGTGGTGATAATAACCTTGAGGATGTAAGCTCCAGGGTACTGCACAATCTGGCTGTTTCCCAACACCATGACTACACTGTTTGATGCCTTCATTAAATTATCCTTGAATTACTCTAATTTGAGTGCATCTTCTACTTCTTAATGGGACCCTGACTGAACCAATTTCTTTCTTTCTTTTTTTTTTTTTTTTGAGACAGAGTCTCACTCTGTCACCCAGGATGGAGTGCAGTGAGGTGATCTCTGCTCACTGCAACCTCCGCCTCCTGGGTTTAAGTGATTCTCCCGCCTCAGCCTCCCTAGTAGCTGGGATTACAGACTACCGCCAGTATGCCTGGCTGATTTTTTTTTTTTTTTTTTGTATTTTTAGTAGAGATGGGGTTTTTCCATGTTGGCCAGGCTGGTCTCGAACTCCTGACCTCTGGTGATCCGCCTGCCTCGGCCTCCCAAAGTGCTAGGATTACAGGTATGAGCCACCGTACCCAGCCCTGACTCAACCAATTTCAAAACATTTTTTCAGATCCAGAAAAAAACAAACTGATGACAGTGGAACACAAATAATATCAGAAATAATTAAAGAAAAAGCAAATATATTTATCATCCTAAGGTAAATATTTTACTTGAGAAAAATAACATAAAGTTTGCAATACAAAATTTAAAATTCATCCTTAAAAATGTACTCTACAAAATGTAGGCCTTATTGGATCCTGATTTGAAAGAACAATTATATAAAAAATATTTTTGAGAAAACTGAGGAAACATAAAAATGGGACTGTTAGATGATATTAAGGCATGATTATTTTGTTGAATCAATAATGGTAATGTGGTTTTTGTTTAAGTCCTTATTTTTTGGAGATACATAATAATGCTTTTACAAGTAAAATCCTATTATGCTTAGAACCATTTAAAAATATTTCAGAAAAAAATTAATGAGGTACACAAAAGACATGAAACAAAACAGTAGAATGCCATTCTATAAATGTTTGAAAATTTCTATAATAAAAAGTGCAAAAAAGTATAGAATATAATATTACTATGTAAACAAACAAACAAACAAAAACACATGAAAACCACCTGTCCAAAAACAGAGGACTGGTTAAATAAATTATGGCTTATATACATTGTGATGATAGCAAGAAATGGCATGAGGAGTCTTCAGGCCCAATTCCCTTTATCTCCATTAACTAAGTCCTAAGCCACCTCCAATAAGCACAAATGTAAGTCAAAACTGTGTGCTAGTTATGCAAAACAGCTACAATACAAATTACCTACCCCTTTTCCAATAAGATTATCACCATAAACTCCTCATATTAATTCTCCATCAATGTTTCTTTTTTTCCTGAGAGACGGGGTTTTGCTCTGTAGCCCAGGCTGGAACGCAATGGCATGATCACAGCTCACTACAGCCTCAACCGCCTCGGCTCAAGTGATCCTCCCACCTCAGCCTCCTGAGTAGCTTGGACTACAGGTGCACACCACCACTCCTGGCTAATTATTTATTTTTTGTAGAAATGGGGTCCCACTATGTTGCCCCAGCTGGTCTGAAACTCCTGGGCTCAAGCGATCCTTCCACCTCAGCCTCCCAAAGTAAGATTACAGGTATGAGCCACCGCGCCTGGAAATTCTCCATCAACCTTTCTACATACAAATAAAGAACATGAAATGGTATCAAAAGCTGTTCAAAAATATTAAGTGAAAAAGGCAGGATACAAACTACTACATGTTGTATTTTACTAGTAAAAACCTAAGTCATATGATTCCAAAAGAAGCTGGAAAAATGGTAGGCACCGTGGCTCACGCCTATAATCCCAAAAATGTGACAGGCTGAGGCAGAAATATCACTTGAGGCCAGGAGTTTGAGACCACACTGGGCAACATAGCAAGACCCTGTCTCTACAAAAAATTAAAAAATTAGCTGGACATGATGGTGTCCGCCTGTAGTCCTATCTACTGAGGAGGCTGAGACAGGAGGATCACTTGAGTACAGAAGTTCGAAGCTGCCATGAACTATGATCTCGCCACTGCACTCCAGGCTGAGTAACAGAAAAAGACCTTGTCTCAAAAAAATAAAAAGAAAGATACAATGAAACATTAAGGGTTGTTTTCCTACTTTGTTTCTAATATACTATTTTTAAACAGAAATTAAATGCTTTTTAAAAGAACTGTATACAGAAGAGTGGCCAAATGGTCAATTAAGGCTTATTCCTAAAGCTTAATGAGAACTTTATCATTAAAACATCATTAATTAGGGTAAACTCTAACGAATGCCCTAATGCCAGATTCTTAATGACAGACAGCAGTAAAATACTGGTTGTAAATTTGTCACTATTTATTAATCTGAGGTTGAATAACCACTCAAGGGCACTTAGATGATCTGAACAAATATGTAAATCAGATTTGGATTTAAATGTCTACATTTAAGTTGTCTGATTTTCAGATACCATTTGCTGGTGTACGAACCCACCAAAGGAAATACTTCCTAATTATTTGCTTTCAGTTTACAGTTTCACCTCCAAGTAAGGGTGGAAAGATTTAAAACAACATACGCGTGCCTAGACATTTCAAAAGCAGGCTGCTGCAAAACTAGTGCTAACAAATTCATCCTGTCTTTTAATATAGACAGAAAACCCACTTCCACTAATAGCATGAAAGGACAGAAGCAAGAAAGCAATGTAGAGGAACCCTAGTCTCACATAAATGACAAGTGTGATATAGCAAATCTCTCGATGAATTCAACTGTAAAAAAGAACAACGATCCCACCCCCAAGCAAAAAAAAAAAGAAAAAAAAAGTGCTTTGATTAGGGATTTCAGAGCCTATTAATTTTAGAAGCAGTAACATTAGCCTCCCAGTCTATGTCGTCACTAGAAGCCCTTTGGGTTTTGAGAATTCCCACTTGTGTCGCATCTTTCTACATAATAACAAGCTACCAAAAGACTGAAGTGAATGCAAAAAACGACTAGGTTCTAGGGAAACCAGATGAGATATAAAAGAATCCAACAAGAGACTAATAAGGGTCCACCTGTCCCCAGGGCCCAGGAATGATCGTCCCCACATGGGGCCAAAATAAGGTTGGAAATAACTGACTCCATGCTCTGACCATGGCAGGGGGTGAGCGCCTGCCATGCTCATTCCAGAGGTACAGGACCAGGAAAGGGAAAGCATCCGACTGCCTCCCAAGGTCTCCCGGCATAGACCGTTAGCGGCACCCTCCCCTTCAGTCTGAGACAGCGACGTTGTCCCGTCCTGACACTTAACTCTCCTGGTGGGGTCCCTGTCCGGCCTCCATCCCAGCCTTTTTCCCGCTGCCCTCAGGATGCTCACTTAAGGAAACCGACGTGCTCTTCTCCGTCTACCAGCACTCGGGCCGCCGAGATCCAGTCCTGAGGCTTCACCCCTGGAACAACTGCACGCCCCTCAATCTTGAAGCGATCTCCTATGCCGACCCCACTCCCTCCCGATCCCTCAGCAGCAGCCCCGGGCACCTCCGAGCTCTGGACATCCCCCGATAGCAGCAGCAGCAGCAGGACGGGAAAGAAGCCCCACAGAGCGGCCGCCATGACAGCAGCTCTGCACTCAGACCGGCAGCCCCGGAAGCCCTCCCAGTCTCCCGGCCGCCACCGCCGCCGCTGGCGGCTTGATGTTGTCATCACTGCGCGCCCGTTTCTGTCATAAGCTGTGGGATCCAACCAGAGGGAAGAGATCATGGCCGATCGACTAGCGAGGCGGAAGTAAGGCGGAAGTACTGCCCTTAACTCCCGGCACTCTGGATTGGAAGACGGCGCACAGAGCCTGTGTCAAGTGCCTATGAAGGGGACTGCCCATGAAGTGAAAGTCAAGTGTGTGTTGCTGCGGCAGCCACGGAGGCCAAGGACCTCACGGGAGTAAAAGATGACGAGACTGGCTTCGGGAGAAACACCATCCAGAAGAGACCTTTCAAAAAACTTCTAGAGACTCCCCAAGACGTATGAGATGAAAGGCTTCTTCTGTCTGTGTGCGTTTAACTCATTTCTCCTTAGCCCCGAGATTACGCGCTGCTGTGCCTGCGACTGCAGCGTTTACGCCGAGATAACTCGTGGATTACAGTGCCAACCTTACTCCCAAAGTTTGCCACGAAATATCTCGCTTCTGTTATTTTCGCATGGTTCTGGTATATTGACTTTTGAAACAAAAGACATCATTCTGTTTATAGCATTCTGTTTTTAGTAGTGGGATTTCCATCTACAAAATATAGTAATTCTCGATCGCTGAAATGTCAAATCCTAGAAAACGTAGCATTCCTATGCGTGATAGTAATACCGGTCTCGAACAGTTGTTGGCTGAAGATTCATTTGATGAATCTGATTTTTCGGAAATAGATGATTCTGATAATTTTTCGGATAGTGCTTTAGAAGCCGATAAGATCAGGCCTCTGTCCCATTTAGAATCTGATGGAAAGAGCTCTACATCAAGTGACTCAGGGCGCTCCATGAAATGGTCAGCTCGTGCTATGATTCCACGTCAAAGGTATGACTTTACCGGCACACCTGGCAGAAAAGTCGATGTCAGTGATATCACTGACCCATTGCAGTATTTTGAACTGTTCTTTACTGAGGAATTAGTTTCAAAAATTACTAGAGAAACAAATGCCCAAGCTGCCTTGTTGGCTTCAAAGCCACCGGGTCCGAAAGGATTTTCGCGAATGGATAAATGGAAAGACACTGACAATGACGAGCTCAAAGTCTTTTTTGCAGTAATGTTACTGCAAGGTATTGTGCAGAAACCTGAGCTGGAGATGTTTTGGTCAACAAGGCCTCTTTTGGATACACCTTATCTCAGGCAAATTATGACTGGTGAAAGATTTTTACTTTTGTTTCGGTGCCTGCATTTTGTCAACAATTCTTCTATATCTGCTGGTCAATCAAAGGCCCAGATTTCATTGCAGAAGATCAAACCTGTGTTCGACTTTCTTGTAAATAAATTTTCCACTGTATATACTCCAAACAGAAACATTGCAGTTGATGAATCACTGATGCTGTTCAAGGGGCCATTAGCTATGAAGCAGTACCTCCCGACAAAACGAGTACGATTTGGTCTGAAGCTATATGTACTTTGTGAAAGTCAGTCTGGTTATGTGTGGAATGCGCTTGTTCACACAGGGCCTGGCATGAATTTGAAAGATTCAGCGGATGGCCTGAAATCATCACGCATTGTTCTTACCTTGGTCAATGACCTTCTTGGCCAAGGGTATTGTGTCTTCCTCGATAACTTTAATATATCTCCCATGCTTTTCAGAGAATTACATCAAAATAGGACTGATGCAGTTGGGACAGCTCGTTTGAACAGAAAACAGATTCCAAATGATCTGAAAAAAAGGATTGCAAAGGGGACGACTGTAGCCAGATTCTGTGGTGAACTTATGGCACTGAAATGGTGTGACGGCAAGGAGGTGACAATGTTGTCAACATTCCACAATGATACTGTGATTGAAGTAAACAATAGAAATGGAAAGAAAACTAAAAGGCCACGTGTCATTGTGGATTATAACGAGAATATGGGAGCAGTGGACTCGGCTGATCAAATGCTTACTTCTTATCCATCTGAGCGCAAAAGACACAAGGTTTGGTATAAGAAATTCTTTCACCATCTTCTACACATTACAGTGCTGAACTCCTACATCCTGTTCAAGAAGGATAATCCTGAGCACACGATGAGCCATATAAACTTCAGACTGGCATTGATTGAAAGAATGCTGGAAAAGCATCACAAGCCAGGGCAGCAACATCTTCGAGGTCGTCCTTGCTCCGATGATGTCACACCTCTTCGTCTGTCTGGAAGACATTTCCCCAAGAGCATACCAGCAACGTCCGGGAAACAGAATCCAACTGGTCGCTGCAAAATTTGCTGCTCCCAATACGACAAGGATGGCAAGAAGATCCGGAAAGAAACGCGCTATTTTTGTGCCGAATGTGATGTTCCGCTTTGTGTTGTTCCGTGCTTTGAAATTTACCACACGAAAAAAAATTATTAAATACCGATCATCATACACATCTGTTCCATTAGGATTAGAGACAAGTTCTGTTTAGAAATAACTCCAAGATTGGGAGGCCGACCTGGGTGGATCACCTGAGATCAGGAATTCAAGACCAGCCTGGCCAACATGGTGAAACCCTGTCTCTACTAAAAATACAACAATTAGCTGGATGTGGTGGCACATGCCTGTAATCCAAGCTACTTGGGAGGCTGAGGCAGGAGAATTGCTTGAACCCATGAGGCGGAGGTTGCAGTGAGCTGAGATCACACCACTGCACTCCAGCCTGGGTGACATAGCGAGACTCCATCTCAAAAAAAAGAAATAACTCCAAGAACAGTTTTGTTGTTTTTGTTTTGTTTTGTTTTGTTTTGAGACGGAGTTTCACTCTTGTTGCCCAGGCTGGAGTGCAATGGCATGATATTGGCTCACTGTAACCTCCACCTCCCAGGTTCAAGCGATTCTCGTGCCTCAGCCTCCCTAGTAGCTGGGATTACAGGCATGTGCCACCACACCCACCTAATTTTGCATTTTTAGTAGAGACTGGGTTTATCCATGTTGGTCAGGCTAGTCTTGACCTCCCGACCTCAGGTGATCCGCCTATCTGGGCCTCACAAAGTCCTGGGATTATAGGCATGAGCCACTGCGCCTAGCACCAAGAACAGTTTTTATATTTTATTTTCACATTGAAAATCAGTCAGATTTGCTTCAGCCTCAAAGAGGGTGTTTATGTAAAACTAAATGAGTGCAGGCAGCGAGCTACACTTTTTTTTTTCCTAAATGGAAAATGGGAAGGAGATACTGTCTCTGAACAAAAATAGCTGGAAAAACACATAACTGTTAACTAAGGGTTGCCTCTAGTGAAAAGGATTGGAAGACAATTTATCTGATGCTACACTATTCTTCCTGTTGTGATTGTTTTACTGTGAACATAACAAGGTTGTATTGGGGAGGAGGGCAGGGGTTGATTGCTGCCAATGTTGATTGCTGAGGCCTTAGCCAAGATTTCAGGCATCATTTGCTCCAGTCCTTTCATTTTCTTTATGGTGGAAAGTGAAGTGACTTGCCCAAGATCTTTGTTGGCCCTAAACATCGCTGTCTCTGCTACAGATTCCTATTGAGAGCAATGCATGTTTTAGCCTTGTGCACTCTTAGAGTCAGCATCATGGGAAAGAGTAACAGCAATTGAAAAAAGAGATTCAAGAGCCAAGTACTCAGCCCTGGCAGGGGATGGGGACATGATGCCCAGAGCCACCCCTATACTCCAGTCTCCCTGGCATCAGCTACTGCAGTACTGGGGTACTTGCCTTCATCTTTTTTCTGAAGATAGTTACTTCTTCATATTTGATCATCGGAAGGAGCAGCATTGCTCAGAAACACACACACACACACACACACTTGACTTTCTTGTCTGCCAAATAAATTTCTTATTTGCTAGGGAACTGGTAATCTAGGCTCAAGAAGTGTGTGGAGAAGGTTTATTTTCATTCTTTTTACTTTAAAATATGCCTTAGTTTTTGAATAGATAAGACATTCAAGTGTCAGAAAGTAAAAGTCAGTTCAGGACTGAGAAAGGAAAGATCAGTGCTGATTTTAATCAGACTGTAATGTACCAACTAGATACAGACAGGGCCAGTGGCAAGGCCATCAGAAAACTTCTTCCCAAGGCCACACCACACCTGCAAAATGCCTAACAACCTTCTTCTTTTCAGTGATTACCACTTTCTTACCAATGACTTCGCTTTGTTCCTCGTGCCTCTGAACAGACTGCTGAGATACCCAATCAAGAGCCAATCCTTGCTTCCCTAGACTCTCCTCAATCATTCAACAGAAGCCCAAATCTTGTAAAAGTTCCTTTCTGGGCCGGGCACAGTGGCTCACGCCTGTAATCCCAGCACTTTGGAAGGCCGAGATGGGCGAATCACAAGGTCAGGAGTTTGAGACTAGCCTGGCCAACATGGTGAAACCCTGTCTCTACTAAAAATACAAAAAAAAATTAGCTGGGCATAGTGGTGGGTGCCTGTAATCCCAGCTACTTGGGAGGCTGAGACAGGAGAATCACTTGAACCCGGGAGGCAGAGGTTGCAGTGAGCCAAGATCGCACCACTGCACTCCAGCCCTGGCGACAGAGTGAGACTCCATCTCAAAAAATAAAAAAGTTTCCTTCTGTTCCCTCTTACTGTTATATCCTTGGTTTCTCTGGTGTGGGGTCTTCCTTACAGCAGCAAGCTCATAAACTTAACTTGACCGCAGGTGTGTTCCTTGGTGGTCTTTATCTGATAGACTTTGTCACATGGTACAATATTCAAAAGGCACATGGTACAATATTCAAAAGGCACATGGTACAATATTCAAAAGGTATGAGTATACAAAAAAAATCTCCCACCTACTTCTCTCCCTAGTCACCCAATTCTCAAGAGGCAATCACTGTTGCCATTTTCCTGAGTATTCTTCCACAGATAGTCAACTATCTACAGAAAAATATATACATTAAAAATAAGGCCAGGCACAGTGGCATGCCTGTAGTCCCAGCTACTCAGAAGGTTGAAGCAGGAGGATCACTTGAGGCCAGGAGGGCCAGGAATTTGAAGCTGTAGTGTGCTATGATAGCAGGCCTGTGAATAGCCATTGCACTCCATCCTGGGCAACATAGCCAGACCCTGTCTCTAAAAAAAAAAAAAAAAAAAAAAAAGACAAAAAAACAAATCCATATATACATATATATGTATATATATAGTATGCTACCAGTTGTGTGAAAAAAGGGGCAAAATATATATTTATTTAACTTATATACAAATAACATTCTAGAAATAAATTGTTTAATATAAAATACACTAATATATAATAATGTATTACCTAACATATGATTATATATAACTATAATGTGTACTGTTTTACATACATATTTCCAAAGTATACTATAAATGCACTTCCGCACTTTGCTCTTTTTACTAAATATATCTTGGAAATCATCCTTTATTCGTACATAAAAAGCTTCATAGTTCCTTTTTATGGCTGCAAAATGTTCCAGCTTATGGATGGACTGATTCTCTATCGAGCAACATTAAGATTGTGTCCTATTTTACTATTCCTAATTTTGCTGAAGTGAATTTCTTTTGCCATGTGATTTCCACAGGTGTATATATGTAGCGTAATTAGTACTAGTAGAAAGTAGAATTGCTAGATCAAAGAGTATGTGCCTTTGTAATTTTGATGATATTGTGAAATCTTCTTCCACAGAAGTTGTTGCAACTTTCACTCTCACCAGCAATGTGTAAGATAACTTGCTTCTTCATACCCTCACCAACAATGAGCTATCAAATGTTATTTTTGCCAAGCAAATAAATTAAAAGTGATATCTCAGTTTTTGTTTGTTTGTTTGTTTTTTGAGACAGAGTTTCACTCTTTGTTGCCCAGGCTGGAGTGCAGTGGCGTGATCTCGGCTCACTGTAACCTCCGCCTCCCAGGTTCAAACGATTCTCCTGTCTCACCCTCCCGAGTAGCTGGGATTACAGGCACCTGCCACCACACCCAGTTAATTTTTGTATTTTTAGTAGAGACAGGGTTTCACCATGTTGGCTAGGCTGACCTCGAACTCCTAACCTCAGGTGATCCACCTGCCTCGGCCTCCCAAAGTGCTGGAATTACAGGCGTGAGCCACCATGCCTGGCTCTTCTTGCTTGTTTGTTTTGAGACAGAGTCTTGCTCTGTCAGCCAGGCTGGAGTGCAGTGGCACGATATTGGCTCACTGCAACCTCTGTCTCCCAGGCTCAAGCAATTCTCCTGCCTCAGCCTCCTGAGTAGCTAGGATTACAGATGTGTGCCACCACGCCTGGCTAATTTTTGTACTTTTAGTAGAGACGGAGTTTCACCATGTTGGCCAGGCTGGTCTCAAACTCCTGACCTCAGGTAATCCGCCTGCCTTGGCCTCCCAAAGTGCTGGGATGACAGGCGTGAGCCACCACGCTGGGCCTCTTCTTGGTTTTTTAATCCATCTTCTGCCATATGGTGAATTAAATCTAAGTTGTATTGTAGGATTAATGGAGAGCAGCTAAAGAGGAATAAAGCCATGTGTTCAGCCAAGGATAGTTATCATGAAGGATAAAAGCCTCAAAATCCTGATTTTGAAATACAAAGTGCTGATTTTAAAATCAGTACATGTTGAGCTGAGCCCTGAGGCCTTTGTTTCAGTCCCAACCAGAGCAGAAGTAAGCATTGTTGAAACCGTAGTAAAAAGATTATTTGAGAAATAATGGAATGGGACAAAGGATTATAATGTGCTACAGCCCTCTGACCATTACACTTTCTAAACTATTAATAAAATTTTACTTTTCAAAAATGATTTCAAAAATTGCAAAATTTAGAAATATGCTGAAATAAAAACAGCTTCATCCCAAGTTTCCTGATTTTTTTTTTCTGTATATGTTTGGTGACCCTTCTTTGCTGGTGGTATCTTAGACACTTGTTCAGTTTTTTTTTTTTTTTTTTTTTTGAGGCAGAGTCTCACTCTGTCACCCAGGCGGGAGTGCAATGGCGTGATCTTAGCTCACTGCAACGGCGTGATCTCAGGTCACTGCAACCTCCACCTCCCGGTTCAAGCAATTCTCTTGCCTCAGCCTCCCGAGTAGCTGGGACTACAGACGCGCACCACCATGCCTGGCTTCTTTTTGTGTTTTTAGTAGAGACAGGGTTTTGCCACGTTGGCCAGGCTAATCTCGAACTCCTGACCTCTGGTGATTCGCCCGCCTTGGACTTCCAAAGTGCTGGGATTACAGGCATGAGCCACCATGCCCGGCCTTGACACTTGTTCAGTTTGACTAACAAGTAATCAGTGCTCGTCATATTTCCCCAGGTAGGAGCTGGGAAGTTTACTTTGCAGTGGGACAAAAGGTGGATGAGGACCAGCAGTGAACAGTAACTGAAGTCTCTGTATCCCCATTTCTGCCTTCCTTTCTTCCCTTCCCTTATTGTCACTCATACTAAACTATCCAATGCTTCAAACCCCTCACATGCCAGGCTTATACCTCTATAGGCACTACATGGAGAAGAAAAGCCTGAGTAACGTTTTCAGGTAGTGCAAAATTCTGTTATCTCTACTATTTTCCAGGTAGGCCAGAGGAATTGTATAGAGATTCAACTCCAAATTATGTGTTTTCCCATAATGTAGCCCTTGGACTCATGCTTTATAAAAGAAACTATAATTATAATAAAATATTTTAGAAAGATTTTGTGCTGGACTGGCTCAGTTTGTCCAGCCAGATCACTTTTTTTTTTTTTTTAGACGGAGTCTCACTCTGTTGTCAGTCTCACTCTGTTGCAGTGGCGTGATCTCAGCTTACTACAACCTCCGCCTCCCGGGTTCAAGCGATTCTCCTGCCTCAGCCTCCCAAGTAGTTGGGACTACAGGTGCGTGCCACCACGCCCAGCTAATTTTTGTATTTTTAGTAGAGACGGGATTTCACCATGTTGGCCAGGATGGTCTCAATCTCTTGACCTTGGGATCCACCCACCTCAACCTCCCAAAGCGCTGGGATTACAGGTGTGAGCCACTGCACCCGGCCCAGCCAGATCACTTTCTACTCTTACCCTGCTTTGTGACCTGGAAGGGTGGACCTTTAAGGGCTGCAAAAATTCAGTTCCATTTCCTTCTGGCTTCCTGTTGGGTTCAGCCAATGGGAGCTATCAGTAACACACCCCTTGCAGTTTCTCTTAACTGCATAGTTAACTGAAGCAGCTCCCCATACTTCAAAAATTCTAATGAAGGGATAGTTTACAATTGCCCCTTTTGAGTGTTCCCTTTCTTTCCTGCCAAGACTCTGACCCATATGTATTTCAAGTAGAACTATGTTCTACATATGTTAATTATTGCAAATAGTGTTAAAGTGAGAAGTGATCAGTTTACTATCCAAGCTGTTCACTTTTCTCCCTCTTCTTTTTTTGCTGCCTAGCTCTTGACTTCATATCATGGCCACAAGGGGGTGAACAAAGATAGGCACAGAAACAAATCTCAAAACCCATGCTTTAGGAATTTTTATAAATGTTCAATTATACCAACAAAAGTTAACTCTGGGGTTTACAGGTAATACTTCTTTTTTATCCAGTATTCTTTTTAAGTTTCTGTTTTGGGCAACATTTTTATAGTCAGGAACGTATAAAGCTGTTTTTCAAAATAAAGGGGGAAGTAAACTTGCTAAAAATATATAATAGAATTTACTTTGAACTCTTAAAATTGGAATCTGTCAAAAAACAGTTATCATCTCTATCTGGACTTTTCATGATCATTTAAAGCAACATCTTTGGGGATAGTTTCGGCCTTTCCCCGCTCTCTTTCAGTATTCTGCTTGTCAGCACTGATATAATGGTGCTTTTTAAACTATTCTTCACACATTGGCTATCTATTTACAAGTAAGAGGTAGTCAGTTATAAGGTATGACTATAAAGTAACGAGGATTATACCTTTAGCCACTTCTCTTTTATATTTAAATCAATGGGTTTGTGGTATTTTTTAAAATAGAGTAACACTAGCAGAATGCTTGGGAAACTTCAGCCGCTCTAATCTCCAAATACCTCATTTACTTTAAGTGATTTTTGAGCTTTAAGTTTTCAAATCTCATTTACTTCAAGTAGACTAGCTAATCTTTTTCACTCCAGTAAACTGGAGCCAATTCCCATAATATTTTTAAATGCTTGTCATCCACTAGGACTGTGGATTTGGCTTTCTGAAGTTCCCTATGAAGTCCTCTGAAATCGGATGGGTCATCCGTCATTCTCAGAGGGAGTTCAAGATGAATCCTAACTTGCCTCAGTGTCCTGCAAAAATAAATTATAATGGAAAGATTTCACTTTCCTCATTTTACTCTAAATTCTTATCCCTTCCACCAAATTCTGTGAAAAACATAAGTAAAATAAATTGTGAAAGTGTGAAGACATGCTAAATAACTTATAAACATGAAGAGGAGGCAATCATCTTTGATATTAAGAAATGTTATACAATTGCAAACATCCGGAGATATTCTAAAGTGCTCTGTAAATGCTAAACTGTAAATATTGTTAGTTACTATAATTGAACAATACTGACTAAGAAGTGAAAACGTTAGGGGGAAGGAGTTATGTTGCACTGACTATGCTTTGTGCTTTTAGGCTCTGCTCGCCTGGTGAACCCTGCTTCTCAAATGGCCTGTGGTACAGGTATAGGGATGTTCAATGCACTACGGGGGACCTAGGCTAAAGGACTGGCTCTAAGACCAGTCACAAAACTTAAGCACAGTAGTTAAACTCCAGCTCCACACACGACATCCAAAGCCCTCCTTGTATAGTCTCTGTGTTGCTGCCTCACATGCCAGCCCTTACAAAGCATTAGTGCTCTATTTACATCTCTACATAATAAATGCAAAAGCTGGATCTCCTTCATGCCTCGATTAGGGTTTTACTTCAAACAAACAAACAAAAAAAAACTGTGGGCTGAGCACAGTGACTCACGCCTGCAATCCCAGTACTTTGGGAGGCTGAGGCGGGTGGATTGCCTGAGCTCAGGAGTTCGAGACTAGCCTGGCCAACATGGTGAAACCCTGTCTCCACTAAAAGTACAAAAATTAGCTGGGCATGGTGGCACACCCCTGTAATCCCAGCTACTTGCAAGGCTGAGGCAGGAGAATCACTTGAACCCAGAAGGTAGAGATTGTAGTGAGCTGAGGGTGCACCACTGCACTCCAGCTGGGCAACAGAGCGAGACCTTGTCTCAGAAAAATAAATAAAAATTTACTATCATCAATGTGCAAATGGGTAGATGATAAAATTTTACCATCTCAACTATTTTTTATTTTATTTTTTTGGTGGGGGAATGGTATCTCACTCTGTTGCCAGGCTGGAGTGCAGTGGCGTGATCTTAGCTCACTGCAACCTCCGCCTCCCAGGTTCAAGCAATTCTCCTGCCTCAGCCTCCTGAGTAGCTGGGATTACAGGCACCTGCCACCACGCCTAGCTACTTTTTGTATTTTTAGTAGAGACGGAGTTTCACCATGTTGGCCAGGATGGTCTCAATCTCCTGACCTCTTGATGCCCCCACCTTGGCCTCCCAAAGTGCTGGGATTACAGGTGTGAGCTACCGCGCCCGGCCTACCATCTCAACTATTTTTAAGTGTACATTTCAGTAGTGTTAGGTATGTCACTGTTGTATTAAGTTATCGTTGTTGTAAAACTAATCTCCAGAAATTTTTTATCTTGCAAAACTGAAACTATACCCATTAAACTCCCCATTTCCCCACAGCCTCTGGTAACCACCATTCTTTCTGCTTCTGTAAATTTGACTACTTTTTTTTTTGAGATGGAGTCTTTCTCTGTCACTTAGGTTGGAGTGCAGTGGCATGATCTCGGCTCCCTGCAACCTCTGCCTCCCAGGTTCAAGGAATTCTTCTGCGTCAGCCTCCTGAGTAGCTGGGACTGCAGGTGAACGCCACCACTCCTGGCTAATTTTTATATTTTTAGTAGAGATGGGGTTTCACCATATTGGCCAGGCTGGTCTTGAACTCCTGACCTCGTGATCTACCTGCCTTGGCCTCCCAAAGTGCTGGGATTACAGGTGTGAGCCACCGCACCCAGTGAATTTGACTACTTTAAATAACTCATACAAGTGGAATCATACAGCATGTGTCTTTTTGTGAATAGCTTATTTCACTCAGGATAATGACCTCAATGTTCATTCATGTTCTAGCATGTGTCCAAATTTTTTTCTTTTTAAAGACTGAATAAATTACATTGAATGTATGTACTATATTTTGTTTATCCATTCATCTGTCGATGGACACTTGGGTTGCTTCCATCTTTTGGCCATTGTGAATGATGCTGCTAAGAACATAGGTATACAAATATCTGTTCAAGTGCTTTCCTTCACTTCTTTTGGGTATATACCTAGAAGTGGAATTGCTGGATAATATAGTAATTCTATTTTCAGTTTTTATTAAAACTGTCATACTGTCTTCCATAGTGGCTGCCCCATTTTACACTCCCACCAAGAGTACACAAGTTTCTCCACATCCTCGCTAACACTATTTTCTGTTGTGTTTCTTTTTCTTTTTGAGACAGGGTCTTGCTCACTTTCCCAGGCTGGAGTGCAGTGGCATAATCATGGCTCACTATGGCCTCAATCTCCTGGGCTCAAGCAATCCACCCACCTCATCCTCCCAAGTAGCTGGGACTACAGGCATGTACCACCACACCTGGCTAATTGTTTATTTTCTGTGGAGACAGGAAAAAAAATGTTGCCCAGGCTAGTCTCAAATTCTGAGCTCAAGCAGTCCTCCTGCCTCAGCCTGCCAAACTAACTGGTGGAATTACAGGTGTGAGCTACCATGTCTAGCCTTTAGCCTATTTTTAAATAGGATTTTTTGTGGTTGAATTGTAGGAGTATTGTATATTTTTTGAATATTAACTTCATATCAAATGTATGATTTGCAAATATTTTTTTCCATTCTGTAGGTTGTTTTTTCACTCTGTTGATTGTGCCCTTTAATGCACAGAAATTTCTAATTTTGATGTAGTTCATTTTATTTGTTTTTATTTTATTTTGGTTATCTGTGCTCTTCTTGATGTGTCATGTCTAAGAAATAATTTCTTTTTGTTGTTGTTGTTGTTGTTGTTGAGATGGAGTCTCGCTCTGTCACCCAGGCTGGAGTGCAGTGGTAAAATCTCAGCTCACTGCAACCTCCACCTCCCAGGTTCAAGCTATTCTCCTGCCTCAGCCTTTGAGTAGCTAGGATTACAGTCACGGGCCACAATGCCTGGCTAAATTTTATATTTTTAGTAGAGACGGGGCTTCATCATGTTGGCCAGGCTGGTCTTGAACTCCTGAGCTCAAGTGATCTGCCTGCCTCAGCCTCCCAAAGTGCTGAGATTACAGGTATGAGCCATCACACCTGGCATGAAATCATTTCTAAATCCATTCTCATGAAGCTTTCCCCATATGTTTTCTTCTAAGAATTTTGTAGTTTTCTTATTGTCTTTTTATGACTACCTTTTCTGCATTTGTTGGGAGATTTCTCTGCTTCTTGTGGGATCTGGACTACTCATGTCCTGTGGGTAGAGTTGTTGGTCAAGGATTTGTTTGTCTGTTTACTCAATCATATTGATAGAGGCAGGAGGCAGATAAACTCTGGGCAGACAGGGGCAGGTCCCTGGCACAACCCCATTTTTGAGCCCAAAAGCCTGAAACCCATGGCCCAAAGTGAGAACTTCCATCCCTGTGTGCCCGCTGTCTCTCAATTGGTTCTTTCTGAATAATGTATTTTTACTAATCTAATGTTGCCTTTTCCAAAACCACCTACTGCCCGCCCCACCCGCCATACTGTGCCTATAAAGACCCCAGACTCAGCCAGTAGAGAAGAGAATAAGCTGATGTCGGGGAGAGGTAACTTGACTTCAAAGATGATGGCTGGATGTTGGAAAGAGGCAACTTGACTTCAGAAGAGAGAGGTAGAGAGGTCACTTGGTTTTAGGGGAGAGCAACCTGCCCTTCTCAACCCTTTCCAGCTCTCCTCTCTGCTGAGAGCTGCTTTTGTTGCTCAATAAAATTCTCTGCATTCACCATCCTTCAATTTTTCTGTGTGACCTTATTCCCCCTGGGCACTGGACAAGAATTCAGTATGCACCAAGTGCAGGTAGCCAAAAAGGCTGTCACACTGGCCCTTTGCCCTCGCCGGTGGAGGGCAGCCACCCCACTCAATGAGGCAAAATGCCCACTGAGCTGATAACACACTGCTGTTTGTGGATGGCAGAGCTAAGTGAGCATTGTAACACGCCCTCTAAGGCCTTGGGGTCACAGGCACTCTCACCTGGACACTGCCTTGGGGCCTGCACAGAATTCACTTCTGCTGGCGCTAAAGCAGTGAGCTGGTTACTGCACTCAGTCACCTATGCACTCCCTCCAGCAAGGGGTGGAACATGGTTGCAAACCCTAGTGAACAGAGTTTGCTCCCACTGGCGCTGAAGTGACCGGCTGGTTCCCACACTCCTTTGCTCATGTGCTCCATCCAGCAAGGGCTTGAGCAGAGTGGGCTGAGTAAATGGGGCACCCCTGTCATGAGTCCTACAAAGGGGTCAAGAAAATATATTGTATCGATACTGCTTTTGGAGCAGTCCTCTCCTTTATTTAATTTTATTTTTATTTTTATTTTTTGAGATGGAGTCTTCTTGCTCTTTCGCCCAGGCTGGAGTGCAGTGGTGTGATCTTGGCTCACTGCAACCTCTGCCTCCCGGGTTCAAGTGATTCTCCTGCCTCAGCCTCCCTAGAAGCTGGGATTACAGGCACACATCACCATGCCCTGCTAGTTTTTGTGTTTTTAGTAGAGACAGAGTTTTACCATGTTGGCCAGGCTGGTCTTGTACTCCTGACGTCAGGTGATCCACCTGCCTTGGCCTCCTGAAGTGTTGGGATTATAGACGTAAGCCACTGCGCCTGGCCAGTCCTCTCCTTTAGAATGGAGAATATTTTCCTAGGTATAGATTCTTCTAAAACTGACAGCGCCTCTCAATTTTCACATACATACATATCACCTGCAAATGTTGTAAAAAATGTACACTTTAATTAGGAAGGCCTGGATAGGGCCTGAGATTCTGCATTTCTTTCTTTCTTTTTTTTTTTTAGACGGAGTTTCACTCTTGTCACCCAGGCTGGAGTGCAATGGTGTGATCTCAGCTCACTGCAACTTCTGCCTCCTGGGTTCAAGCTATTATCCTGCCTCAGCCTCCCGAGTAGCTGGGATTACAGGCATGTTCCACTATACCTGGCTAATTTTTGTATTTTTAGTAGAGACAGGGTTTCACCACGTTGGCCAGGTTGGTCTCGAACTCCTGACCTCAGGTGATCTGCCCGTCTTGGCCTCCCAAAGTGCTGGGATTATAGGCATGAGCCACCACACCTGGCCCAAACAGGTTCTGCATTTCTAAGACGCTCCTTCATGCTACTAGCGGATGGAGCCACTTTAAGTAGGAAAGGAGGAGACCTGAGATTATGTATGGCCTTTTGTTCCTGGGTGGGCTTTGAGGATCCTCCAGTCCAGATGCTAAAATATAAATTCTTTTTCAGTTTTTATCATATGACAAACAGCTTCATAAAGTTTCACATAGCACTATAGGATCTCATTCTTTTTATTCTCGCTCACAACAATGCTATATCTTATGAGTTATTAAGGATGTAAATTTGGTATTCATGAGCTAAATTAGCAGAGTATGAGAGTTTACCACAGGGCTATGTCACAATTTTGGGGGGGTCCTAAGCACTTTTGCCTTTGTAGATCACTTTCCTCCATAAAAAAATTAAAAATTATATTTTATTGCTGCACTGAGATAAGGATAAATATACTACAGGCAGATTCATTATTGTATATTCACTATTGTTTCTTATTTTAAAAGGAATTAAGACATTTTTGTGGAGCCCTGAAAGTATCATTGGCGCTAGGCCCTGTATTTACTGTGCCTAATGGGAATGCTGGCCTTGGTTTGTTGAAGACTCTAATTCAGAATTCTACGGGTAAGACTGGCAGCCATACAATAGTTGGCAGATTGCTGAGCTCCCACAATTAATGGGCAGAGGCAGATGGTTGGAATTCCTATGATTTTCAGACAAGATGCTATCTGAAACTGGATCAGCAGTGTTGTTGTTAGTTGGTCATAATTTTCCATTGCTGCTTTTCTTGTTTGTTTTGTTTGTTGTTGTTTTTTGAAACAGAGTTTTGCTCCATTGCCCAGGCTGG
Organism: Homo sapiens; assembly: GCF_000001405.40. NCBI lineage: Eukaryota > Metazoa > Chordata > Mammalia > Primates > Hominidae > Homo > Homo sapiens. The sequence goes on from NC_000015.10 coordinate 34,117,036, forward strand.
AGTGCAGTGGCACGATCTCGGCTCACTGCAACCTCCGCCCCAAGGTTCAAGCGATTCTCCTGCCTCAGCCTCCAGAGTAGCTGGGATTACAAGCACACGCCACCACGCCTGGCTAATTTTTTATATTTTCAGTAGAGATGTGGTTTCGCCATGTTGGCCAGCCTGGTCTCGAACTCCTGACCTCAAGTGATCCGCCTGCTTCGGCCTCCCAAACTGCTGGGATTACAGGTGGGAGCCACCACACCCTGCCTCTTCTTGTTTTTTAATTATAAAAACCGTGTACTCTGTTAGTTTGTATGGTGTTAACCCTAGAAAGTTTAATGATACAAATGGATACATTTTTACCTATAATTTTCCCAAAGTTAGACTTTAACACAGGTACAATTGCAGTTTAAATATCAATCATTCAGTCCCTTGTTGCAAAAGCAGATGTATACATATATAATTTCCCACAGGGGTACTTTTTTAGTTGTCAGCTCATGTCTATAAATTCACAGTCTTCTCTTGTAAATACAAGTGACTCATATGTATGTTTCTTTTCTGTACTTTGTTTTAAACCTGAAGAATTAACTTGAATCTAGATGTCATCAATGAGGGTAGGAGACTAGGTAGAACCAGATGCTAAAGAAAGGGTGGCAAAATATCTTGGATAGATGGACTGAGAGTAACAAAAAGAGATCACTACAGTTTCAGAAAAGAAGATTCATGACAGGACCAAATCTGGAAGCCTCAAGGGAAACAGAGGAAAATGCTGGCCTGTCATTCTACCTCAGGAAAAAGGATATTGGAGAAGGGACGGTCTCCTGGGTGCATACCTCATAACTTTCATCATAAGTTATAATCAGACTGCAAATTCTCTTTATGCTAGTATATCATGTCATTTTCATCTGTGATTAGGGTTTTCAGTGCTCAACCTGGCTGGTCTATCTGAATGGTCATAGTAGGGTCTGGCTTTTCCTCTAATATTCAGACTTATACCCAAATATACCTACAGCAAGGAAGGCCTACCAGGAAAATGCCCCTTCCCAATACTCCCCTGACTTGTTATCTTAGTTACTGCCTGCATTTGACTCTAATTGAATGCAGAGCTTTGAAGGTTAAATGGCAATCATTTGGGCAGCTGGTTAGCAATGCATTCACTCTTCTTTTCTTAGGCTCTAAGTCAAGTTCTGGTCTGGAAAAGGGTGGTGAAAAAAGTGTACATACCTTGAGGAAGGAGCATTAGGAGTTCTCGGGTAGTGAGGACCCAAATGTTCTTTTTCTTTTTCTTTTTTTTTTTTTTTTGGAGATGGAGTCTCTCCCTGTCGCCCAGGCTGGAGTGCAGTGGTGCGATCACAGCTCACAGCAACCTCCACCTCCCGGGTTCAAGCGATTCTCCTGCCTCAGCCTCCTGAGTAGCTGGGACTACAGGCGCACGCCGCCACGCTTGGCCAATTTTTTAGTAGAGATAGGATTTCACGGTGTTGCCCAGGCTGGTCTCGAACTCCTGAGCTCAGGCAATCAGCCCGCCTTGGCCTCCCAAGGCATGAGCCACTGTGATCGGCCCAAATGTTCTTTTTCTTTCTAGCTTCAAAGGAGCAAGTGAATCACAGGAACCAGATGTACCATATATTTTTCATTTAGAAGATACCTATTAACAACCACAGGGTTTTTAGAAAGTTCTGAACAACTCAGAAACAAAGCAAACGACTTCTTAAACTTTAAATCTGGTTGCTACATGCTAATTATAATATAAATGGAACATTTAGAATGCTTTGACAGAATATAAGATCACATTCCTTTTTCTGTCATTTGAGCCTCTATATTTCAACACCCAAGAAAAAATGTCTCTATAAAGAATTACTAAAATTTATAAAGAAACAATATGAATCATGAATTTAGTTTAAGTGCCGTAATTTTTATTTTTTGAGATGGAGTCTGGCTCTGTCACCCAGGCCAGAGTGCAGTGGCATGATCTGGTCTCACTGCAACCTCTGCCTCCGTGTTCAAGTGATTTTCCTGCCTCAGCCTGCCAAGTAGCTGGGACTACAGGCGTGCACCCCCATGCCTGGCCACTTTTTGTATTTTTAGTAGAGACAGGTTTTCACCATGTTGGCCAGGCTGGTCTTGAACCCCTGACCTCAAGTGACCTGCCTGCCTCAGCCTCCCAAAGTGCTGGGATTACAGGCGTGAGCCACCGTGCCCAGCCCAAATCCTATAATTACATGTGCAACTGTACAGAAAATAGCCTGACAGATGACCTGGCCATGGAATAAACATAGCTTACATCAGATAGTGAGGGCATCCTGTGAACTTCCAGAAAACTGCAATCGAGTCATCTTCTTGAGTAAAGGTTTTGGCTGATTTGATAAGAAGTTCTGATAAGAAGGTTTAAAAAAGGACTAATGTATGGCAGCTCTAGAGAAATAGATTAAATCTTATTATAAGGAAGAGCTTTCTAAGTCAGACAGAATAGATCATTCCCAGGGCGTGGTCAGGAATTCCTGGCAGGAATAAGCCACTTAGCCACTTGGTGGAGATGCTGTAAAAGAGAATTCAAGTAACATATGGCTGTGCATGATCACTTTAATCTTGGGAGTTTGCGGTTCTTTATTTGGAGTCTGAACAGTTGTTTTAAACTGAGAGTTTATTAACAGTGGTTACGGAAAAACAACCATCATTTCTCACATGCCAAGTGAAAAAGATGAAACACATACAAAACAGAGTGCTAGCTGTTATCATTAATACACAATCTTTAAAAAAAAATTTTATTTTAATTTTTGTGGGTACATAGTAGGTATATATATTTATGGGTTATGTGAGATATTTTGATCCAGGCATGCAATGCATAATAATCACATCATGAAAAATGGGGTATCCATTCCTTCAAGCATTACCTTTGTGTTACAAACATTCCAATTATACTCTTTGTTTTGTTTTGTTTTTGAGACGGAGTCTCGCTCTGTTGCCCAGGCTGGAGTGCAGGGGTTATCTCAGCTCACTGCAACCTTGGCCTCCTGGATTCAAGCGATTCTCCTGCCTCAGCCTCCTGAGTAGCTGGGATTACAAGGCGCCCACCATCACACCTGGCTAATTTTTTTGTATTTTTAGTAGAGATGGGGTTTCACCATGTTGGCCAGGCTGGTCTCGAACTCCTGACCTCATGTGATCCACCCACCTCAGCCTCCCAAAGTGCTGGGATTATAGGCGTGAGCCACCGCGCCCGGCCACTCTTTGTTATTTTTAAATGTACAACTGAATTATTGATTATAGTCTCCATTTCGTGCTATCAAATACTATGTCTTATTCATTATTTCTATTTTTCTTTTGGTACCCATTAAACATTCCCATCACCCCCACAGTCCCTCATTGCCCTTCCCAGTCTCTAGTAACCGTCCTTCTTTTCTCCATGTCCATCAGTTCAATCGTGTTGAATTTTAGATCCCACAAGTAAGTGAGAACATGTGATGTTTGTCTTTCTGTGCCTGGCTTACTTCACTTAACATAATGACCTCCAGTTACATCCATGTTGTTGCAAATGACAGGATTCTTTTTATGGCTGAATAGTACTCCATTGTGTGTAAGTACCACATTTTCTTTATCCATTCATCTGTTGCTGGACACTTAAGTTGCTTCCAAATCTTGGTTATGATGAATAGAGCTGCAATAAACATGGGAGTGCAGATATCTCCTCAATATACTGATTTCCTTTCTTTGGGGTATATACCCAGTGGTGGGATTGCTGGGTCGTATGGTAGCTCTATTTTTAATTTTTTGAGGAACCTGCAAACTGTCCTCCATAGTGGTTGTATTAGTTTACATTCCTACCAACAGTTAGAAGAGTTCCCTTTTCTCTACATACACGTCAGCATTTGTTATTGCCTTTTGGATAAAAGCCATTTTAACTGGGGTGAGATTATTTCTCATTGTAGTTTTGATTTGCATTTCAGTCATCATCAGTGATGTTGAGCACTTTTTCACATGCCTGTTTGCCATTTGTATGTCTTCTTTTGAGAAATGTCTATTAAAATCTTTTGCCCAATCAGATTATTAAATTTTTTTCCCCATAGAGTTGTTTGAGCTCCTTTTATATTCTGGTTATTAATCCCTTTTCAGATGGGTAATTTGAAAATATTTTCTCCCAATCTCTAGGTTGTTCACTTTACTGATTGCTTCCTTTGCTGTGCAGAAGCTTTTTAACTTGATGTGATGCCATTTGTCCATTCCATTTTTGCTTTGGTTGCCGGTGCTTGTGGGGTATTACTAAAGAAATTTTTGCCCAGACCAATATCCGAAAGTTTCCCCAGTGTATTTTTTTTCCTTTTCCTTTTTTTTTTTTTTAGACAGGGTCTCACTCTGTCACCCAGGTTGGATTGCAGTGGTTTGATCTTGGCTCACTGCAACCTCCACCTCCTGGGCTCAAGCGATCCTCCCACCTCAGCCTCCTGAGTAGCTGGGACTACAGGGGCAAGCCACCACACCGAGCTAATTTTTTGAATTTTTTTTAGAGACAGGGTTTCGCCATGTTTGCTCAGGCTGGTCTTGAACTTCTGAGCTCAAGAGATCTGCCCACCTTGACCTCCCAAAGTGCTAAGTTTGCAGGCGTGAGCCACTGCACCTGGCCTCCCCAGTGTTTTCTTGTAGTAGTTTCATAGTTTGAAGTCTTAGGTTTAAGTATTTAATCCATTTTGATTTGATTTTTGTGTATGGTTGAGAGAAGAGAGACAGACCCTCTCATATTGTTTTATACTCAGAAAAGGAAAGAGAAGCAAAACTAAAGGCAGGTAGCCTGGTGCCTAGGAACCAGACCCGAAACCAGGCCTAGGCCTGCCTGACCTAAGCCTGGTAGTTAAAATTCGACCCCTGACCTAGCAACCGATGTTATCTATAGATTACAGAAAGACATTGTAAAACTTGCCGGTCTGTTCTGTTTCACTCTGACCACTGGTGCAGGCAGCCCCTGTCACGTGCCCGCTGCTTGCTCAATCGATCACCACCTTCTCACGTGGACCCCCTTAGAGTTGTGAGCCCTTAAAAAGGACAAGAATTGCTAACTCAGGGAGCTCAGCTCTTGAGACAGGAGTCCTGCCAATGCTCCCGGCCAAATAAACCTCTTCCTTCTTTAACTCGGTGTCTGAGGAGTTTTGTCTGCGGCTTGTCCTGCTACACGGTGAGAGATATGGGTCTAGTTTCATTCTTCTGCATATGGATATCCAGTTTTCCCAGCACCATTTATTGAAGAGACTCTTTTCCCAGTGTATGTTATTGGCCTCTTTGTTGAAAATGAGTTCATTGTAGGTATGTGTATTTGTTTCTGAGTTCTCTATTCTGTTCCATTGGTCTATGAGTCTGTTTTTATGCCAGTACTATGCTCTTTTGATTACTACAGCTCTGTAGTACAATTTGAAGTCAGATAATGTGATTCCTCCAGTTTTGGTCTTTTTGCTTAGTATAACTTTGGCTATTTGGGGTCTTCTGTGATTCCATGTACATTTTAGGATTTTTTTTTTTCATTTCTGTGGATACAGAATCTTTCAATGAGAAAAAAATAAAAATTCAATGAGTTCCATTTTAATAGGTCATACTGCAGATGTTGCCAATTGACAATTATACTATAAAATTAGACAAGATGATTTATAATTTGTTAGTTATAATTTTGCTATTCCCAAACTTCCTGTGAGGCCCTGACTAAACTGACAAACCTGAACATTGTAATTCCTAAAACAATAACAAAACCCTACCACTCACAGACCTCAATGATTCTCAAACTTATGTGTGTGTGAGAATCACCCGGGGAGTGTAATAAACATCAGATGCCTGGGCCCCACCCCTGGAGATTCTAACTCGGTTGGTCTGGAATGGGGCCCTGGGCAGTTCCATGTTTACAAGCTTGTGATGTCATTCCGATGTGCCGCAAGTTTGAGAGCTGCTGGCCTATCTCAGGGGAATAGCATTTGCATTAAATAAGTAGTCTAGTAAAGCTCTTAGAAAACAAAGCATAATGCTTCCTTTGTGGCTATTAGTCATTAGCGACTTTCCAGAAGCAGAAATGGTATGTCCATTTATCACGATACTAACAAATTTCTGTCTAGCTTTGACTCAACAGTTAAAACAGTGCAGGGGTTAAGAACACACACACAGGATATGGGGTCAAACCAGGGTTTGAATCCTGGCTGTGTCAATTACTAGCAGTGAGACCTTGTCCAAGTGGCTTCATGTTGAGCCTTAGTTTCTGCATGTGGAAAAAGGAACTAGAGTACTTATTTATCTCCCAGGATTGTATGAGGATTAAATGAGAGAATGTAAATAAGGCACCTACCACAGCTATAGGCAAGTGAAAAGCAATCAATAAATGGAACTATTGGCCAGGCGTGGTGGCTCACAACTGTAATCCCAGCACTTTGGGAGGCCGAGGCAGGCGAATCATGAGGTCAGGAGTTCGAGAACAGCCTGGCCAACATGGTGAAACCCCATCTCTATTAAAAATACAAAAATTAGCCAGGCGTGGTGGCAGGTGCCTATAATCCCAGCTACCTGGGAGGCTTAGGCAGGAGAATCACTTGAACCCGGGAAGTGGAGGTTGAAGTAAGCTGAGATCGCACCATTATCCAGCCTGGGCAACAAGAGTGAAACCTTGTCTCAAAAAAAAAAAAAAAAAAGGAACTATTATTATTATGTTGACTAATTACTAGATGATTTCAGTGTGACCTTGCTGTGATTAATGCAGGATTAGAAACAGGATCAACTTAATATGATCATATTAAGCTTTCTGTGACCATATATTTGTTCTGGAAAGGGTGAAACATACAAGTGTGTATATTATACACACTACAAACAAATGTTTTATCTATTTTAAAGTAAGTAATTATATTTAGTCTCTTCCATTCTTAATGTGTTTATATCACTTACAAAAATACTTCCATATCACATAGGGAGATCATTTTACAGAAGAAAATGAATGGCATGAGATGGCCACCTGTTTCATATTCTAGGCAACACAGCAGTCACAAGCTATGGAAATCCAAGATTTAGGAGACTGGTTTTATATCCTAAGCCAAAGTTATCCCTCAAAACCAGAATGCTTTTTAAAAATAAAAATAGTCTTATGGTGATGAAGGCATATGTCTATAATACCAGACCGAAAAGTGATAATAGTAATCAGCAAGCAGAATTAACCACAGTTTTTTTAGTTATAGTGCTCTGGCCTATTACATTAAAATGAACAATTTTTCAGATAAAGAATCTTCAACTACATTTCCAGTGGAGAAATTCAATTGCCCTATCCTAGACTTATGCAACTCTGGTTCTCAAAGGTCCCTAATTTTTATCTGTAAGAACAACTTTTTATTTCCTAGATACTTTATGATTCCAAATGGGTAGGGGTAGGGGTGAGGCGAGGGCAGAAACTGTCCCAGAAGTCAGCAGTGAAGTCCCTGAACAGAGATGGACAGTGCTGATGATAGAGTCGGTCAGCTCCCTACTTTTGCCCTTCTCTTGGAGCTGGTCAGAGGCATAACCAATATGGTGAGAAAAATGGCTTTCATGCAAGATCTACTGGCAGAGATCCTGATGGGCTGCTGGAGGTCCCCTGGGTTTATAATTATCAGCACACATCTATGGAACAATGCAACTGTAAAGCGTACTGTGCTAGGTACCCATACAGAATAAGTACCTTACATTAATTCTGCGACAAAATATGCAGTCTTACAATTAATGATCCATGTGTGAGGGAGTGAATCCTAATGGCAGTAACAGAGGGTTTGCAGATATGCTCATTGACAGCATGGCAGGGTCCTGTTACAGGAGTTCTATTACGGAATGAATCTTCTCTTGATAGAAAAACAGGTGCTGGTTGGTGGCTACAGCCAAGAAGGATGAATGACTGATAGGAACAGGCACCTGGGTCTCGTCTGAATATTCTAGTTTATTTTAAACACCCAGTAGCTCTTTGTTCCTTTATTCATTTATTCAACAAATTTTTATTGAACATTTCTTATTATATTTAGGTTGCACAGAGCAGGGAGCTGGAGTTACAATGGTGAGTTAGACAAACATTGATCCTACCTAAGAGGCTACTGACAGGTAAATAAGTAAAATTTAGTATAGCCAATTATACTTATGTACCATGATGGGGGAAGAACAGGATACACTCAGAGCACAAAGAAGGGGCACCCAACACAAAAATTTGAAGAGAAGAACAAGCTAAGACTTGAAGATTCAAGAAAGAGTTATTTTCAGAGAAGGTGGGAGGATGGATGAAGGGAAAAAGGCAGAGACAGGAGTGAGTGTTCTCCGCAGAGAAAAACAGTAAGTTTGAAGGCCTGGACTGAAATTGCAGGGTATGTCCAACCAAATGGCCCAAGAGTACCCTGGCATACGGTGGAGTATGTATGTGTGTGATGTTGAGATGAGATGAGGGTAGAAAGCAAAGCCAGGAACAAGAAGAAGCTAGTGGCCAGGCACAGTGGCTCACAATGGTAATCTCAGCACTTTGGGAGGCCAAGGCAGGAAGATTGCTTGAGTCCAGGAGCTCGAGACCAGCCTGGGCAACATAACGAGACCCTGTCTCTACAAAACAAAAGAAATATTAGCTGGGCAGTCCCTGCTACTCAGGAGGCTGAGGCTGAAGGATCCCGTGAGCCCAGGAGTTCGAGCTGCAGTGAGCTATGAGCTATGATTACATCAGGGCACTCCAGCCTGGGTGACAGAGAGACCCTGCCTCTTAAAAAAAAAAAAAGTAACATACAGTAATTTCTGAAATTACTAAAACTATACAAGGTGCCAGGAAGTTCCAGTTAGGTCACTAGCAGCAGTAAGTTGATGTCATTAAATCTGAGCAGATTCTGTGTAAAGTTGAAGAGTGATGGGCTCTTCGGTTTCTATGCTAGCTATTGATGCTTCCTCCCTGTATCCTGTTAAAGCCTATCTATTCCCAACTAACTGTAAAATATAAGGAACACAGCAGTTTCGTCAATGTGAGTAAGAAAACTATTCAATTAGTAGACAACAATAAAGGAATTCTGTCCACAGAAAGCCTATAAAGTATTTGAACAAATTTGGTATTTGATATATATTGCCTGAACTACTAGCCTAAGTGCAAAGATCATGTTTTCCCAGATTCCTCCAGACTGAAGTAATCAACCCTTAACCAGCTGCAGCCAGCAAAAATAACATAAACAAAAACAACAAACACAAGCATACTCCTTCCACTCACATGCTTTATACTACTTTTTACTTAAAAAAAAAAAGTGTATCTTCCAATAGAGTCCACAAAGCCTCAAGCAGCAGGAACATGTAATGGGGTCTGTTTTGTCTGTTTTCTATGAAGGCATGATTTTACATATCAGCATTTATGTGCATAACAATCTGTCGGCAACAATACACCTGAAAATTTGATTTGGAGTTTGTAGTTTCCCAAACTTTTGTGTTGATACAGACAGAAAAAGTGAAGTAGTAGGAGATTCTAAACAGCTCAACCCAAAGAATTTCATCCTCAATATGAACAAAAGAGAGTTGCCAGAGGGCCCCTAATTATGCTTATTTCAGGTGCCTCTCCCCTTCCAAAAACATGTCATTTAAAGTATTTCAAATTATAATTACTCTTCTTGAAGAGTAAATGACAGATCCCTGGGCTTTTCATGGTGCTGTGACCCTCCTGACCTAGACTACCATCCTTCACTCCTCTGCTGGAGTAGGTCACATGGTGATGGGAACCTGGGAATCCTCAGGAAACAGGCTGGGAGAGGGCTGCCTGACTGCAGCAGGAGAATGTTCTTGTCTCAATTTTCATTCTGCCATCTCAGGGAGAGAAGCACCCTAACAGCTTAATCCTTATGTTAAAACCTCAGCAAAACAAAAAAACAAAACTAAGCACAAAAAGACTGCAGCCCCTTCTTTAGAGAGAATTCTGATGCCATTCTATTTTTTTTCTTTGTTCCTTGCTCTAATACTCAAACCAGGAAACACTAATTTGTAGCACTTTTCTGTCTCAGTGGTGCACATACACCCACCAAAACCAATTATAACTCAAACTGCAGGCTCAAACTCCTGGGCTCAAGCGATCATTCACCTCAGCCTCCCAAGTAGCTAGGGGTACAGGTGCTCACCACCAGGCCCAGCTAATTTTAATTTTTTTTTGAAGAGACAGGGTCTTGCTATGCTGCCCAGGCTGGCCTTGAACTCCTAGGCTCAAGTTATCCCAAAGTGTTGGGATTACAGGCATGAATCACCATGCCAGTCTGCCATTAAGTTTTTCTTTCAAATAGCTTTACTGAGATATAATTCACATACCATAAAATTCACTTAAGTATACAATTCACTGGCTTTTAATATATTCAGTTGTGTATCCATCACAATTTTAGAACACGTTCATTACCCCCAATTCTATCCCCCCTTAGCTGTCACTCCCCAATTTTCCCATCCGTATATCCTTAGGCAACCACTAATCTGCTGTTTTTGTCTGTACATGTTTGCCTATTTTGGACATTTCATATAAATGGAATCATACAATGTGGTCCCTTGTGACTGGCTTCTTTCACTTAGTATAGTGTTTTAAAGGTTCACCATGTTGTAGCATGTATAGTATTTCATTCTTTTCATCGACAAATAATATTCCATTGAATGAATACACATTTTATCTTTCCATTAATCACTTATGGGCATTTGGGTGTTTTTCACCTTTTGGCCATCATAAATAATTCTGGTTTGGACATTCATACACAAGCTTTTGGGTGAACAGATTTTGATTTCTCTTGGTATTCTCTTAGGTGAGTATCTAGAAGTGAAATTGCTAAATCATATGGTAACCTTGTTTAACCATTTGAGGAACTACTAGACTATGTTCCAAAGAACTACACTATTTTACATTCCCACCAGCAATGTATGAGGATTCCAGTTTCTCCACATCCTTGCCAACACTTGTTATAATCTGTCTTTTTGTTGATAGTCATCCTAGTGGGTGTGAAGTGGTATCTCACTGTGGTTTTGGTTTGCACTTCCCTGATGGCAAATGATGTTGAGCACCTTTTCATGTGCTTATTGGTCATGTATATCCTCTTTGGAGAACTGCCTATTCAGAGTCTTTGTCCATAATTGTGTTGTCTTTTTGAGTAGCTCTTTATATACATGTAGTATAAATAGCTCTTTATACAAATGTAGTAGCTCTTTATATATATTCTAGATACACGTCCTTTAGCAGACATATGATTTGCAACTGTTTTCTACCATCCTATGAGTATTTTCACTTTTTTGATAGCACAAACCTTAAGGCACAAAAGCTTTTAATTTTGAGAAAGTCCAATTTATCTTTTTTTCTTTTGAGATGGAGTCTCGCTCTGTCGCCCAGGCTAAAGTGCAGTGGTGTGGTCTTGGCCCTTTACAATTTCCAACTCCCTGGTTCAAGGGATTCTTCTGCCTCCGCCTCCTGAGTAGCTGGGATTACAGGCGTGCGCCACAATGTCTGGCTAATTTTTTGTATTTTCAGTAGAGACGGGGTTCACCATGTTGGCCAGGCTGATCTTGAACTCCTGACCTCAAGTGATCCACCCACCTTGGCCTCCCAAAGTGCTGGGATTACAGGCGTGAGCCACCGTGCCCGGCCCCATTTATCTTTCTTGTGTTGCTTCTGCTTCTGCTGTCATATCTAAGAAACCATTGACTAATTCAAGGTCACAAATATTTAAACCTATGTTTTTTTCTAAGAGTTTTATAGTTTTTGCACTTACACTTAATTCATTTTAATTTTTGTGTACATGTGAGGGGTCTAAATTCATTCTTTTGCATGTAGATGTTTGATTGTTCCAGCAATATCATCTCTGAAAAGACAATTCTTTCCCCATTTGTTGTGACACCATTGAGGAAAATCAACTGACCATAAATATGAGGGCTTTTTTGACTCTCAATTCTGTTCTATTGATATATATGTCTGTTCTTATACCATCATCACCATCTTGATTACTATAGCTTTGTAGTAAGTCTTGAAACCAGGAGTGTGAGTCCTCCAATTTGTTTTTTCTCAATTGTTTTGGCTATCCTGGTTCCCTTGCATTTCCATATGAGTTTTACGACCAGTTTGTTGATTTCTGCAAAGTCAGCTGTAATTCCGATAGGGATTGCATGGAATCTGTAGGTCAATTTTGGGAGTACTACCAGGTTAATATTCAGTGTTCCAAGCCATTAACATGGGATGTTTTTCCATTTATCTAAGTCTTCTTTATTTTCTTTCAACTATGTTTTGTAGTTTCCAAAGTATAAGTTTTGCACTGCTTTTGTTCAATTTATTCCTATTTCTTTTTGGTGTTATTATAAATGGAATCACTTCCTTAATTTCATTTTCAGTCTGCTCATTGCTTCTGTACAGAAATACAATAAATTTTTCTATGTTGTCCTTGTCTTCTGCAATCTTGCGTATATGCCAATGTTTTAGGGCATAGATAGATAGATAACTGGAACACCAATCATTGACTTACTCCACAATATCCACCTTTAACCTCTTTCCTATCTATTCCACTGCCTCTGCTTTTAGTTCAGGGCCTCACACCTACTGGCCAGGACTTATCCTCATAGACTTCTAACAGAGCTTTCTGCTTCCATTGAATCCCCTGCAATTCCTTTTCTACACTACTGCCAGAATGAGTTGTCTGAAAGACAAGACTTTCACGCAATTTACTTGTTTTGAATAATCAAATATTGATTCAAATATAAGAACTTGGAATAATATAATCAAAGCTCACAAAACGTTTACTAACTGGCCCAATGTATACTCCTGTCACCTTCCAATGTAACTTTTGTAAGCCTTCAGACACACTGGTTACTTTATTGGGGCTACCTTTCCCCCAACTAGCTAGCTCATACTCATCTTCATTTAACTTGGGATACCTCTGTGAATCTTTTCTTTCTAGTCTCTTTTTCCACAGTCTGTTTATTTCTTCCTCTGGGAGCTCAGAAAGTCCTACATTCCCCTCCACTGCTGAGCCTAATACATTACAATGAAGTTGGAAACTGCTTAAGGGCAGAGGACAACTCCAAATAGCATCCAAATAAAAGAGGAGAGGGTAAGAAAATGAGTCTTGAAATGTAACTTCAAAGTACAGTCTCTAGGCTCACTTTTGGAAGATGAGCTGGAAAATGGAAACGTTGTTAATTGATTCTTCATCCTGAAGCTTCCCATGATCAAAGGAGATAGGCTTTTGTGAAATTCTAGACCCCACTCATGAAACATGTATCCTTGGCAATATGTTTCCCAGGAAATTAACCTCCTGTTCATTTTAATAATACTATTGGTGGTGGTGGTGGGGCAGGGAGAAAAGTATAAGCCTTCAAATTTAAGAAATTAAGGTTAGGAAGGAAGCCAGTATCATTTCTTAATTTACGTTCAGATTAGGAGTCTTATTTTCATTGTTATTCTTACTTTAGGGTCCCCTATTTACAAACATAATGAGGAAAGAGCTTTCCATATTACTCTTTTACAGATTTTCTGCTTTATGGTTACATTAGAATAATGAATACCTTCCACATATACAAAGGATGTACAATACGACAAATTAGTAAACTCTAGTAAAAATAAACTACTTTAAATACAAAAGCAATATATTGTTTCTTTTGTCTATCTTAAGACACAGGCTTATTTGGGTTATTTTAACATCAATTTTCTTAAATGGTTTTGCTTACCTTTATTAGGGTATCAAAAGATTATTATAAGCCTCAGATTAGATTTTTGCCATTTTGATGCACAGGAGTTTGGTATATACTAAAACCTCTGCAGTAAGAAAAAAATATAAGCAGGAAACACCTTTGATTTCTTGTTAAATTTAGCAAAATACATTTTAAATGAAACTTTTTCCTGCTCCACTTACAGTTCAAAAGGCACACCATAGGAATGAATTGGTATGGTGCTTTAGTAGCCAAGATACACAGTTAAAAGTATTAATAAAACAGGAATGAACACATTAAGATGTATTTTAAATACTATAGAGAAATTATTCCTATCAAGAACATCTGAGATGTGGTAGAAACAGATGAAAACATTCATATAAGGTTTAACATATATCATACAAAAGAAACAAATATTAGACACATATCCTGAGAGAATAAAACATTATTTGAAGAAATATAAAATTTACATATGTCAAGGGTGACAGTAATGCCTACTTAGTGAAGTGACATATTCAAAGGTCAAATACTGGCCGGGAGCTATGGCTCACACCTGTATCCCAGCACTTGGGCAGGCCGAGGCGGGTGGATCACGTGCGGTCAGGAGTTTGGGATCAGCCTGGCCAACATGGTGAAACCCTGTCTCTATTAAAAATACAAAAATTAGCTGGGCATGGGGGCGGGCGCCACTTGGGAGGCTGAGGTAGGAGAATCGCTTGAACCCAGAAGCCGACATTGTGCCACTGCTCTCCAGCCTGGGTGACAGAGTGAGACTCCATTTCAAAAACAAACAAAAAAACAAAGGTCAAATATTGTGGCCAGGCATGGTGGCTCATGCCTATAATCCCAGTACTTTGGGAGGCTGAGGCATTGCGGATCACCTGACGTTGGGAGTTCAAGACCAGTCTGACCAACATGGAGAAACCCCGTCTCTACTAAAAATACAAAATTAGCCAGGCGTGGTGGCGAATGCCTGTAACGCTTGAACCCCGGAGGCGGAGGTTGCGGTGAGCCAAGATCGTGCCATTGCACTCCAGCCTGGGCAACAAGAGTGAAACTCCATCTCAAACAAACAAACAAAAAACAAATATTGCTAAGACTGCTCCACCTCCACCCTTCTTTATTTTCTCCTAGAACATAACTGAATGGTTAAGAGCATAAACTCTGGAGTTAGGCTGTCTGCTTTAACAGTTATTAACTGTATAGACTTGGGCAAACCAGTTAAATTCTCTGAACTTTCATTTCTTAAGGACACCTATGATACCTACCATATGGTTGTTGTGAGGACAAAAGGAGTGAATACGAGTGCTCAGATCACTACCTGGCAGTATTCGTTAAGTGTTAGCTATTATTATAAATCTCCAGAAAAACTTTTTCTCCTCAATTACAGCAAGGGCTTCTTTCTAGAAAGGGTGAAATGTTTGTGTTCTTTAGCATTATCTTTGATTGCAGAAAAAACACATATAGGTACAATATCAAGAAGTCAAGTAATCATTAAAATGTTTATTGATGTAAAGCTGCAATCAAACACTAACTCTTGGGAGAAAAATAAAGGGTGAGGACAAAAAAATCACCTGATTATTGTAAAGCTCTGACTTAGGCAAGTTGTTTTGAGTAAACAGGTATAAAATGCTGAAAGAGCTCATGAGTAGGAATCAAGATTTGAATGTAGGAGTAAAAAATGTGCTTATGGGACACAATTACAGCTGTGCTGATGCTTCACACACATAATGTTTAAGTTCTATGAAAGTGTTGAATGGATCACAAACTAGATCAAGTGATTCAGCAAATCCCTTTAGAAGGCAATGCATTCATTGAATGCTGTTCCAAATAAAGTGTTGTAATGTTTCTATAAATACAGAAATTCAAAACTTACAATTAACTAGCTGTTGTACGTTTACTGAGATCTTTAATATCTGAAGTATACAAAAAGGGGCAGGTCAGGCTATAGTGAAGGAGCTTAAGTTTGTTAAGGATTAAGGATTTAGCTCGGCTTCTAGGCCAGCCTTCAGGAATATAAAAAAGGCTTCAGATGACATAAAATCTAAATGTCTCCCAATTTGGCATAGTTTTAAGATAATTTTGCACTGTGGTGTCAAAGCAGAAGTTGTACAGTATATTGAGGACTTTATTATCGTGGAGCAGAGCCTATTATTATTTTGGGATGTTGAGCTGAAGTCAGACTCATTTCTCATAATCCAAGTACATAAAACCTACTTCACCTGATAATCTGAGCCTCAATGTTAAGTGTTTGAAACTCAGAGTCCCCTAATCCTATACCAGTATCTTTTCCCCTGTGTTACAGTATTTATGACTCTGCATGTGCTAAGGAACAGCTTCCTTCTGATTCCTTAAAAGGAAAAACTCAAATAAATATCCAGGACATACGCAACTTTGGAGTTAAAAGTTCAGTAATTTCACTGGAGACAGTTCAGGGAATGTATTTCTTCTAGGCTAACCACACATCCACAAAAAAGGGAGTGCTTTTCACACATGGTTTCATCTTGTGCATTAGGAATACAATCCAGTCACTGCATAACCACTGTACAATGTCAATTTCACCAGGTAATAGTATTTTATAACACAGAGAAGTGGAGGTGAGGAATGGGTATATTTAAAGGCTATGATTTTACATAATTTACATAAAAAGTTCTTTCTATACAAGATAATGGTGGTTGGGTGCAGTGGCTCATGTCTGTAGTCTCAACACTTTGGTGGGCTGACATGGGAGGGTATCTTGAGGCCAAGAGTTCAAGACCAGCCTGGGAAATATAGGAAGACCCTGTCTTTATTAAAACAAAACAAAAAAAAAACAAACACAAAACCCCCCAAAACAAAAGGTGATGCCTTCACAAGCCCAAAGGAGCTCTGTCTATAGTTTTGATTTTGTATATCATTTATAATTAAAATGTCACTTTTTCCTGAAGAGCCAAAAGTAGTAATTTAGATAGAATGTTGCTGCAACAATTCAGGAAGAAAAAAATTAAAAACCAATACTTAGAATTTACCAAGCAGCTATTTACTCAGTATGACTCAGGACACAAGCACTGAAGGGTGTATAGTCTAGCGGACTTAGAATCTAAATTAAATAGGAACAAGGATGTACACAGCATGTAGAAGAAAAAAAAAAGCAAATTATCAAAAAGAAGTAGAAATACTTTTTTTTCTTTTTTTAGCAAATGTTTAAATTTGAATTATATTAGTTTCTCCAGTGGGACATCTCTGGCTTCAAAGGTATTAATGGCTAAACAAGATAGTCATCATTTCAGTGAAAATAATAATGGTGTGATGTCAAAGAACATTAAGATGTTTAACAATTTTTGAAATTTATAGCCAAGAAAAAGGATGATTTGGAAATGATGTAATCAGAATTTTTCCACGTCAAGTTCTTGTAGGGAAAACTTCCCAGCAGCTACCCATTCTACAAGTCAAAATGTGTAGGGAAGGAAGAAAGAACCTAAGACAAAATGCCCTTGAAAGTTGTACCTTAGTCCACTGGATGCTACGTCCTCAAAAGACATCACAGTATGGATAATGAACTAATATATAAGTATGAATATCATATATCTAACTGAGAAATAAACAGGGATGGCCATGGTATACAAAACTCTCTATTAAGCCTAATTATTACTTGAGATTTGATGATAAAGTTCTGAGGGTCCTATTGACAGCAGTGCAAATAGCTTCCTTCTGTAGCCAGTCATGGAGAAAAAAGTAACATACTACATATAAAGAAAAAATGGGTTTTACAAAACGCAATACTATATTTTACATTTGAGTTTGAAATTGCTTAGATCTGGATCTTCCTAAAAGTATAAGTTAGAACTAAAGCTTTCAAAGTCTTTTCCAAAATAGTATGCTTTTAGAAACACAATACATTTAGTATTTCGGAACAACTTTTTGAGGGTAGGGACTGTACCTTACCTTTGCACTTAACATTAACGAGCATATAGCAAGTAATCTGTTTATTATGGAGAGCCTCACTACCTCAACCAGTTGACATTTTATTACACACCAAGTACCTGGCAGCTCAATGCCTGTGTTTATCATCTAGAAACAAGGACATGCAATAAATAGAGAAATTTAGACATACTCTTAATCATACCTATTAACATTAGTTGGGACATAAAACTATTAATTTTCCAATAAAAGTTTTGGGAAACCTGAAATAAGACTTTAGAGAGCTGTATAATCAGAATGACTAACAAGAAAAGAGATATATATTAGTCAACCTTGAAGAAAAAAATTCCAGAGATTGAACTTTAATTTTGAGGTTCTTTTTTTTTTTCCCATGCCCCCTGAGGCTCTGTTCTTTATATACAACTTTAATATACAATTAAGTTGCAGTTGTTACTTACAACCTACTTGTTGAATGTTGACCCAAATATGTTTCTTTGGTATCTTTAACACTTGGCTTATAATGGCTGTGTTACAACTTACTCAGATAACTGCTAATAAACATTACTGGAATGTACTGGAGGAAGCTTTTCCCACTATATAGTCAGCTGTTGCTTTTTTCTTAAAAGATGAAACAAAAGACTAATTAACAGACAAACATAACAGGCCAGGCGTGGTGGCTCACACCTGTAATCCCAGCACTTTGGAGGCCGAGGTGGGTGGACTGCCTGAGGTCAGGAGTTTGAGGCCAGCCTGGCTAACATTCTGAAACCCATCTCTACTAAAAATACAAAAAGTAGCTGGGAGTGGTGGCGCATGCCTATAGTCCTAGCTACTCAGGAGGCTGAGGCAGGAGAATCGCTTGAACCCGGGAAGCAGAGGTTGCAGCGAGCCGAGATCGTGCCACTGCACTCCAGCCTGGGCGACAGAGCAAGACTCTGTCTCCACGCACACACACAAAAAGTAACAGACTTGAAATTCATGCCACATGTGTTATGACAAATGTGGATGTGCCAGCTGCTACAAGGAGCTCATGGAAGCTGTGTATATTTCATAAATATATTTTAAAGTATTTGATTTCAAAGATATAATGCAGTTTCTCGAATATCACACTACTCAACAGTTGCATTAACATTTCTAAAGAAGCCTAAGTTTCATGTCATTTAAACACAAAACTTATGAGTCCTTCCATATCAACTTATATTTTCAAAAAACTGTTAGGTCCCACTACCTAATAAAGATACAGAAAAAGAAAGTCATACTGTATTCACTTATTTCAAATTATAAAAGTCTATCATGTGTCTAAGCAAATCTTAAGATACATGACATAATACTATTCTAAAACATTAGCTACTCCCTTTAAGACTACACCAAGCACATGCCAATCATTATAATTACTGTAGCTTTTATTAATTCTAAACTTGTCAATATTTAATTGATGAAATTTAAGGAAAACTGTAGTTTAAATAGTTTGTCAAAGTATAATTTCTACACAAAAGTCTTCAGAAACTTTCAAAGCTATCTTTTGCTATTTCGTATCTTGGAGATTTGTAGAATGTAGTCATACTCATTAACTACAAAATGGAGCCTGACAGCAGAAATGGCTGATTATCAGACTATGCCAATAATAACATTGCACTAAATCAATACTATTGGATATTCTTAAATGCCTAACATTTTAGGTTTATTTTCATTGCTATACTTTTTTTTTTTTTTGAGATAGGGTCTTACTCTGTCGTACATACTGGAGCGTGGTGGCACAATCTTGGCTCACTGAAACCTCCACCTCCCTGGTTCAAGCGATTCTCCTGCCTCAGCCTCTGGAGTAGCTGGGACTACAGGTGCCGCCACCACGCCCGGCTAATTTTTGTATTTTTAGTAGAGTTGGGGTTTCACCATGTTGGCCAGGCTGCTCTCGAACTCTTGACCTCAAGTGATCCGTCTGCCTCAGCCTCCCAAAGTGCCGGGATTACAGGTGTGAGCTGCCCCGCCCGGCCTAATTGCTAAACTTATGTGCAGTTATCTTTAAAAAACTAATTTTATCATCACTTTAAAAAGCTCCTGACAAAACCACACATAAACAATCACAAACTATTTTAATTAAAAAAATTAGAAAGAGTATTAATAACTTTCTGTTGATTTGCTTTGCTGCTTATTAACTTAGTAAATTAAAAAAATGGAAACTAGCCAGGTGCGGGGGCTCACGCCTGTAATCCCAGCACTTTAGGAGGCCAAGGGGGGCGGATCACGAGGTCAGATCGAGGCCATCCTGCCTAACACGGTGAAACCCCGTCTCTACTAAAAAAATACAAAAAAATTACCCGGGCGTGGTGGCGGGCGCCTGTAGTCCCAGCTACTCTGGCGGCTGAGGCAGGAGAATGGCGTGAACCCGGGAGGTGAAGCTTGCAGTGAGCCAAGATTGCGCCACCGCACTCCAGCCTGCGCTACAGAGCCAGGCTCCACCTCAAAAAAAGGAAAAAAAAAAAAAAAAAAAAAAAGGAAACTATGCCAGACTAAAATCACCAATAACTTTACGATTGATGTAGATAATAATTTTTTTTTTTTTTTGAAACGGAGTCTCGCTCTGTCGTCCAGGCTGGACTGCAGTCTCGGCTCACTTCAACCTCAGCCTCCTGCCTCAGCTTCCCGGGTAGCTGGGACTACAGGCACGTGCCATCATGCCCGGCTAATCTGTATTTTTAGTAGAGACAGGGTTTCACCATCTTAGCCCGGATGGTCTCAATCTCCCGACCTCGAGATCTGCCCACATCAGCCTCCCAAAGTGCCGGGATTGCAGGCGTGAGCCACTGCACCCGACAGCTAACTCTACTCTTGACTCCTGGAATATGAGGTCCAATTCAAATCCAGGCTCCACATTGCAGGTTTTGTGGATAAATGCAATAGAATAATTCTGGAAGCAAGTAATTCTGGTGATTCAGTGTATTCCAGGACTCCCATGACAACTCTTTCTTACCCTAGAAAATGCTTTGCATTAACTCTTTGTACCTTTGGTGTAAATCCAGTGTCACAACTGTCCTGGCCAGGTCCAGGACATTTTTTAAACAAATCCTGGTTTAAATCTAAATGAAAATACAGAATATACTGTAAAGCTTAATAATCAACACTAATTCAAGTGTATCTGGGGAGTGAATCCTTATCTGGACTCCAGGCATCTCCCATCTGAAAACTTCTTAGTGCAGAGAGTAATAATTCTGTATATAAAAGAAATTGTAACAAGCTTTGCTATGAAAAATGTATTGTCAGCTATGAGGCTGCCCTTTCATGAATTTTTTTTTTTTTTTTTTTTGAGACAGAGTCTCGCCCCCATCACCAGGCTGGAGTGCAGTGGCGTGATCTCAGCTCAATGCAAACTCCACCTCTTGGGTTCAGGCGATTCTCCTGCCTCAGCCTCTGAAGTAGCTGGGACTACAGGCACGCGCTACCACACCCTGCTAATTTTTGTATTTAGTAGAGATGGGGTTTCACCACGTTGGCCAGGATGGTCTTGATCTCTTGACCTCATGATCCGCCCGCCTCAGCCTCCCAAAGTGCTGGGATTACAGGCGTGAGCCACCGCGCCTTGGCCCCTTTCATGAAATTACCAGTACACAGCAGCTATGTCTTTTTGTGTTTTATGACCAATTACAGTCTATAAAATACTATGGTATACATATTTTTTATAGTTGTACTGAGATTTTATTGAAGTTTGATTTTAGGAGGTACTATTAAGTCAATGATTTGGCCCAGAGAAAATTACAGTATCTACATGTTTTAAATATAGCATTGAAAAATGGACTGAGTATACTGGATATATGATACGCAGTACTTACTTTGTTATAGTTGGTGCTATTACTGAATCAATCAAGTAGATGAAAAATTAGAAGCATACGGTGTTCAGGGAGGGATAATTCTTTTTTTTTGAGTAGGAATTTTGCTCTTGTTGCCCAGGCTGGAGTGCAATGGCGCTATCTCAGCTTACTGCAACCTCTGCCTCCTGGGTTCAAGCGATTCACCTGCCTCAGCCTCCCGAGTAGCTGGGATTACAGGCATGTGCCACTACGCCTGGCTAATTTTGTATTTTTTAGTAAAGACAAGGTTTCTCCATGTTGGTCAGGCTGGTCTTGAACTCCCAACCTCAGGTGATTCACCTGCCTCGGCCTCCCAAAATGCTGGGATTACAGGCGTGAGCCACTGCGCCTGGCCTGAATTTTTATTCTATAATTCTGTTATAGAATAAAAAAGGGGGGAGGTATAGTGTGTTGCAAAGTTTTATGACAATTTTTGTAGCTAGAAGTATTCGAAATTAAAGGAAAAAGAAAAACACAGAAGTAAATACCTACCAACATATGTCCAGTAATACTATTTCCATCTATGGTAATCCAGAAATAAAAGTCTATATTGAAAGATAAGAAGTAGTGTGTCCAAATACATCACTGTAGTTGGGTCATTTTATCCTGATTTAATTTTTTCTATTTAAATAAACAAAGGCAACTGCATTACCATCTTGTTCTTAAATAAGAAGATAACTGGGAATGACTGATGACACTGTTAACTTAAACCTTATTTTTTCAGAGTCCTTGACTAACTTAAGTAACTAAGTAAGCATTTAAATATGACTTCTATTATCAGCATTCAGTAGCTAATAATCATTACTCCAATTAGTTATCCATTAATATTAATTGTGTGAACAACTTTGCAAAATATAGAAATGTTCTAAGTTTGAGAAAACTACTGTTTCAAAGGTCAGAAACCTAGCTTTGAACCCACACAACCATGGTTAAGGTTAGGACATGATGTGTACCGAGTAAATTTAGAGGCATTAGGATTTAATTCCTCAGTAGCCCTTAGAGTTCAATGTTGGTATTTGTGATTCCCCCAAATGGACAGAGATACTTACAACCAATTCTCACATCTCAAGATTCATGTAAATAGTGCCAATTGCCTTTGAAATCACTGCCAAATATTAATTTTAAAAACCATCTAATGATACTTACTTCCTAACTTTTAACCATTATTCTCATCACGATCACTCATTACAAAACTCATCCACTTTGTCCCAAGTAGAAGCAAATTATCTGATAACCCTCTATCACCTCAATAAACTACCTGCCCCTACACTTGCAAAGTTAGCAAAGTCAAGTATAGAAAACCTAAGATAGAAGGACTAAGAAGGCATAGAGACCTTGGGTAGTCCGTCAGTTCTGTATACTCCTTAGCAGCACAGCAACAAATCAGCAATGACAGACAGTAATTGTCCTAATCTAGGTCAATACAACAGCCAAAACTTTGTAAACACTCTCTTTGGCTCTTCCTGGAGATCAACACTGTTCTAATTAAAATGCTGTAGCATGAAAGGGCTTAATAGCAACACAAGTGTTCAAAAATACTTATTTATCTAATATCATTTATCCAAGAATCTTAAAAATCACTTAATACTAATCAATTCAATAACTGAGAGGGGTAGGTACTAAGGAAACTGCAAAGGCCAAGAACAGAAATTAGGAGTATATGCTACTCAATAATCTTTGTCAGCTAAAAACTCTGCTGACTTATATAGCTCTGAGTATGTAAGATAAAGTATTATCTACATGCCTTCAAAAAACCTAAATTTAGGTATAAATGTTACCAAGATAATACCTGTTCTTACTATATGTCATTTGTACTTAATTTTTCTGAAGTCTGATTTATTGAAGTTTGATTTTTGAAGATACTGTTTAGTCAATGATCTGACCCAGAGAAAAATGTGAAAAATATCTGATGTAATATTACTTAATACTTTGAAACTAAACATTACACAGTATTTTAGATATCTTATTTTGAATCTATTATTTTAAATGTTAGATTAAAAGTCTACAGTATCACATATACCCATTGAGTAATCTTTCCATTTGAGGCGAAAGGTTTATGCTAAGCTATACATACCATCTTCCTGAATTTCTGAGATGGATACCTGACGGAAGGTGCAATCGACAGCTATAAAAACATTTTGTGTGTATGTAAAGTTAATGAACCTACAAAAGCATCAAACTCCTGTCCACGGCCTCTTTAGCACCATACTCCAACCAAGTTAACTGGTTCAAACTGCTACATAAGACAGTGATAACTACAGGAATAAGCACAAAGAAAGGTTATATTTTATCATGTTAAAAGTTTCACAGAGATAACAGGTTTACAATTCAAATTCCCATGTCCTGAAAACTGGCCTCTTAAATAACTCACCTCTCAAATCACAGACGTGCAATAATCTGAAATTATTATAATCTAAAGACTTAAGGAAATAACCAATTATTACAATTCATGTTCACTGTGAGGAATATCTAGCTATATAAAATATAGCTACACAAAACCAGAACTCAGTGAAACATAACTTTTAAGAGCAAGAAATCTGCTTGAGATTCGTATCAGTAGTCATTAAACGAATAAATGCTAAAGGTTTACATTCAAGTGCTTGAAGGACTACTGCAGAGAAATTCAATTACTAAAAACCTTTGCTCAGATGCCTGTCAGGCATATTAAGGATGGGATGATGTGTGAACCACCAGCAGTGGTATTAAACCCCAATCATTTTCAAGACAAGTAAGATTTAGAGCTGTTAAGACATTCCAGAATTTGGTTCACTGACACTAAAAGTGGTATTTTAAAAAAAGACCTCATACAGTCTGCTAGCATATCATACTAACCATTAGAGGAGGTAGTGACACAAAGTGTTGGAATTTAAAATACAAGATCAGCATTAACTGTAAACCATTCTAAATCACTGTATGTAACTCTTTAAAACATATGTAGTGAAAAAGAATTAGAATTCATATAAAATCAGAATTTAAAAAAGCAAAAAATAGAAATATTTAGTGAATTTACTCAAATGAAGGAAGTTTAAATGATACAGGAATGAAAAATATTAGAAATCTATGTACAATAAAAAGTAAATATAAATTAGCCAAGTCCATGGACATTTCCAGTTAAACATTCATACAAAAACATATTCACCTTTTTCCTTAGATAGGGATAACACATTCATACATGACATGATGATTCTGGCAAAAAATATCAGAGATACTAAAACTATTCTCAAGTTTTAAAAATGGTGCAGAGAGTGTTTCAAGAACACTCTACAAGAATGTAAACCCCTGATTTAATTCCATGATTTTATCATGCCAGAAGCATGGTTGGTTTTAGTTTTTTAAAACAGATATTGGTATCATAACACATTGGCTTATTAATAATTAAGGCATTTTACATACACAGTATCTCAGTGTGAACAAAAAATGTTTAATATTGATTTTTTTCATGTTTTAAACTTTCAGTCTTTTCAACATAAGAAAATAGCTGCACACATT
Source organism: Homo sapiens (assembly GCF_000001405.40). NCBI lineage: Eukaryota > Metazoa > Chordata > Mammalia > Primates > Hominidae > Homo > Homo sapiens. Next base: position 34,141,899 of record NC_000015.10, read on the forward strand.
TAAGTGTTTTTTTTTTTTAATAAAACACAATCTTAAAAAAGTTAATGATGATTGGTCTTGGTGGTTCCTAGTGGTAAGTCCTGTCTTATTTTTTCACATAGTATAAATTATATTTTTATGCAGGATTGCATTAAAATCCAGTAGTTCTTAATGTTACCAAATAACCATATAACTCCCAAATGCAGCAAAGGTGAACAATCTTCATAGTGCACTTTCACCTCAATGAAATTGAAGCTGCTCCTTTTGGATATTTTTCCACTTCAATGTGAAGCAGATTGCTGGGATTTCATTAGTGGTTTCATTACGTGGCTTTTTAAAAGAAAAAATAGTTTTGATTTCTTCCACAGTTCACAGTTCTCAGACGAGACTTTTTTTTTTTGTAAATTATACAGTTCAGGGATGTTTTGAAAAACCAAATGCTCTTTAGTAGATGAAATCTCTCAATGTAACTGTAATAAATAAGCATCTACATCCTTAGAAGATAAAACAAAAACATTTCATTAGACAGTACAGTAAATACAAACATAAACAATCCATTTTTTTTTGTTGTTGCTTAATTTGCCTTAGTTTCCTTTTGTGACCTTTTGAGGGTAAAAGACGTGCCTTGTTCAGTGCTTTTATCTGCATTTGTTCAGCACAGGGCCTGGCACATAGTATGTGCTCAATATATATTTGCTAAGTGCTAAATGAATGTGTTGGTTCCTATGCTCAAACAACTCTGCTTTCATAGCTAACATTCACAGAAATTCTATCAGTGCTGTTTACTATCAGTGCTATATTCACTTGAGCCCAGCTTGACAATAGCCTCTTTCAATTTCTTTCTCTTTTTTTTGAGACAGAGTCTTGCTCTGTCACCAGGCTGAAGTGCAGTGGCGTGATCTTGGCTCTCTGCAACCTCCACCTCCAGGGTTCAAGTGATTCTCCAGCCTCAGCCTCCCAAGTAGCTGGGACTACAGGTGTGCACCACCACGCCCGGCTAATTTTTTGTGTTTTAGTAGAGATGGGGTTTCACCATGTTGGCCGGGATGGTCTCGATCTCCTGAGCTCGTGATCTGCCCACCTTGGCCTCCCAAAGTACTGGGATTACAGGCATGAGCCACCTTGCCCGGCCCTCTTCTTTCAATTTCTATACTCAAAAAATTACAAATTAATTGATGGTTTAATTTTGTAAGAAAGTCTCATCATAAGGAACTTCGCATTGAACTTTTAATCACTCAATATTGTCCCCAATAATAAATGGTACCTTAAAGTCATATTCACAATAAAGCTTTTCCCTTTGTAAAAAACTGATTGTGGCCGGGTGTGGTGGCTCCCGCCTGTAATCCCATTACTTTGGGAGGGGGAGGTGGGTGGGTCACTTGAGGTCAGGAGTTCGAAACCAGCCTGGCCAACGTGGTGAAATCCCGTCTCCACTAAAAATACAAAAATTAGCCAGGCATGTGTGTAATCCCAGCTACTCGGGAGGCTGAGGCAGGAGAATCACTTGAACCCAGGAGGCAGAGGTTGCAGTGAGCTGAGCTTGTGCCACTGCACTCCAGCCTGGACGACAGAGCGAGATTCAGTCTCAAAACAAAAACAACAAAAAAAATTCTGATTGAAAGCAAATTTCAGTCATAAGGAACAATCATTTTTTAGTTCTTCTATACAGAATGCAACAACCCTTTAGAGCAAGGTAATACGTCATGTATGCTCTAAAAACCTAAAACAACAACAAAAACTTTCTAGGAGATTGATATGTTCATAAGATTTTCATCATTAAGAATTCTATAGGCCAGGCGCAGTGGCTCACGCCTGTAATCCCAGCACTTTGGGAGGCCAAGGCAGGTGGATCATGAGGTCAAGAGATCAAGACCATCCTGGCTAACATGGTGAAACCCTGTCTCTACTAAAAATACAAAAAAAAAAAAAAAAAAAAAAAAATTGCCAGGCATGGTGGTGGGCGCCTGTAGTCCCAGCTAATCGGGAGGCTGAGGCAGGAGAATGGCGTGAACCTGGGAGGTGGAGCTTGTAGTGAGCCGAGATTGCGCCACCACACTCCAGCCTGGGCGACAGAGCGAGATTCCATCTCAAAAAAAAAAAAAAAAAAAAAAGAATTCTATAGAGTAAAATCCCACACAGTGGTAACAAACTTGGTTGATATATCATTTTGCTTCTTTTTTTTGAAGGTATCTGAGAAATTTTTTTTTTTGGGAGAGGGGCCATGGTCTTCCATAGCAATGGCCAGAGCTCCTCTGTGGCTGTCACTTTGACAGGAGATAAGCTTCTGGTTGGTCACTGTTGGTATCACTCCCATTTGCTTTTCTTCCCTCAGCTACATTAATTCCCTGAAAGCTTCTGTCTCCTGTAAGAGCTGAACTTATCTTGGAGTAGAAGCCAGATTATCCCTCAAGGCTACCTAGGTTTGCCCAAGCCTCTGTTTCCCTTAGCATTGTATTTTTTTCCCCCTGAATTCTAAGAAGTTGTTTTGTCTCCGAGAAAAATGTTATAACTAAGTCCATGACATAAATCCTCTTATTTAGAAATATATATATATATATATTTTTAAAACCAAAGAATGCTTTTTATATTCCTGGCTAATGCCCATTTATGATAGCAGTATGCCCGGTAATAAAGTAAAAGTATTTCTTAATGACAATTTTTTCTTCAATTAATTTTTAACTACTAATGTTTTTTCTTTCTTTTTTTTTTTTGAGACGGAGTTTCACTCTGTTGCCCAAACTGGAGTGCAATGGCACGATCTCAGCTCACCACAACCTCCGCCTCCCAGGTTCAAGTGATTCTCCTGCCTCAGCCTCCCGAGTAGCTGGGATTACAGGCACGTGCCATCACACCCAGGTAATTTTTTGTATTTTTAGTAGAAACGGGGTTTCACCAACCAGGCTGGTCTCGAACTCCTGACCTCAGGTGATCTGCTTGCCTTGGCCTCCCTAAGTGCTAGGATTACAGGCGTAAGCCACTGTGCCCGGCCTAACTACCAATGTTTTCTGGAGTTTAAATATTAAAATTCAAACTAGCAATTTTTACTTTTTCCTTTACGAGACAAATCAATAAAGACCAAAGTCAAATTCACTGTGATTTAAATAGTTTACCTTCTCAAAAAGCATAACATTAGCAAAAGTAAAACTTAATCTCCAAAACCATTTAATTATGTTTCTTATCCCTTGTTTCCTGAGTTCCTCGTCTTGTTTTCTGATGCTGTCCTTATTGGATTCTCAAAATTTTTTCAAATACTTTTCTCTGATTAAAACCCTCTGTAAATATCCTCTAGCATAGCATTTCAGGGGCTGTACATGAAACATGTTCAATGGCCAATTCCTGTGCTTGCTGCCAAGGTCACAGTTACACGCAGAGGACCTGAAGCATTTGAAAATATGAAATTGACTTTAGACATTAGAACAGTACCATATTATTTTGCCTAGAGACTTGAAAATTAATTTATAAATGTAAAATATTATTTCTAATTTTTAATGTTTAATTTATAAGCTTAAATATAGATTACCTTAGCTATATTACCAGTATATCCTGGAACCAAAGTAAGATGGTTTTCCTGTTCCCATAATCCACTTAATTGTTGTTTTAAAATTTGAATATTTCTAAAAGAAAAAAAAGGAAGAAAAATGAGAAAGCAAATACATTAAGATACAAACTTTCATCATAAATATGCATAATAAAAACTGTTCTAAAATTTTTCAGGTATTTTTCAGGAGAAAATGATGCTATTTGAAATAAAACATTTGGGAACGTGGAGAGAAATTAAAAAAAAATCAAATAACTTTTAGAATAATACATGTCAGTCATGAAAATTAAAGGTTTATCCACATAATACCGCCAAATGCCTCCTATTTAATTAATTCTTGGAAACAACAAAGGATGTTTTTTCAATTCCAAAATTAATAAAATTTCTTACTTGATTTCAATTAAAAAAAAAAAGAAAATTAAAGGTTATTTAGTTGTCAAAGCAGGTAAGAAAATGACCAGGCGTTTGGAACATTTGGACATTCCTTGGTGTGAAGTAGAAAATTTTGAGAGCCTACAAAATAAATTGTGGCTTTTTTTTTTTTTTTTTTTGAGACAAGGGCTGGCTCTATTGCCCAGGCTGGAGTGCAGTGGTGCCATCTCGGCTTACTGCAACCTCCACCTCCTGGGCTCAAGCGATCCTCCTGCCTCAGCCTGAGTAGCTGGGACTACAGGCGCACACCACCATGCCTGGCTAATTTTTGTATTTTTTGTAGAGACGGGATGTCATCATGTTGCCCAGGCTGTCTCAAACTTGTGAGCTCAAGTGATTTGCCCTTCTTGGCCTCCCAAAGTGCTGGGATTACAGACAGGCATCAGCCACCGTGCCTGGCCCAAAATTATGGACTTTAAGGAAACTGTTGGGAGATATTTTTCTGTGGTTTCATGATAATCTGGCTATACTCTGGTAGAATACCCACGAATTTTCACATCAAGGCAGTAATAATACAGTTTTTAGAACTGTAAACATCAACACCGGACTCTCAGGTTAATGTCTAGGTAAAGGACCCCGCAGGGTGCCTCCATTCCTTATTACACTGTGGGCATCTCTTTTTCCTCCCTTACTCATAATGAATATGAGAATTAAACCACTATTGTGTTTTTCTTCTAAAATGAAGGGTAGGGTTGTGCCAGAAGAAGAGATACAGGAGGTTAGTAGGCTCTGGAATTCAATTTCCAGGTGTGGTTTTCACAAATGAACAGTCTCTTAAGTTAGTATCTCTCTGAATATAAAAAGAATAAATACCATACACTGATGATAATGGGATAAAATTATTACCTAGTTTAATCAAGCTGCTTTCCTGAAGAAAATTTCAGCATGAGTTTATCTTTAAAGGTATACTCACCCATCATTTATAATTTCTGTTTTGGATGATAGTTCTGACCACCACCTTTTAATGACTGCTTGAAGCCAGTTTAAACCAACTATAACATATCTGAAATGACATTTTGTTACAAAATTCAAGTGTTTTCATCTAAGAACCCTTCTTATAAAAGATGATACTTTCCCTCCCAAAAAACACACACACACATTGGTCCCTTCCCTTTTAAAAAATTGTTACCTTCATGATCTATTACACAAAAGTATATTTCATGTAATTTGTTTAGAGATGCTTTTATAATTGTCCTTTAGTCATTTCATATTCTTTTCCTAATTGTACTATTAGCTTCTTGAAAACAGAAACCTTGCATGTCTCATGGAGCCCAATCTACTATGTACTCACAAAGCACAAAATCAAGGATGCTGAAAAAGAAAAATGAATCAAGATTCAGATTAGCACTTACTCTTCAAATTTGCTTTTAAGTAGTGACTTTACTAGAGGCAACAAGTCAACACAGCAGCCAAGTGAGATATATTGTTTTTCTTCCTGTAAACTAAAATAAATACCAAGTTATAAAAATATGGATGGGCCATAATTTGACCTCCTTTAATCTTATTTTTTTTCTGAAAAATATTGTTTTTACCAATTGGTGAGCACAGGAAGGCAATCTACCACAACGCCAAGATCTTCTATCCTGAGAGTATAAAAAGAATAGCATTGCCTTAGAGAGCTGATTTCCTTATTTACTTTCATATTATGATTATTCACACCGCTTTTGAGAAATTCATTCATTTAACAATGTCAGTATCTACAATGAGTCATGTCTGTGGATACAGCAATGAACAAAGACACAGGGCTTGTATTCCAGTGTGTGAGCAACTGTGGGGGTTGGGGGGTGGGACAGAGACAGGCAATAAACAAATAACAAGACATAAGACATATAGAGCAGGTTGATATAAGTGCTATGGAGAAAAATAAAACAGGAAAGCGAGATAGGGAGTGGAGAAATAGGTATTTTAAAATAAGTTGGTCAAAGAAGGCTTCCCTAAGGTAACATCTGAGAGACTTGAATACAATGAGGAAAGTAATGCTTCAAATTCCCACTCAAAAGGGATGTTTACTTTTTATTTTTAGTAATTTTTTTTTTAAGAAACGGGTCTCATTCGGTTGCCCAGGCTGGAATGTAGTTGCATAATCACAGCTTACTGCAACCTCCAACTCCTGGGTTCAAAGTGATCTTCCCAAGTATCTGGGACCACAAGCACGTACCACTGTGCCTGGCTTATTATTTTTATTTTTTGTAGAGATGGAGTCTTGCTATGTTGCTCAGTCTCTCACTCCTGGGCTCAAGGGACTCTCTCACCTCAACCTTCCCAAATGCTGGGATTATAGGCAAGAACTGCCACACCTGGCCTCAAAAGGGATTTTTAGAAGGTTAGTTTTCCCATATCGTTATCTCTTAGTTTTATAGGTAAGAATGACAGTCAGGAAAGGTAACAGCTTTGTTCAATCTGATAAAACATTGTTTTCTGTATTTTGGTTACTCTTAGATGGGTGAGGAATGTAATTTAAGCCATACTGTCTCTACTGAAGCTACATATAGGCAGTTTAGAATAATGAAGAAGGTTCACCTGAGCTCAGGAGTTCGAGACCAGCCCGGGAAACATAAGACCTCATGTCTTCCAAAAAATTTTTTTAAAAAATAGCCAGGTGTGGTGATGTGCACCTGTACTCTCAGCTACTCAGGAGGCTGAGGTGGGAGGGCTGCTTGAACTCAGCAGGTTGAGGCTGCAGTGAGCCATGATTGTGCCACTGTACTCCAACTTGGATGACAAAGCAAGAACTTGTCTCAGAAAAAAAGTGATTGAACAAAGAGGATAAAAGGTCACACTTACCTCAACAAATAAGCTACAAGTTCACTTATACTTCTCTTTCTCCAGAAAGTTAAAGCTACATTCAATCTCATATTCCTGCTGAACAAAACTTGGGCCATTGTTTCATGGTCCTGAGAAACCTGAAAGGCAATAATCTGATTTGTTAAAAAGCACACTGAAACAGGGTATGAAACTATTTTTTTATTAAATCGTTCTGGTAGACATAGTTAAAAATCATGCAAAAGTAACTCCTTTTACTAGCCCACAAAAAGGAATACTGCAGTTGACCACAGTAAACAAATGATCTGAACAAATTTAAGACCCATTTATACTTTTCACTAGCTACCATTTTTCTTTTAAAACCCAATAATTTATAAAATTATTTTTAGCTGACCTATAAACTAGGACTTAATTTATAACATGGATAAAAGAAAAATGTAAACATGTAGGCTAGTCATTACCAACTGAATGGCAGGAGAATCACAAAAACTCAGTTTTTGACAAGTGTTGTAGTATCATTTAAATTTATCTATTTATTGTTAAGTAATGAAGTGTCATTTTCCTGTTCTAATGTGTTTAACACAGAACTATGTAAGATAAAAAGTAAAAACTCTCTGCCTGCCCACAAAAACATCCAATATCACTCCGCAGAAATAATCACAGTTAACAGACTGATATGTATCTTTCCAGACCATTTTCTAGACAAAGACAAATTAAGTACACATATAAACACTCTGAAAAATTAATTACCTATATTGTTCAAAACCTTGCTTTTTTACCTATATGAACATTTTTCAATGTCAAAACACAGATCAAGCTTTTTTTTTTTTGGAGACAGGGTCTTGCTCTGTTGCCTAGGCTGGAGTGCAGTGGTGCAATCTCAGCTCACTGCAACCTCCGCCTCCCAAGCTCAAGTAATTCTCCTGCCTCACCCTCCCCGAGTAGCTGGGATTACAGGCACCCAACACAACACCCAACTAATTTTCCTATTTTTAGTAGAGATGGGGTTTTGCCATGTTGGCCAAGCTGGTCTCCAACTCCTGACCTCACATGATCCGCCTGCCTTGGCCTCCCAAGTGCTGGGATTACAGGCATGAGCCGCCACACCAAGCCCAACTTTACTTTTAAAGAACAACAGCATAGCCTGGCATAGTGCTGTGTGCCTACAGTCCCAGCTACTTGGGAACCTGAGGTGGGAGAACCACTTGAGCTCAGGAGTTTGAGTCCAGCCTGGGAAAGACAGTGAGACAGTGAGACCTCATCTCTTAAAAACAACAACAAAAAACAATAGCATATTCTCTAGTCTTTACATACCATAATTTATTTAGATTCTGGTTTTTACCTATCAAAACTGATGAGTGGACATCCTGATATATGTAAATATGTGCACTTGTACAGACACTTTTGTTAAAATTAATTTTACAATTGGAACAGCTAGGTCAATGGTTATATGTATTTTAACTTGGCTAAGATGTTATGGTATCACTTTCAGATTTAGGTTTTTAGAGCAGGTACTGGTCAATCAAGAAAACAGGTATGAAACAAGAATAATCATTAAACCTATTAGTTAAATGTAAGGTTTAGTGAAAAGTAGTGAAAATGAGAATGTAAAGTAAAAAGAGGTTCTTGAGAAAGATGTCTCACTGGGGTAGTTTTTAAAATGCACAACTGAAACTTTTTAAAAAGAACTTTTATTCTGGCCAGGCACAGTGGCTCACACCTGTAATCCCAGCACTTTGGGCTGGGGCTGAGGCAGGTTGATCGCTTCAGCTCAGTAGTTCGAGACCAACCTGGGGAGCATGGCAAAACCCTGTCGCTATAGGAAATACAAAAATCAGCTGGGTGTGGTGGCACATGCCTGTAGTCCCAGTTACTCTGGAGACTGAGGTGGGAGGATTGCTTGAACCTGGGAGGTGAAGGTTGCAGTGAGCCAAGATTGCACCACTGCACCCCAGCCTGGGTGATAGAGCGAGAGACCCTGTTTCAAAACACAAAACAAAACAAACTTATTTTATGTTCAGGGGCACATGTGCAGGTTTGTTATATAGGTAGTTTGCATGTTGTGGGGGTTTGGTGTACAGATTATTTCATCACACAGGTAATAAGCATAGTAACTGATAAGTAGTTTTTTGATCCTAACTCTCTTCTCACCCTCTACCCTAAGGTAGGCCTCATGTCTGTTGTTCCCATCTTTGTGTCCATATGCACTAGCACAGTGTTTAGCTCCCACTCCAACTGAGAACATGAAGCATTTGGTTTTCTGTTCCTGTATTAGTTCGCTTAGGATAATGGCCTCCAGGTTCACTCGTGATTGCAAATGACATGATCTTGTTCTTTTTATGGCTGCATATAGTATTCCATGGTGTATATGCACCATATTTTCTTTATCCAGTTTACCATTGATGGGCATTTCGATTGATTCCTTGTCTTTGCTATTGTGAACAGTGCTGTGATGAACATACGCATACATGTGTCTTTATGGTAGCATGTTTTATATTCCTTTGGGTATATATCCAATAATAAGATTGTTTTAAGTTCTTTGAAAAATTGTCGCACTGCTTTCACAATGGCTGAAACTAAATTACATTGTCACCAGCATTGTATAAGTGTTCTTTTTCCACAACCTTGCCAGAATCTATTATTTTTTGACTTTTTAATAATAGCCATTCTAACTGGTATGAGATGATATCCTGTTGTGGTTTTGATTTGCATTTCTCTAATGATGAGTGATTTTAGGTTTAGCATTTAGGCTGAGCATTTTTTCATATGCTTGTCACCTACATGTATGTCTTCTTTTGAAAAGTGTCTATTGTGTCCTTTGCCTACTTTTTTTTTTTTTTTTTTTTTTTTTTTTTTTTTGAGACAGAATCTCACTCTGTAACCCAGGCTGGAGTGCAGTGACAAGATCTTGGCTCACTGCAACCTTTGCCTCCCGGGTTCAAGCAATTCTTGAGCGTCAGCCTCCCAAGTAGCTGGCATTACAGGCGTGCACCACCACGCCTGGGTAATTTTTGTATTTTTGGTAAAGATGGGGTTTTGCCATGTTGGCCAGGCGAGTCTTGAACTCCTGACCACCTGCCTTGGCCTCCCAAAGTGTGCCACCATGCCTAGCTAATTTTTGTATTTCTAGTAGAGATGAGGTTTCGCCATGTTGGCCAGGCCCAGTTTTAGAATATTTCTATCACTCTCAAAAACGCTTTTGAGTCTGTTAACCAGTTTTGCTTGAGCCAGAAGAGCAGCAAACCACAGCAGGTTTGCCTGAACTATGCTTTAACCAGGCAATATTGAGAGCCCGGCAAAATGTGTCTGGATAACTGGCTTCGGTGGTCCACTTTTTTTTTTTTTTTTGAGATGGAGTCTTGCTCTCTTGCCCAGGCTGGAGTGCAATGGAATGATCGCGGCTCACTGCAACCTCTGCCTCCCAGGTTCAAGTGATTCTTCTGCCTCAGCCTCCCAAGCAGCTGGGATTACAGGCACCCACCATCATGCCCGGCTCATTTTTGTACTTTTGTAGAGACAGGGTGTTTCACCATGTTGCCCAGGCTGGCCTCGAACTCCCGACCTCAGGTGATCTGCCTGCAGATGTTGTCCTTTTTATTTTTATTTTTTTGAGACGGAGTCGCTCTGTTGCCCAGGCTGGAGTGCAATGGTGTGATCTCAACTCACTGCAACTTCTGCCTCCCGGGTTCAAGCGATTCTCCTGTCTCAGCCTCCTTCTGAGTAGCTGGGATTACAGGCGCCCCCCACCATGCCCGGCTAATTTTTGTATTTTTAGTAGAGGCAGGGTTTCACCATGTTGGCCAGGCTGGTCTCAAACGCCTAACCTCGTGATCCACCCACCTCGGGCTCCAGGCGTGAGCCACTGTGTCCGGCCTAGTGCTCCACTTTTTTAGGCAAGATTTCTCCTTTTCCCTTCCTTTAAATCTCTACTGGCTAACTTGTCATTCTGGATAGTTTTAGCAGCCTGCTAAGCATTTCATCCCATCTTAGAGAAATGGAATAAATTATTAATTCAAATTTGGTTAATCTAGAAAATTGTCTCAGGGAGTTACTATGACTCAAATAAGTCTACATTCAATAGGTGACAAATTATTCTGCTAGTGGAATATGGCAAAGAAAAAAATCAAGATTATAACAGGAACAAAGTTAAACTAGATATGAGTTAGAGAAAAGACTTACCTCAGAAAAAAACCCACTATATTTTGATGATGGGCTTTCTGTCTGTGAAGAACCAGAATCACTGGAGTTAACCAAATATGTTCGACTATCATGGTGTAATTTTTCAGGCAGGTGGCCTGCACAAGCCAGTTCATTTTCTTTATTTGCCATGTCACAGCCCCCACTTCCAGGGGACTGTTTTTTTCTGTAACAAGGATTTGGAAAGGGATGATGAACTTTCTTTCTGCGATAGATCACTTTACGAAGTTTATCTGGGCTTTTCACAGTTTGTCCAACTGTTCTGTAAAAAGAATTTATTTTCTTAAATGAAAAAGAACCATATGAAATCCTTTAAAAGTTTTTAAACAGAGAATTAATAGGCTATATTTGGTGATTGTAATCCACTAAAATTAGAAATAAATAGAATTTTAAAAATCTTAATTCTGAGTTGAAGAGAAAAGTAAAAGGGAAATTACAAATTATCTGGAAGACAATGTAAAGGATGACATTTTATGCCAAATAAAAATGAAGACAGACATAATAACCAGAATGCTTTTAAAAATGAAATATTAAAGGCCATTCTGGGAGTAAGAAGACCACAACATTTTCTAGAAACCTGATCTTTTTCTAACAAAGTGGCAAATAAGACTGCAAGTGTGAATATTTTAAAATTTAATTAAGCTGAAGTATATTGATTTATTTGAGTAAGAACACGATAGAGCAAGCCTCATCGTTTAATACAGTGGTTCTCAAACGTTTTAGTGTCACGATGCTTTGCTCTCTTAAAAATAATTAATGACTCAAAAATTTTTTTTTTTTTTGAGATGCAGTCTCTCTCTGTTGCCAGGCTAGTGTGCAGTGGCACAATCTCAGCTCACTGCAACCTCCACCTCCCAGGTTCAAGTGATTCTCTTGCCTCAGCCTCCTGAGTAGCTGGGACTACAGTCGCGCGCCACCATGCTGAACTAACTTTTGTATTTTTAGTAGAGACAGGGTTTCACCCTGTTGGCAAGGATGATCTTGATCTCTTGACCTCATGATCCACCCACCTTGGCCTCCTAAAGTGCTGGGAATACAGGTGTGAGCCATGGCCAAAATAATTTTTATGTGAATAGTATCTATTGATATTTACTGTGTAAAAACTAAAACAAAATTTAAATCATTTGTTAATTCATTCAAAAAAAGACTAATTACATATTAACATGGAATATCTTACCCAAAACCCATATTTTCTAAAATAATTTTTTAAAAAGTGAGAAGAATGGTACTGTTTTACATTTTTATATATCTCTAATATCTGGTTTAACAAAAGACAGCTGGGTTCTCATTTCTGCTTCTCCATTCAATCTACTGTGATATCAAATGGCATATAGCTTCTTGAAAAATTATATTGTACCCTCAAACAAGAGAATGAAAATGAAGACAGTCAATGTCTTAGTATTGCTATGGAAGTAATTCTGACTTCACAAATTCCATGAATGGTCTTTAGGGACCCGCAGGTCCTCAAATCACACTTTGAAAACCAGTCGTTTTGTAGAAAGTGCCTTTAGAAGTTAGGCAGATCTGAGAATGAATGTCATTCTTACCACTTTTCTAGCTATATGATTCTGAACAAATCATTTAACTTATCTGATCTTAAGTTTTCTCATCAACTGTTAGGGTTAATGTTATCTATAGAGTAGGCTATAGAGTAGGACTGTTGTAAGGAGCAGAGACAATATTGATGTGTTTATTAGTGCAGATACTGGCATAAAGAAGCTGTTTGACAATAAGTTAATTATTATTATGATAAAAGAATGCTTATTTTTCCCTTATTGTCATCCTTACCCAGCTTTCATATTTGTTGTTCCCCACAAACTTTAAAGAAACTCTTACCTATTTATGTAAGCAGCCAACTGTTTTGGAGATTTCTTAACCTGAAAAATGAAAGTAGATAGTTGATGTTAGAAACAAATGCTTGGTGCCGCAAAGAAGAATCAGCACTCCGGCAAAAAGCTTTCTCAGCAAGGCAATTTACTTCTGCAGAAGGGTGCCAATCGTGCCTGGAGTGGTCGCAAGAGCATACCGGGCATGGGAGGAGAAGGGGTTCTTATCCCTAATGCAGCTAGTCCCTACTACTGTGTCATTCCCCTATTGGCTAGGGTTGGACCGCACAGTCTAAACTAATTCTGATAGGCTATCTGGGTATGAGGCAGAGTGGCGGGGTGAGCAGTTTAGGCAGGAAGGATGGTTACAGTGCAGGTGACTAAGGATGACTAAGGACAGAGCAGGTGACTAAGGATGACTAAGGACTCTAAATATGTGAGTATAAAGGCTAGAAGGGGGTTGTTTACTGAAACTAGGGCAAGGAGGTGTAAAGAATGAGGAAGTTAAACTTTAAAATGGAGAACAAAGTATAAGAAAGCTGAACATACTGACATACTGGTTCCCAGAGGAACTCAGAACTCACTGTACTTAACAATATCCCCCTTTTGAATTTTACAGGTCTTCCTCTTCAAATTTCTTTAACATGTCTTGGCATAGCTGTTCTGCTTGGTTTTCTAAAAGAAAGAGCTTGTCAGAATATGGTGGAGGGGAACTGAGAGAAGTTTTAGTAAGGGCTGTTTCTGTATGTCTTTGGACTAGCCCACGGATGCGAGGTATGATGCAGCATCCAACAAGGATAAGCACTACTGCTACAATTGCAAGAGAAGTAAGGATGGTGGCTGTGATCCCTTTCCATTTACCAAACCATTTTTCTAGCCACCCTGTGAAGGGGTCATTTACTCCTGAGTTTTTTGCTAACTCATTGGACAGAGCAGTTAGACCTTGCAATGCCTTTGTTATACTTTCATCAGGGGCGGTATTGTTTGGGATGAAGGTACAACACTGAGTTTTAATCATGATGCAAACTTCCCCTTTTTCTGCTAAAATCATGTCTAAGGCCATTCTATTTTCCCAAGCCATCTGGCTAGTAAGCCCTAATTGCTCAGCTATTCCTTTAACAGCATCTCTAGTATAGTTAATAAACCGCTGTTGGTTGTAATAGGTGGAATTTATCTAATCTACGTTTTTATTAATTGTCACCCACCAAAATATTGACTCAAATCCAGCAGCTATTTGATCTCAGGTCTTAAATTTATTTGGTACTCCTCGTGGGACTCTAATTGCATCTAAATAAATGTGGGAGTCGAAAGACCCATAAGGGGCTTCCCTTGCTTTATGACATTGTGTTTTTTTCTTTCTCTGGTTGATGAAATGCCAGGGTGAAAGGGATAGCCAACTGCACTAGGGCGCAAGTGACACTCCAGTTACTAGGCAGAGTGTCCAGCAAAGGTCTACCACAATATCACCATACATCTGCTCGGGGGTGTATAAGGGCTGACTGGTTGGTGAGCTCTTGGAAAGTCTTAAGCTCACCGCATCCTTTTAGGTCTCTAAGGGATGCTAAGTTTCCTCTTTGTCGTGAGAGACACAAAATGAACTCAGTGTCGGGAGACAGAAGCTGGATGGCCCTCGGGGGCTAACCTGTGGGGTCTTGAACTTCGGGATATAGCAGAGAAAGAGCTTGGCACGACTTGTTACCCCAGGCTGTGGAATCCTGGAAAAAGAGCTACCATACAGCCCATGCCTGGTTGACTGGAGGACCATCATAGTGGAAAGGGGACAATCTGGCCCTCTGGCCTGCCATGCGCACGAGCATAACAATTGCTTTTGTTTAAAGTGCGGATGAAATATTTTATCTATTCTAACCAGGCATTGGCATTTTGATATCCCGTCTCAATTGCTAAAGTTTCTTTTAGGACTTTGACTTCTACAATAGCTACCTTCGTCTTGTCATTAGATGGAGGAAGAACAACAGTTTTGTTGTGGGAGGTTCTGGAAGAAGGCTTAGGGGAAGGTGTAGGCGGTGGGGGAGCAATGAAGAATATTTCAAAGGATCTGATAGGGTCTGCTCCTGAAACCTCAGCCCCCATATTATAAAACTGGCTTAAAGAAGGAAATTGGCTTAGAGAAGGGGAAGAACTTAGAGGGTTTGAGATAATAGCCTGTACTGGATTGTACTGATTTAGCTGACAGTTAGGGGAAGCTGTTCCTTTAGTAAAATGAATGTATAGCTTTAGGAAATTACAACTACTGCTTGGGGCAATCTATTCTTGCTCTTTAGTGGTCCACAGAATGTTGGACCAACTACAGCATAAAAGCTTTGTATTGGGAAGGCAAGACTCTCAGTTTATACTGGAATCTCCGTCAAACTCTTCCCAAGCTAACTTATCCCAGTTAACAGAATTCCAGTCTGAGAAGAGCTAGGAAGGACAAAGATACTTTTCTGAAGTGGAGAGTTGCCTCTGGCTTGGCACATCTCCACAGGGCATCACAAGGCAAGCATCAAAGGTAATAGTTTGGGGTGAACTCGACCTAGTTACATTAATAACAAGAGGACTAGCAATAGATGGGGAAAAGAAGAGATGCAACATAAGAGGATCAAACCCGTTTTAGCTTTAGCTTGGTTAGAGTAAGCCCTAGAATAGCTGCCCATGATTCTGGAGGAGGTGGTGCTCTTTTGACCTGGGTGTGATGAGTCCATCCCATTTCTGCTGTTTGAACTGTGGTCTCAATGGTTAGAAGCACTAGGCAGGGTCCTTCCTAAGCTGGTTCAAGTTTTCCTTCCCTCCAACTTTTGACAAGGATGTGGTCCCTAGGCTGATGTTGGTGTACTGGAAACTCTAGGGGTGGTGCCTGTGCTAAAAGACCTTTAGTTCTGAGGCAAGAGAAAGTGGAAGATAAACTTAAGTATATAATTTCTGAGAAACTGATCTTTTGTTTCGAACATGGGAATGTCAGCAGCGGAGTGCAAATAGAGCAACTTACACAACATTTCATAAGGGGATAAGCCAACATCTCTCTGAGGAGCAGTTCGGATTCTCAACAGGGCAATGGGAAGGCATCTAGTCCATGGCAACCGAGTCTCTAAGACTAATTTGCTTAAGTGGCTTTTTAGAGTTTGGTTCATTTTTTTCCCCACTCTTCCTGATGAAGGTGGGTGCCAGGGAGTATGATTTCCCATGTTATATCCAGTACCTGGGCTAATTTCTTAATGACATGTGCAATGAAATGAGTTCCATTATCTGAATCAATGTTTCCTATTAATCCAAACCTGGGTATAATATTTTCAACTAATGTTTTGACTACATTATTAGCAGTTGCACTTGAAAGGAAATAGCTTCTACCCAATGAGTAAGGTGATCTACTATTACTAATAAATATTTTAGACAACCAATTTGGGGCATCTTGGCGTAATCAACTTGGATACTTTGGAACAGTCTTAATTCCAGATACCTTCCCCTAAGAGGTGGTTTTCTGAGGGTCTGCTTATTAGTCATCCTAAATACTAGGCAACTATCTGTAACCTGTCATGTCAAAGTGTAAATTGCTACACATCCATAAACCCAAAGGACTGCATCACACATAGCTTGAGGTCCCCAATGAGTCTCTTGATGCAGATGAGAGAGGTCTCTCATAAGGGAATTGGATAACATTTTTCTTTGGTCTGGTAACACCCATTTCTCTTCTGAATTTTCTTTGGCCCCTATTTTTATTAATTTCTCTTTTTCAGTGGGAAAGAAGATGGGAACTGCAGTTGGG
Source organism: Homo sapiens (assembly GCF_000001405.40). Taxonomy (NCBI): domain Eukaryota; kingdom Metazoa; phylum Chordata; class Mammalia; order Primates; family Hominidae; genus Homo; species Homo sapiens. The sequence continues at coordinate 34,158,394 of NC_000015.10, forward strand.
GGAAGAAGGCAAGGGGTTAAGTGAAAAACAGGCATTTCAGAGGAAATGGCAGCTTGTTTGGCTATTTGATCTGCAAGGTTGTTCCCCCAGCTTTCAAAAGAGATATCTCTTTGATGTCCTGGGACATGGACAACAGCTATTTCTTCTGGCAACTGGAGGTTATCTAATACTTGAGTGATTAATTCTTGTGGACCAGGTCTTGGCCTTTGAAGACCTTGTTTGCTCCAATTTTTTTTTTTTCAAAGGTGTGAGCTACCCAGAAGGCATCTTTGAAATCAATATAAATAGTCCTTTCTTGGCTCTGCAGATGCTTTAAAGGCTTGATTTAATGCAAACAATTTACATGTTTGGGCAGACCAATTACTGAGTAGTATTCCTGACTCTACTTCTGCAAGGAGTTCCCCATTGACTACTGAGTACCCATTATGTCTTTTTCCTTCAATTACCCAGGAAGAGCCATCTATAAATAAGTGCTGCCCCATTTGAAAGGGGTCTTTCTTAAATCAGGTCTGACTTTAGTATGACAATTAAATCTGAACACTCATGCTCAGGTCTCTTTAAATTTGGATTCTCAGTCAGGAAACCTGCTGGGTTAAGCGAATTATCAGTGGTTAGTGTTAAATCAACGCTCTCTAACAGGATAGCTTCGTATTTTAAAATTATTGATTCAATAAGCCACCTTTCTGCCTTCTGATTAAGGATAGTTTTGACTTGGTGAGGTGTACTGACAATGAAGTTCCTTCTAAAAGTTAATTTTTTCTTTTTTTTCTGTTAATAGGGCTGTTGCTGCTACAGATTGAATACATTTAGGCCACCCTCAGATTACAGGGTCAAGAATTTTTGACAAAAAGGCTATGGGCTGCCGGTGGCCCCCGTGTTTTTGAGTGAGTACTCCTAAGGCTACTGTTTTGTTTACATTGACAAAGAGATGAAAAGGCAGTTCTAGGGGAAGGTAAAGCTAGGATGGGGACAGTTACTAGTAACAACAGGGTGGGTGGTTTGGACTATCTGATTAATAGCTCTAAGGTCTTACACTAACTGGTATGACCTGTCTGGCTTCTTTACAGGCAGTATTGGAGTGTTATAGGGAGACATACAGGGTTCAAGAAGCTCATCATGGAGAAGACCTTCAATTATAGGTTTTAAATTTACCCTGGCTTTTAAAGGAATAGGGTGTTGCTTTCTCTTTACATTTCCCTAGGGTTTTTTAATTTTAACATGAATTGGAGGAATCTGTAACCTTCCTTGATTCCCATCTTTTGACCATACCTTGGGATGAATGTGTTCTTTGTCTGTGGTGGTGAGCAAGTTTAGGAAGGGGAGGAATTTTCCATGATTGATTTGGAGGCCTAAGCCTAATTTTAGAATTAATTCTCTTAATAGATTTGTCCCTGCATCCGGAATTAATAAATTTGATACTAGCTGATCAGTTTTTATATTTCACTTGTGTCTCCTCTAAGAGTTTTGCTCTAAACCCTTCTCCTTTTACCCTTGAGATAAAAAGTTCTTCTTGTGAACAAGTTACACTAGATGGAAAGTAACAAACTGAGGAGCGAGCTGCTCCTGAGTTGATTAAAAAGGTAATAAGCTCAAATTTAGGTCCCACTTGTAAATTTATCAAGGGCTGTTGGTGGGACTCAAGATAAAAAAAGATATAGCCCCTGACTTCCCTAGTCTTCCTCAAAAGCTCTAAGTGGCATGACTTTTTCTTCCTTTTCTCATTCGGGACATTTTCTTTTAAAGTGACCTAATTTTCCACATTTGAAACATTCGTTCTGTCCTTTTTTCTTTTCTACCTTTGAGCCTCCTGGCTTTACTCTTTTGTACCCTTCATATTGCCTGGAGAGCGGGGGTCTAGCTTCCTTACAGGTTCTGGCCCCATGGATACTTTGTTGTATGGTGGACAGCAGAATTTTTGCCTTCTGCTTTTCTCTTCATCTCTTCTTACATATACTTTTTGGGCTTCTCTTAGAAGCTCTTCTATAGATCTGCCTTCCCAGTTCTCTATCTTTTGTAATTTCTTGTTAATATCTGGCCAACTATTAGTTACAAAATGAAGCTTTAACATCCTTCATCTGGGGGGGTCTTCTAATTCTAGACCTGCATATTTTCTCATTTGCTCTTTGAGTCTTTTTAGGAATTTTACAGGTCTTTCATCTTTTCCTTGTTATTGAAAGCTTTTGTAATGTTTTGGATGCGGGGTTTAGACTCTTGAATTCTTTTTATTATCATTTCTCTAAAGTCTTTTCATTATTCTTCTAACATTTCAACATTAGGCCTAGGGGACTATCAGGGGGAATATTATTGTTGCTAGCTTTATACTTTTTAATCCCTTACCTTACTTGGGGTATTTCCCATCTTGATGGTTTTGGGGTAAGGCTCAATCTCCCCTACTGGAGATTTCTTGACTTTTGGGGTGAGGCTCAATTTCCCCTACTGGAAATTTTTTGCCTTCCCGACTACTGGAGGTTTGTGTGAGGCTCAATCCCCCCTACTGGAGATTTCATGCCTTCCTTTCCTAGAGGCTCAACACCCCCCTGCTGGAGGCTTCTCACATTCTTCTACTTTCGCTTTATCCTTCTCTGGCTGCTTCCCTAATGGGAATGTCAGATCCCTCTTGGGATTGGCAGGTTGGTATAAACTCCAACCCAGACTCCTTTACAGGAGGGCTGCCCTAAGCTGTATGAGGTGACTACGAAACCACAAATCCGGACTCAACACTCGCTTTGCACTCAGTTGTGCATCTCATTCACACACTTTCAACCTCCAAGATACCCCGACCACCAAGGAAATACTTTGTCACTCTTGTGACGTTTCTTACCTTGGTCTATGCACAGGGTTACCTGGTATGTGATTATTTTTTTTCCCCCAAGTTGTTGGTCTGTTTCTTCCTGCGTTGCTGAGAGTCCGGGTTTATTCATCACACTGGGTGGGCCTCGATTCCTTACACAAGGCCACCGCAATGAGGCTGCAGGGCGTGCCTCCTCATGGGAGAGGACCAGGGACCCTTGCCCAGAGGAGAATGGGAATCCCGGACTGGCCCCCAAATTTGTTAGAAACAAATGCTCAATGCCGCAAAGAAGAATCAGCACTCTGGCAAAAGGCTTTCTCAGCAAGGCAATTTACTTCTGCAGAAGGGTGCCAATCACGCCTGGAGTGGTTGCAAAAGCACACTGGACAAGGGGGAGGAAGGAGTTCTTATCCCTAACGCAGCTAGTCCCTACTGCTATGTTGTTCCCCTATTGGCTAGGGTTGGACCGCACAGTCTAAGCTAATTCTGATAGGCTATTTTAAAGAGAGCAGGGGTATGAGCTGGAGTGGTGGGAGAGCAGTTTCAGCGGGAAGGATGGTTACAGAGCAGGTGACTAAGATGACTGAGGACAGAGCAGGTGACTAAGGATGACTAAGAACTCTAAATATGTGAGTATAAAGGCTAGAAGGGGGTTGTTTACTGGAAACTAGGGGCAAGGAGGCATAAAGAATGAGGAAGTTAAACTTTAAAATGGAGAACAAAATATAAGGAAGCTGAACATACTGACATACTGGTTCTTTGAAGAGGAACTCAGAACTCAATGTACTTAATAATTGAGGCATATTTAAGTTCATTAATAGTTATGTAAATTTTGTGATTGATATCAACAAATCTAAAATTCAACAGATAAGTTTTTCAGATTAATGTTTTCTCTGTTCTAATTCTGTAGTCTGAATCAACATACAACAACATCATATGTAGTTATTTTTGGTAAAGCAACATATCTGATATGGTTTTGCTGTGTCCCCACCCAAATCTCATCTTGAATTATAGCTCCCATAATTGCCAAGTGTTGTGGGAGGGACTCAGTGGGAGATAATTGCATCATGGGGGCGGTTTCCCCAATACTGTTTTTGTGGTAGTGAATAAGTCTCACGAGATCTGATGGTTTTATAAGGGGAAACCCCTTTCAATTGGTTCTCATTCTCTCGTCTGCTGCCACGTATGTAAAATGTGCCTTTTGCCTTCCGACATGATTGTGAGGCCTTTCTAGCCACATGGAACTGTGAGTCCATTAAATCTCTTTTTCTTTAGAGATTACCCAGTCTCAGGTATGTCTTTATCAGCAGCATGAAAACGGAATAATACAACATCCAGCTCCCTATTTTCCACACTTCTAGTTGCAAATTATATTGTAACTTACAGGATGCTTAACAAGTGAGTTAAATTTTAATCTCTTTTCTTGTTGCTGTTGTTGTTTTAGAGATAGGATCTCGCACTGTCACCCAGGCTGAAGTGCAGTGGTATGAACACAGCTCACTGTAGCCTTAACGCCCTGGGCTCAAGTGATCCTCCTACCTCAGCCTCCCCAGTAGCTAGGACCACAGGTGCATGCCACCATGCCTGGCTAGTTGAAAAAAGTTTTTTTGGTAGAGATGGAGTCTCACTATGTTGTCCAGGCTGGGCTTGAACTCCTGGGTTCAAGCAATCCTCCTGCCTCAGCCTCCGAAAGTGCTGGGATTATAGGCATGAGCCACCATGCCTGGCCTAAATGTGGTTTAAAAGAAAGTATACCAGTGCTAATGAACCTTACAATAGTGAACACAAAGCACCTCTGGAATTCCTCTTTAACTAAAATATTTAAATTATATCATATTGAAACAGCATACTGACTAAAAACTTTTTTTTTTTTTTTGATATGGAGTTTTGCTCTTGTCACCCAGGCTAGAATGCAATGGCGCGATCTCAGCTCACTGCAACTTCCACCGCCCGGGTTCAAGTGATTCTCCTCCCTCAGCCTCCCAAGTGGCTGGGATTACAGGCACCCACCACCATGCCCAGATAATTTTTGTATTTTTAGTAGACACAGGGTTTCACCATGTTGGCCAGGCTAGTCTTGAACTCCTGACCTCAGGTGATCCACCCACCTCGGCCTCCCAAAGTGCTGGAATTACAGGCATAAGCCACCATGCCCAGCCCGATTAAAAACCTTTTAGAGCTTATAGAAATAAAATGGTTAAGACCTAACAAAGAAAAAAAAAGAAATACATTGGTTATATTTCACCAATTCAACTTAATTCTGGGAGATTAAGCAGAATTATTATCCTCCCATTGTTTAAACAATTCAACCAGAGATATCTAGAGACCTAACCGTTTAAATTGTCTTATCTGTTTTCTAGAAACCATAGACTTACCTCCTTCATGTTCTTATTAGTGAAATTAGAGATCTTTTTTCTAGGAAGATCAATGAAATGATCCTCAATCTTATTACAAAAGTTCCGTTTTTTAACATTGTGGGTTTCTGATGCCATAATCTCTTAAGTACCTAGACAATAAAATAAAATAGAAAATTAAAACAGCAAAAAGAGTCTGATCATTTTTAACACACACACAAACATACAACAGTAGCACAATGCTATATAAAAAAGGCAGAGGACATCATTTTAATTTACACATTTTTAAAAACCTTAAACATAGAGGAAGCACAAGGCAAGGCATTCCAGGAAATTAAGGATCTTTCTGTCCTCATTCTTTTTTTTTTTTTTGAGATGGAGTTTTGCTCTGTTGCCCAGGCTGGAGTGCGATGGCACGATCTTGGCTCATTGCAACCTCCGCCTCCTGGGTTGAAGCAATTCTCCTGCCTCAGTCTCCCAAGTAGCTGGGATTATAGGCTTGTGCCACCATGCCCGACTAATTTTATATTTTTTCAGTAGAGACGGGGTTTCACCATGTTGTTCAGGCTGATCTCATACTCCTGACCTCAGGTGATCCATCCGCCTCAGCCTCCCTAAATGCTGGGATTACAGGCATGGGCCACTGTGCCCAGCCTGTCCTCATTCTTTAATTGGAACCAGTGACAATAATATTGTATGTATTTTTTTGTGCCAAAGCAACACATCAATCTCCCCATTTTCCATGTCACTAGCCATTTAATAAACACACAGGTTATGAAATAAGGTGTATAAGGTGGTGGTATCTATGACATCCAAATGTACAGAAACCTAAAACTGTGCAACTAAATCACTGGGTCAAAACAACCCTAAGCAATGAGAGGAACCAAAATTGGACTACATACAACTGACTTGTCCTATGCCTAATCCTTAAATTCTTCTTTCATTTTTGCAGACAGCTCTCCAAAGCTCTCCTCTACCTTTGAAAAAAAAAAAAATCAATGCCCTCCTATTTTACTAATTATATCTAAAGAGGGTCTAAAGAGGGCATGTTGATGGAAACAAATGCTATGACTTAATTTATATAACAGAAGAAATTTGTGATTTTCTCACTTGCACTCTGGTTTCACGTTGGAAATTTATTTTAGGTCATGCCCTGAATGTAAGTTGCTCCCTTATTCTTTCTTTAAACATCTACTAAGCATTCACTATAAGCCAGGCCCTGGCGTTAATGTAGATGGTGCTCAGAGATCCTGTTTTAAAGAATCATTTAGGAAACTTTTTGAAAATGGATTTTTGTGGGCTCTAACTTAAGAGACTGTAACTCAGTATAATACTGTCTCTCTCTGCAGTGGAGCCCAAAGCAATTATATTTTTAAAAAGCTCCACAAGTATTTTTGAGGCATATTCTCAATTCTCCAAAAATATGAACATACACATGAAATTTTACAAATAATTTCAGCGAAAGATTTCTTACAGCTAATTAATGGACAACCCTTCCACCTGTATCCCAGGTTAAGAAACCTCTAGAGTGAGATTTTTTGAAAAGTAAATAAATAACTGCAATAATACAATAAGTACTCTGACAGAAGGTTACTCAGACAAATCAGCACACTGACAAACTAGCATGTGCAGAACTGAAAGGCGTGAAGCAACACGGTTTGTTTGGCAATCTCTTAAGTAGACACTTGTGGCTGGAGCTTACATTGGGGGCGACTTAAATGAGGCTAGAGATAGAAGTTAGATCACAAAGGGTCTTGTCCACAATGCTACAATGTGAGATTTTTTTTTTCAAAAAAGGGGACTTTTAGTTTAAAAGAATGGATTGAACACATGCAATTACCTCTACCCTTCCTTGAAACCTGATTAAATGACAATAAAAGGTTTGTAAAGACATAAAACCCATGAGGACAAAGACAGGAGAAGTTCAGGTGATGGCAATAACATTTTGGAAAATGCAAAGCTAAAAGTGGTAACTTGATCAGGTGTGGTGGCTCATGCCTGTAATCCCAGCAAGTTCGGAGGCTGAGGCAGGCGGATCACCTGAGGTCAGGAGTTCAAGACTAGCCTGTCAAACATGGTGAAACCCTGTCTCTACAAAAATACAAACATTAGCAGGGCGTGGTGGTGGGACCTGTAATCCCAGCTACCTGGGAGGTGAGGCAGGAGAATCGCTTGAACCCGGGAGGCTGAGGTTGCAGTGAGCCAAGATCATGCCACTGCACTCCAGCCTGGGTGACAGAGCAAGACTCTGTCTCGAAAAAATAATAATTAGTAATAAATAAATAAATAAAAGTGGTAACTGACTCAGCAGATGTGAGAAAGCCAGATCCTAAATTGGCAATGAGGAAAGCAAAATGCAGAATCCCCTAAACGTTCAGGAACTGGCAATACCAAGGACATCAAGAAGTAGAGATGGCAAGTCCATTCCAAGATGGCCATTATAATAGGAACAGCTCCGGTCTGCAGCTCCCAGGGTGATCAACACAGAAGACGGGTGATTTCTGCATTTCCAACTGAGGTACCTGGTTCATCTCACTGGGACTGGCTGGACAGTGGATGCAGCCTACAGAGGGCGAGCTGAAGCAGGGCAGGGTGTCACCTCACCCGGGAAGCGCTAGGGGTCAGGAGATTTCCCTTTCCTAGCCAAGGGAATACATGACAGACTCTACCTGGAAAAACGGGACACTCTAGCCCAGATACTGCACTTTTCCAATGGTCTTAGCAAATGGCAGACCAGGAGATTCTATCCTATGCCTGGCTCGGCAGGTCCCACGCCCACGGAGCCTTGCTTACTGCCAGCGCAGCAGTCTGAGATAGACCTGCGAAGCAGCAGCCTGGCAGGGGGAGGGGCGTCCGCCACTGCTGAGGCTTGAGTAGGTAAACAAAGTGGCTGGGGGAAGCTCGAACTGGGCAGAGCCCACTGCAGCTCTGCAAGGCTTGCTGCCTCTAACACTCCACCTCTGGGGTCAGGGCATAGCTGAACAAAAGGCAGCAGAAACTTCTGCAGACTTAAACTTCCCAGTCTGATAGCTCTGAAGAGAGCAGTGGTTCTCCCAACACGACGTTTGAGCTCTGAGAATGGACAGACTGCCTCCTCAAGTGGGTCCTTGACCCCTGTGTAGCCTAACTGGGAGACACCTCCTAGTAGAGGCCGACTGACACCTCATACAGGTGGGTTCCCCTCTGGAATGAAGCTTCCAGAGGAAGGATCAGGCAGCAATATTTGCTGTTCTGCAGCCTCTGCTGGTGATACCCAGGCAAACAGGGTGTGGAGTGGACCTCCAGTAAACTCCAACAGACCTGCAGCTGAGGGGCCTGTCTATTAGAAGGAAAACTAACAAACAGAAAGGAATAGCATCAACATCAACAAAAAGGACATCCACACCAAAACCCCATCCGTAAGTCACCAACATCAAACACCAAAGGTAGATAAAACCACAAAGATGGGGAGAAACCAGAGCAGAAAGGCTGAAAATTCAAAAAATCAGAACACCTCTTCTCCACCAAAGGAACACAACTCCTCACCAGCAAGAGAACAAAACTGGATGGAGAATGAGTTTGACAGGTTGACAGAATTAGGCTTCAGAAGGTCGGTAATAACAAACTTCTCCAAGCTAAAGGAGCATGTTCTCACTTGTTGCAAGGAAGCCAAAAACCTTGAAAAAAGGTTAGACAAATGGTTAACTAGAATAACCAGTGTAGAGAAGAACTTAAATGACATCATGGAGCTGAAAATCACAGTACGAGAACTTCATAAAGCATACACAAGCTTTAATAGCTGATTTGATCAAGTGGAAGAAAGGATATAAGTGAATGAAGATCAAATTAATGAAATACAGCAAGAAGACAAGATTAGAGAAAAAAGAGTGAAAAGAAACGAACAAAGCCTCCAAGAAACATGGGACTATGTGAAAAGACCAAATCTATGTTTGATTGTGTACCTGAAAGTGACGGGGAGAATGCAACCAGTCAGAAAACACTCTTCAGGGTATTATTCAGTAGAACTTCCCCAACCTAGCAAGGCAGGCCAACGTTCAAATTCAGGAAATACAGAGAACACCACAAAGATACTCCTCAAGAAGAGCAACCCCAAGACACTTAATTGTCAGACTCACTAAGGTTGAAATGAAGGGAAAAATGTTAAGGGCAGCCAGAGAGAAAGGTCAGGTTACCCACAAAGGGAAGACTAACAGCGCATTTCTCGGCAGAAACCCTACAAGCCAGAAGAGAGTGGGGGCCAATATTCAACATTCTGAAAGAAAAGAATTTTCAACCCAGAATTTCATATCCAGCCAAACTAAGCTTCATAAGTGAAGGAGAAATAAAATCCTTTACAGACAAGCAAATACCAAGAGATTTTGTCACCACCAAGCCTGCCTTACAAGAGCTCCTGAAGGAAGCACTAAACATGGTTACGAACAACCAGTACCAGCCACTGCAAAAATATGCCAAATTGTAAAGACCATCGATGCTATGAAGAAACTGCATCAATTAACAGGTGAAATAACTAGCTAGCATCATAATGACAGGATCAAATTCATACATAACAGCATTAACCTTAAATGTAAATGGGCTAAATGCCCCAATTAAAAGATACAGACTGGCAAATTGGATAAAGAGTCAAGACCTATCGGTGTGCTGTATTCAGGAGACCCATCTCACGTGCAAAGATACACACAGGTTCAAAATAAAGGGATGGAGGAAGATCTTCCAAGTAAATGGAAAGCAAAAAAAAAGCAGGGTTTGCAGTCCTGGTCTCTTATAAACAGACTTTAAGCCAACAAAGATCAAAAGAGACAAAGAAGACCATTATATAATGGTAAAGGAATCAATTCAACAAGAAGAGCTAACTATCTTAAATATATATGCACCCAATACAGGACCACCCAGATTCATAAAGCAAGTCCTTGGAGACCTACAAAGAGACTTAGACTCCCACACAATAACAATGGGAAACTTCAACACTCCACTGTCAATATTAGACAGATCAGTGAGACAGAAGGTTAACAAGGATGCCCAGGATTTGAACTCAGCTCTGCACCAAGCTGACCTAACAGACATCTACAGAACTCTTCACCCCAAATCAACAGAATATACATTCTTCTCAGCACCACATCGCACTTATTCCAAAATTGACCACATAGTTGGAAGTAAAGCACTCCTCAGGAAATGTAAAAGAACAGAAATCACAGCAAACTGCCTCTCAGACCACAGTGCAATCAAATTAGACCTCAGGATTAAGAAACTCACTCAAAACCATACAACTACTTGGAAACTGAACAACCTGCTCCTGAATGACTACTGGGTAAATAATGAAAGAAGGCAGAAATAAAGATGTTTTTTGAAACCAATGAGAACAAAGACACAACGAACCAGAATCTCTGGGACACATTTAAAGCAGTGTGTAGCCGGAAATTTATGGCATTAAATGCCCCCAAGAGAAAGCAGGAAAGATCTACAATCGACATGCTAAAATCACAATCAAAAGAACTAGAGAAGCAAGAGCAAACAAATTCAAAAGGTAGCAGAAGGCAAGAAATAACTAAGATCAGAGCAGAACTGAAGGAGATAGAGACACAAAAACCCTTCAAAAAAAATCAATGAATCCAGGAGCTGGTTTTTTGAAAAGATCAGCAAAATTGATAGACTGCTAGCAAGACTAATAAAGAAGAAAACAGAGAAGAATCAAATAGATGCAATAAAAATTGATAAAGGGGATATCACCACTGATGCCCCAGAAATACAAACTGCCATCAGAGAATACTATAAACACCTCTATGTAAATAAACTAGAAAATCTAGAAGAAATGGATAAATTCCTGGATACGTACACCCTCCCAAGACTAAACCAGGAAGAAGTTCAATTGCTGAATAGACCAATAACAGGCTCTGAAATTGAGGCAATAATTAATAGCCTACCAACCAAAAAAAGTCCAGGACCAAACAGATTCACAGCCGAATTCTACCAGAAGCACAAAGAGGAGCTGGTACCATTCCTTCTGAAACTATTCCATCAATAGAAAAAGAGGGAATCCTCCCTAACTCATTTTATGAGGCCAGCATCATCCTGATACCAAAGCCTGGCAGAGACACAACAAAAAAAGAGAATTTTAGACCAATATCCCTGATGAACACTGATGCGAAAATCTTCAATAAAATACTGGCAAACCGAATCCAGCAGCACATCAAAACCTTATCCACCACGATCAAGTCGGCTTCATCCCTGGGATGCAAGGCTGGTTCAACAGATGCAAATCAGTAAACGTAATCCATCGCATAAACAGAACCAACAACAAAAACCACATGATTATCTCAATAGATGCAGAAAAGGCCTTTGACAACATTCAACAGCCCTTCATGCTAAAAACTCTCAATAAACTAGGTACTGAAGAATCATATCTCAAAATAATAAGAGCTATTTATGACAATCCCACAGCCAATCTCATACTGAATGGGCAAAAACTGGAAGCATTCCCTTTGAAAACTGGCACAAGACACGGATGCCCTCTCTCACCACTCCTATTCAACACAGTGTTGGAAGTTCTGGCCAGGGCAATCAGGCAAGAGAAAGAAATAAAGGGTATTCAATTAGGAAAAGAGGAAGTCAAATTGTCCCTGTTTGCAGATGACATGATTGTATATTTAGAAAACCCCATCATCTCAGCCCAAAATCTCCTTAAGCTGATAGGCAACTTCAGCAAAGTCTCAGGACACAAAATCAATGTGCAAAAATCAAAAGCATTCCTATATACCAATAACAGACAAACAGAGCCAAATCATGAGTGAACTCCCATTCACAATTGCTACAAAGAGAATAAAATACCTAGGAATCCAACTTACAAGGGATGTGAAGGACCTCTTCAAGGAGAACTACAAACCACTGCTCAATGAAATGAAAGAGGACACAAACAAATGGAAGAACATTCCATGCTCATGGATAGGAAGAATCAATATCGTGAAAATGGCCATACTGCCCAAGGTAATTTATAGATTCAACGTCATCCCCATCAAGCTACCAATGACTTTCTTGGAAGAATTGGAAAAAACTACTTTAAAGTTCATATGGAACCAAAAAAGAGCCTGCATTGCCAAGACAATCCTAAGCAAAAAGAACAAAGCTGGAGGCATCATGCTACCTGACTTCAAACTATACTACAAGGCTACAGTAACGAAAACAGCATGGTACTGGTACCAAAACAGATATATAGACCAATGGAACAGAACAGAGACCTCAGAAATAACACCACACATCTACAACCATCTGATCTTTGACAAACCTGACAACAAGCAATGGGGAAAGGATTCCCTATTTCATAAACGGTGCTGGGAAAACTGGCTAGCCATATGTAGAAAGCTGAAACTGGATCCCTTCCTTACACCTTATACAACAATTAATTCAAGATGGATTAAAGACTTAAATCTTAGATGCCAAATCATAAAAACCCTAGAAGAAAACCTAGACAATACCATTCAGGACACAGACATCGGCAAGGACTTCATGACTAAAACACCAAAAGCAATGGCAACAAAAGCCAAAATAGACAAATGGGATCTAATTAAACTAAAGAGCTTCTGCACAGCAAAAGAAACTACCATCAGAGTGAACAGGCAGCCTATAGAACGGGAGAAAATTTTTGCAATCTACCCATCTGACAAAGGGCTAATATCCAAAATCTACAAAGAACTTAAACAAATTGTCAAGAAAAAAACAAACAACCCAATCAAAACGTGGGCAAAGGATATGAACAGACACATCTCAAAAGAAGACATTTATGCAGCCAACAGACATATGAAAAAATGCTCATCATCACTGGTCATCAGAGAAATGCAAATCAAAACCACAATGAGATACCGTCTCATGCCAGTTAGAATGGTGATCATTAAAAAGTCAGGCAACAACAGATGCTGGAGAGGATGTGGAGAAACAAGAACACTTTTACACTGTTGGTGGGAATGTAAATTGGTTCAACCATTGTGGAAGACAGTGTGGTGATTCCTCAAGGATCTAGAACTAGAAATACCATTTGGCCCAGTGATCCCATTACTGGGTATATACCCAAAGGATTATAAATCATGCTACTATAAAGACACATGAACATGTATGTTTATTGCAGCACTATTCACAGTAGCAAAGACTTGGAACCAACGCAAATGTCCATCAATGATAAACTGGATTAAGAAAATGTGGCACATATATATCATGGAATACTACGCAGCCATAAAAAAGGATGAGTTCACGTCCTTAACAGGGATATGAATGAAGCTGGAAACGATCATTTTCAGCAAACTATCACAAGGGCAGAAAACCAAACACCATATGTTCTCACTCACAGGTGGGAACTGAACAATGAGAACACTTGGACACAGGGCGGGGAACATCACACACCAGGGCCTGTCATGGGGTGGGGGGTGGGGGAGGGACAGCATTAGAAATACCTAATGTAAATGACAAGCTGACAGGTGCAGCAAACCAACATGGCACATGTATACCTATGTAACAAACCTGCATGTTGTGCACATGTACCCTGGCACTTAAAGAATAAAAAATAAATAAAGAAATAAAAGAAGTGGAGATAAAGGTAACCCTAAGAACAAGTAGATAGATTGAATATCCATTTAAGACACAGTTGGCTCACTAGATCCTCTTTCTCATTCCAGTAAAAAAACGAGTTTTATTCTCTAGAAAACGTAAAACAGAGTCCTTGGGAGGAACATATTCTTTTTTTTTTTTTTTTTTGAGATGGAGTCTCACTCTATTGCCCAGGCTGAAGTCCAGTGGCACGATCTCGGCTCACTGCAACCTCTGCCTCCCAGGCTCAAGTGATTCTCCTGCCTCAGCCTCCTGAGTACCTGGGATTACGGGCTCCCGTCACCATGCCTGGCTAATTTCTGTATTTTTAGTAGAGATGGGGTTTCACCATATTGGCCAGGCTGGTCTCAAACTCCTGACTTCAAGTGATCCACCCACCTTGGCCTATCCAAGTGTTGGGATTACAGGTGTAAGCCACTGCACCCAGCCTAGGAACATATTCTAAAAAGGGGGATGATCAAGTGAAAGTTTACATACTAAATGTTGAGACCGCTAATCTTTCTGCTTCTTGCCTCACAGAGGCTTGCAACCAGGCTTATACACTCCAGGGAAGAGTACAGAGGATACTTTCTTAGGAATTCTGACTAATCTTGTAACACACAGACACACAGACACATAGACACACAGACACAGACACACACACACACACACACACACACACACACACACGCTTCTCTCTAAAATACTAACATCAATGGTGGTCTGTTTCCAAAGAACTGTATGTCAACTAAGGTGGTAGTTACCTAATTATCAAAACTAATAGAGCTATACACTAAAAAGGGTGAATTTTTATTGTATGTAAATTGTACTTTGATAAACCTACTTCTAAAAAATATTTTAAAGAATTGCATCTATAAAACAAAAATGGGACAAAAAACCCAACAAAAATACTCTTAAAAATTAAAAATAGGACATAATAAAGATAGTAAAAAACTCAACAGAAGTTGGAAGAGAAACCTGAAGCTATCTCCCAGAACATAGGAAGAAAAAAAAAACCAGAAGACTGGTTTAGAGGGACCAACATCCAAATAAAAAGAATTTTAGAAAGAGTACAAGACAGTAAAAGAGAAATCAAACAAAGAGATAATTTAAGAAAACTGTACAAGGTTGAAGGACATAAATTTCTAGATGGAAAGTGTATCATAATGGATGAAAACAGACCTACAAGGTACATCATTGCTACATTTCACAGTAGTAGGGAAGCTAGAGAAGGTGAAAATATACAAACAAATAAAAAATAAATCCTAAAATCCAAACTTGGTCATGTAAAAATGACAGATACAGAGTAAAGCCTTCAAAATTCTCAGGCAACCTAAAATTTTATATCCAGCCAAATTATCAAGTGTGAGGGTAAGAGAAACGTATCTTCAGATACACAGAGTTCCCAAAAATTTCTTCACAGTAAGCAATAAGAGAAGGATAAACCAAAAAAAAGAAAGATAAGAAATGGAAATCCAACAGGATATATGGAAGGTATTTCCCAGGATGATTATGAAAGAAGGTCCCAAGATGAAGGCTGTGCACCAGAAGTAGAGGAAAACTGGTATACATCGGAGCACATAAGGAAAAAAGTATCCACAAAAATGAAATTAATTTATAATAACTACTTGGTGTTCATTAGAGAGGAGATGGAGACAACTGGGGAATAGTTAGAAGGAATGGCACATTTTTCAAGTGCTATAAGAAAAGAAGTGTCAACCCAGAATCCTATGTTCAGTAAAAATATCCTTCAGGAATGAAAAGAAAACTGACAATCTCAGATGAAAGAAAATTAAGAGAATTTGTTACCAGCAGATCTACCCTAAAAGAATGACTACAGGAAGTTCTCTTTAGCCAAACAAAACAAATGAACAAACAAACAAACAAATGATGAAAGAAGGCATCTAGGAACACCAGGGAGACAGAAAATGGTGAGCAAAAATATAAGAAAATGCAATAGACTTTCATTCTTGAGTTTTCCAAATTATGTTTAATTGTTGAAGTAAAAATTATAACACTATCTGATGTTGTTCAAAATACAGGTAAAGAAACTAAGACTTTTATAGGATAAGTGGTGGAGGTTAAAGGGACATAAAAAGAGGTAAGATTTCTACATTTCACTCAAACTGGTAAAATGACCACATAAGTAGACTGTGATATGTATAATGTAATAACTAGAGCTATCACTGAATTATCAAGAATTATACTCAAAAACACTATAGGGAAATCAAAATGGAATGAGAAACGTGTTTACGTAACCTGGAGAAAGGCAAACAAAACAAAATAACAAACCAACAAATAAAACCAGGGAAACCAAAGAACAGAGAGAACAGAAAACAAAAAATAAACTGATAGACTTAAGCTCTGACATACTGATAACTGTATTATATGTAAATGGTCTAAAAGTCATTTAGTTAATTAAAAGCCAGAGATTGATGGAGTAAATTCAGAAACATGACCTAATTATACGTTGTCCACAAGAAACTCACTTCAAAAATAATGATGTAGGCATGCAGAAAGTAAAAGGAAGGGGGGAAAAAAGTATCATGCAAATACTAACTTTTTTTTTTTTCTTAATTCGCTTTGTCGCCCAGGTTGGAGTGAGTGGTGCGATCTCAGCTTACTGCAACCTCCGCCTCTCGCATTCAAGCGATTCTCCTGCCTGGATGGGACTATAGGTGCCTGCCATCACACCCAGCTAATTTTTCTATTTTTAGTCGAGATGGGGTTTCGCCACGTTAGCTAGGCTGGTCTTGAACTCCTGACCCCAAGTGATCCACCCACCTCAGCCTCCCAAAGTGCCGGGATTACAGGTATGAGCCACTGCGACTGGCCACAAATATTAACTTTTAAAAAGCAGGCCAGGTTGGTGGCTCATGCCTGTAATCCCAGCACTGTGGTAGGCTGACGAGGCAGGAGGATTGCCTGAGTGCAGGAGTTCAAGACCAGCCAGGGCAACATACTAAGATTCCATTACAATAAAAATAATACAAATGTAAAATAAGCAACACACACACACACACACACACACACACACACACACACACACACGCATATATAATATATATGTACATACAGGTTGAGTATCCCTTACCTGAAATCATGAAATGCTTGGAAGCAGAAGTGTTTTGGATCTTTTATTTTTTCAGATTTTGAAATATGTCCATTATATACTTACTGGTTACACACCCCAAATCCCAAATCCCAAATGCTTCAATAAGCATTCCGTTTGAGTGCTCAAAAAATTTCAGTGCTCAAAAAGCCTTGGATTTTGGACCATTTCAGATTTGGATTTTTAGATTTGGAATACTCAACCTGTATGTGTTTTTAAAGAATCTATAAAATCATTTTTTTCTCTAGATGACAACGTACATAGTCTGCACCCTTTCATATGGGAGACATGTTTATTTCTTCAGAGGCTAAAACAGTTTTCTAAAACTTTTTAAGAATGAAGGACTTGACACCATTAGTCATTATAAAATGCAAGTCGAAACTACTTGCAAACCTGTTGCACAAGCAATGAAATAAAACTTCGTAACCATTAGAATGGCTATACTAAAAAAGACAGACAATAACAATGTTGAGAAAGATGTGGAAGAACTGGATCCCTCACGCATTACTACGGGAATGTAAAAATACATTCAAACTTTGGAAAATGTATTTTCCAAATATTACTTGAACCCGGGAGGCGGAGGTTGCAGTGAGCCCAGATCACGCCATTGCACTCCAGCCTGGGTGAGAAAATGGCAGTTTCTTAAAATACTAAATACAGATTTATCATATGATCCAGCAACTCTACTCCTACATAAAAATGCAGAAGAAACAAAAACATATGTCCTGACAAAGATATGTATGCAAATGTTATAACCTTATTCACAATAGCCAAAAAGCAAAAAACAACCCAAATGTCCATCAACTGCTGAATGAATAAACGAAATGTGGTGTATCTGTATGGAATTTTATTCAGCATCAAAAAGGAATGAAGTGGCCAGGCGTGGTGGCTCACGCCTGTAATACCAACACTTTGGGAGGCGGAGGTGGGCAGGTCACCTGAGGTCAGGAGTTCGAAACCAGCCTGGCCAACATGGTGAAACCCCGTCTCAACTAAAAACAGAAAAAAAATAAGCTGGGCGTGGTGGCAGGCGCCTGTAATCCTAGCTACTTGGGAGGCTGAGGCAGGATAATTACTTGAACCCGGGAGGCGGAGTTTGCAGTGAGCCCAGATCACGCCATTGCACTCCAGCCTGGGTAAGAAGAGTGAAACTTCATCTCAAAAAAAAAAAGTAGTACCAATACATATACAACATGTTTGAATACTATGTTAAGTGAAAGAAGCCAAACATGAAAGACCACATATTATATGATTCAATTTAAATGAAAATGTCTATAAAAATAAAATTTATAGAGATAGAAAGCAGACTCGTGGTTGTCTTAGGCTAGGATGGGAGTGGGAATAATTGTATATATAGGCACAAGGTTTCTTTTTGGGATGATGGAAATGTTCTATAATTATACTGGGGTTGACAACTGCACAATTCTGTGTACACTTACAATATACTTACAATCAGTAAATTGTACATTTTGGTATGTACATTTAAGACAGGTGAATTTTATGGTATATAAATTATACTTCAATAAAGCTTTAAAGGGAGTGAAGGAAATCATAATTGTAATGGTAAAGTCTCATTGCAAAGGATTTATACACTACAAATTCCATTTTGTTTCATGTCTCATATATTTGACAGCACCTTTGTTGGGGCAACAATACAGGATTATCCCTTTTCCACCAAGAGCATTTGACAATGTAACTAAAACTACTTTAAAGCAATGGTCAGGCCTCTATGCGCTTTTGAAGTGCTATTTGATAATACACAAAAAAGTGAAGAATCTGAAATGGTATTAAGGGTTGAAGACAGTGATTATAGAAACTGGCAATTATCATTGCCTTTTAATGAAAAAAAGGAACAAAAGAAATAAGGTCTTAAGAGAATAAAAGATTGAGAAGAGGCCAATACACTAACTGTATATAACTATCCTGAACATTGGATATAGTGCATATTTTCTTAAAGACAATACAGTGTTTGCTAATACCCTTAGTGTATTGTCCTAAGAAGGTAGAAAAACAGAAGCATGTAGAAGGAATTGGAGGGATAAATTCTCTTTACATAGTAGCTGTCACCTACCAGAAAAATGAAAAGGGATCTTTCTATATAATCTACTACAATGGCTGCCAAATCAAAGGATTAAACAGCTCTAGGCTGGGAGCGGTGGCTCACACATGTAATCCCAGCACTTTGGGCGGCCGAGGTGGGTGGATCATTTGAGGTCAGGAGTTTGAGATGAGCCTGACCAACATAGTGAAATCCACTCTCTACTAAAAATATAAAACTAGCTGAGCATGGTGGTACACGCCTGTAATCCCAGCTACTTGGGAGGCTGAGGCAGGAGAATCACTTGAGCCCGCGAGGCAGAGGTTGCAGCGAGCCACTGTACTCCAGCCTGGGTGACAAGAGCAAAACTCTGTCTTAAAAAAAAAAAGGATTAAACAGCTCGAAGTGTTCACATACTCCACATCTACTTAAAATAATGAGAAAAACTCATCATACAGGAATGGAACACATCTAGACTTTTGTTTGTAACACCTTAAGTTATAGCTCAAGATCAAGTTAAGCTTTCTTTTTCCATTAATATACTACAATATATTTATCACTTACATTGTATTTAACTCTGTAATTTTACGAGGCAATTTCATTCCTCCTCTTGAAAATCAAAGCATAGTTGTGTACAAAGAAACTTTCTCCTCCAGTTACTACTACACAGTCATTCCCACTATGGCAAAGGGTATGTGTAGTTATCTCTCAAGAATCTTGAAGGTGAAAACAGTTTATAACCACTATAATACAATACATAAATAAGAAATAAAAGGGTTTTAGAACGTAAAAGCTTTAGTCTATTTTTTTTAACCCAGAGATGTCAAGTAACTAACCCAAAGACAGTTAATAGCAGATCACAGGACGTAGAATACATGCCATTCAACCACATTTCTATTTTCGTTAATTGAATTCAATTTGTTCTCAACTGGAATAAACATTTTCAATCCGAATAACCAACTTTAAACAGCGTATTGAAGCCAAATAAGATGACAGTACTAATTTTTCTGAGGAGATAACAACAGGTGGACAGGTGAACATAAGCTATAAGCTATCTACCATCCTTCCTTCATCTAACATGGGTAACCTTTTCCTCTCTTTTCTAAGGCCCACCAGGAGATTCATGGGGCCTTATCACAAGTTTTCCCATGAGGCAGCTACCATGTAAAAAATGAAAGGGAAGGGTGAACATGAACTTTTTTCTTCAAGAATTTCAATGGGCCGGGCGTGGTGGCTCTCACCTGTAATCTCAGCACTTTGGGAGGCCAAGGAGGGCAGATCACGAGGTCAGGAGATCGAGACCATCCTGGCTAACCCGGTGAAACCCTGTCTCTACTAAAAATACAAAAATTAGCCAGGTGTGGTGGTGGGCACTTGTAGTCCCAGCTACTTGGGAGGCTGAGGCAGGAGAATGGCATGAACCCAGGAGGCGGAGCTTGCAGTGAGCTGAGATCGTGCCACTGCACTCCAGCCTGGGCGACAGAGCAAGACTCTGTCTCAAAAAAAAAAAAAAAAAAAAAAGGATTTCACTGAAGGAGAGAAGAAGAGAAGGTAAACATGAGATTTTTCTGGGATAATCTTTAGGGCCTGTACGTACTGATTCCTTCCTCCTTTCCTCCTAAATTCAGTTGCCAGACTCTCAATATGTGCAGTATTTCCATAACCACAGTATTATCTGTAGTTATGTTTCAAAATGCAATACAGATCAGGTTAAAAAAAGAAGGTGATAAGAATGGATCTAAGAAAGCCAAGGCTGATCTCAATGGGACTGGTGCTTACAATGGAATATTAAAAAGACTATTTTCAAAGGCTGTTTTGTGAAGTGAAGCCAAGTCCAAAAATAATGGTTGTCTTAGCTCGTTTTGTGCTACTACAACAGAATAGCTGAGACTGGGTAATTTATAAAGAACAGAGGTTTATTTTGTTTAGTTCTAGAGGCTTGGAAGTCCAAGACTGAGGGGCCCATATCTAGCAAGGGCCTTTTTGCTTCCTCATCCCATGGTGGAAGGTAGAAGGGTAAGTGGGCAAAACAGAAAGCAAAAGGGCCAAAGTTACTTTTATAACAAACCCACTTTAACAATAATGAACCTGCTCCTATGATAAAAATATTAATCTATTCATGACAGAGCCCTCATGACCTAATCATCTCTTAACAGTCCCACCTCTCAACACTGTCACATAGGGGATTAAGTTTCCAACACGTGAACTCTGGAGCGCACATTGAAACCATAGCAATGGTATTTTTTTTTGTTTGTTTTTTAAGAGATAAAGTCTCATAGGTTGCCCAGGCTGGCCTCAAACTCCCGGACTCAAGAGATTCTCCCACTTCAGCCTCCAGAATAGCCAAGACTATAGGCACACAACATCCCACCTGGCAAGCAACAGTATTTTAAAAAGCAGAATAGAAAACTAAATGCATAGTAAGATCCAGGTTTTTCAAAAGAGATATAGGTAAGATCTATCCAATCAAAAAAGGTCTATCAAAACATTAACAGAAATTATTTATTGTTGGTGGGATTATGGGTGCTCCCCCCCACCATCACTTAACATGTTTTTCTATTTTCTACAACAAACACGAATTATTTTTATAATCTGAAGAAATAAATATTTTAACTTAATGAGATCACTATCTTATAAAACATGGCTTAATCGTATAACTCCCTTATAGTAAACAAGCAAAAAAGGTGGAAATGCCAATACATGGAGGTAATATTTCATAAGAAGAATCTATTTTAACTTTTCCAAAATTAGGACAGCTTCATCTAATTTTCTCAGTTCTTGCTTTCTCACCTCAATTTGGACTTTGCTCCCACAAACCCTTTTTAAAAATCTTTGATTTCTCCCTTTGAACTTATTCCTCCCTTCTGCTTTCAAACATGATCAGATTTCCGTGATCAACTCCTATACTCTTTCTCTGCTTCCCTTTCCTGCCAAATTTCTACAATGAGTGCTTTTTAGCTTCCATTTTCTCTTTAACTCTTTGTAATCTTGCTTTTATTTTGCTCTCTCATCTGAAAAAAAAAATGCGTCTTGAATTAAACCTATATAGGAGCCTTTATAGCACTGATGATGCTCATCAAAGTCAGCCAAGCCAACTCTAAAGACATTGCTCATTCTTCATCACCATTTAGCTCTTTCGTCACTTCAGGGCCCTTCCCTGACTCTTTCTGTTCATACGACACAGTTGTCCTGACTCTCCTTGTTCCCTTACCATTTTTCTGGTTCCTTTTCCTCCAGCAGCTCCTCTCTCTACTGAAATTGAAGAAATATGCTTTCATGGCTTCAGTTATTTCTCTCGACCCAGGTCTTCTTTAATTTCTTTGTATTTGGCTCCTCGGTCAGCCACTGCTAGGTCCAAGTCAACACATCTAAATCTCTTCAATGTCAAACCAACTTGCTGCCCTTCCTAGCTATCACATTTGAAATGACTGGCAAAATTCTCTCAGACTGGAAACATGGGAGTTATTTTGACTCCTTTCTCCTTCCTTCTAACAAATCACCAAGTTTTCTCAAATCTTCTTTCAGGCAGGGCACAGTGGCTCACACCTGTAATCCCAGCACTTTGGGAGGCTGAGGCGGGAGGGTCACTTGAGCCCAGGAGTTCGATACCAGCCTAGGCAACATAGTGAGACCCGTCTCCAAAAAAAACCAAACCAAAGCAAAACAAACAAAAAACCTTCCTTCAAAATATTTCACAGATCCATTCAGATCTTCCTTCTTCCACTGTCAGAACTATAGCCCCATAACTTCAAGCCTAAATCACCATAACAATTATTTGATTTTCCTGCCACCAGTCTTCTCCTGGTCCTTGCAAATCATCCTATACAAGTGTTACCTATAGTGTTCATGGTAAAATACTACTACAGAATTTCCAAAGTAGTGCTGTAGATTTTAATGGATGCTGTATGGTGTTCAAGTACATTTGGATATGCTGCACGTTAAACTATTTCCTGGAATTTAAATATATTAAAAAGGCCCTAAGAAGTTGGCACAATTTTAATCCATGATTCCCAGACTTAGCCATCATCCTATCTTATTTTTATTTTAGAAGATACATAAAAAATTTGAAAAATGTAGATTTCCAAGAAACATAGTTTTTGGAACTGATTTGCTACACCAAGACTAAACTATTTATCTAAATATCGAAGACATACTCTCGTTTCTCTTCAGATCGTATTAATCTTTCACCTCTTAAATACTGAAGGTCTTCATAATTAGAGACATTACTATTAAAAATTAATAATTAATTTTTTAAATTAGAAGGGAGAAAACACAAAACATTCCAGCATATACATATATATGTCCATATATATATCCATATATATACATATATATACACATATATATGTCCATATATATACACATATATATGTCCATATATATACACATATATATGTCCATATATATATCCATATATATACACATATATATGTCCATATATATATCCATATATATGGACATATATATGTCCATATATACACATATATATGTCCATATATATATCCATATATATACACATATATATGTCCATATATATATCCATATATATACATATATACATGTCCATATATATCCATATATATACACATATATATAGTCCATATATATATATCCATATATATATATATATATGGATGGGGAGGAGAAAGGGTTTTGCTGGGGAAAGATTCCACTACGATAGTGTTAACAGTATCATTAAAAATAACAGATAGACTTTATCAAAAATTTACCATATGCCAGGTGTAGGCACTGAAGACATATTATCCTCTTTCTATAGGTAAGAAAATAAAGGCATAAAAAGATTAAATAATTTGCCCGAGATTAAACAACGAAAACAAGTAAGAGTCTGCACTGGAACCCAGGTGTTCTGTATCCATTGCCTATATTCTTAACGAATACACTGTAATGCCTCCCAATTAATATGAGAGATTAAGGGCTGAATGTATAAACAGATGATACAGTTTTCATCACTTTCTAGCTCATGATTTTTGGCAGATCATTTATTCTATTCTAAATCTGTTTTCTCAAATGCAAAATGAGAATATTGTGAAAATCAAAATGAGATTACACGTAAGTTATTACTGCTATTATCACCAATAATACTTATAAGAAATATAAACATATACAATTACGGTGTTCTGGAAGGCAAATTTGACAGCATTGTAAAGCAAATGAAATATAATCACATCTCAGTATGCCCTCATTTAGAGTGACCATAGAATTTATCATCCAAACTAGGACACTTTTGAGAGTGAAAGGAGTTACTATTAAAAATTATGCTGGGACAATAGGCATAAATCAGATCAGTCCCACGAATATTGGGATATATGTTCACCCCACCTGAGGTAAATGTTTACCATCCTAGACTGGTTTATTCATGATTTTTTTCTATACAAATGACTAACTACTCAGCAATAAAAAAGAATGAACTACTAATAAACATGACAACCTGGATAAGTCTCAAATGCATTATACTAAGTGAAAGAAGCCAGATTCGAAAGGCTACATATTACATAACTTCATTTTCATGACATTCTAGAAAATAAATATGGATAAGAAAAATATCAGTGATTGCCAGAGACAGGGAAGGAAGCTGACTAAAAAGGATAAGAGGAAACATTTTGAGGAGAGGGACATGTTCTGTATTTTGATTGTGGTGGTAATTACACAACTGCCAAAACTCACGGAAAGGATACCTCAATAATCTGACTTAAAAATAAATTGGGGCACACAGCTATCCATGGCTTTTCACTAGACTCCTTGGATACCTGGCATTTGCTTGACAGAGCTGAGAAATATGGCGCCCCTTGGCCCACATCCATTCTTTTGTCTCCAGGAAACTGGTTACTCTTCAATCCTGGAGGTGCCAGAAACATTCCTCAAAGTATCTGGAATTTTCGTTTTGACTGGCGACTACCAAGGCCAGCTCTACCGGTTTTGTTTGCTCCTCTCAGCTGTGTGGGCTGGGTCTGACCCTGCAGACTGGGGATGCCCTCAGTACCCTTTGTATGCAATGATGTGGGGTAAGTGCTGTCAGGCCAATGGGAGTTAAAACTTAATTTGCAAAGGCCTCCAGGCTCCTCCTGCCCCTCCCAGCTCTCTGGAAAGCTTTCTACTTACTATGCAGGTAGGTATCACAACTTACAATCTGGGTAAAAAATTAAAGACTCATCCGAATTTTTAAAGGCTGGTGCAGCTAAAAAGATTAGGTCAAACAGATCCATGTTCAAATTCCCAGCTTTCCCACTTAACTAGCTCTATAACCTTGGAAACAGCTGAATCTCACTTTTTTAAATCTATTAAAGACATTTATGTATTTACCTTGCCTCACTCCAAAAGAAAGAAAAACCTGCAGACAATAAAATACGATTATTTTTTAATAGAGGAGGAAACTAGAATAAAGAGAAAGGGGAATAAATAAGTTAATTACCAAATTCTTAAAACCTGAGAGAATATTTTGATGTTCAAAGTGATTTCAAAGTGGTAGGCAAAGTTTGGCAGAGTACTAACATTAGAATGCCATGCAGAGATCAAGTGATTCCATTTATGAGAAGAGGGCAAAAACTTAAGAAACTACCACATTAAATCTTTTACAAGAAGCAGAGGGGAAAAGGTAGAAACTCCTAAACTCGGCTGGGTGCGGTGGCTCATGCCTTAATTTCAGCACTCTGGGAGGCCGAGGCAGGTGGATCAGCTGAGGTCAGGAGTTCAAGACTAGCCTGGCCAACATGGTGAAACCCCATCTCTACTAAAAACACAAAAAACTGCCGGGCGCAGTGGCTCACGCCTGTAATCCCAGCACTTTGGGAGGCCGAGGCGGGTGGATTACGAGGTCAGGAGATCGAGACCATCCTGGCTAACCCGGTGAAACCCCGTCTCTACTGAAAAAATACAAAAGAATTAGCCAGGCGTGGTGGCGGGCGCCTGTAGTCCCAGCTACTCGGGAGGCTGAGGCAGGAGAATGGCGTGAACCCGAGAGGCTGAGCTTGCAGTGAGCCGAGATCGCGCCACTGCAGTCCAGCCTGGACGACAGAGCGAGACTCTGTCTCAAAAAAAAAAAATTAGCTGGGCGTGGTGGTGCGCACCTGTGGTCTCAGCCACTCGGGAAAGTCAGACAGCAGAATCACTTGAACCTGGGAGGCCAATGCTACAGTGAGCTGAGATCGCTACAGTGAACCGAGATTGCGCCACTGCACTTCAGCCTGGGCAACAGAGTGAGATTCCATCTCAAAAAAAAAAAAAAAGGAACTCCTAAACTCATTGTAAGTATCCTTAAACATAGCTTTTGGTATTAATACTTCCTGTCTCTCCTAATGTTTCTTTTTTTTTTTTTTGAGACAGAGTCTCGCTCTGTCACCCAGGCTGGAGAGTGCAGTGGCGATCTCGGCTTACTGCAAGCTCCGCCTCCTGGGTTCACGCCATTCTCCTGCCTCAGCCTCCCGAGTAGCTGGGACTACAGGCGCCCGCCACCATGCCCGGCTAATTTTTTTCTACTTTTAGTAGAGATGGGGTTTCACCTTGTTAGCCAGGATGGTCTCGATCTCCTGACCTCGTGATCCGCCCACCTCGGCCTCCCAAAGTGCTGGGATTACAGGCATGAGCCACTGTGACTGGCCATGTTTCATTTTTATTAAAACAAAATGTTTCTTCTAAAACTTCTCCTTCCTTCCTTTCTACTTCATCATAGCCTCTCTTGATGACTTGAGTTCAAATCTTCCTCTTTGAAACACTTGAGACAGGGTCTCGCTCTGTGCCTAGGCTGGAGTGCCATGGTATGATCACAGCTCACTGCAGCCTTGACTTCCCAAGCTCAAGTGATCCTGCCACCTCACCCTCCCAAGTAGCTGGGACTACAGGTGCCTGCCACCATGCCCAGCTAATTTTTGTATTTTTTGTAGAGACGGGGTTTCACCATGTTGCCCAGACTGATCTCAAACTCCTGGGCTGAAGAGATCTGCTTGCCTTGGCCTCCCAAAGTGCTGGGATTACAGGCATGCACCACTGTGCTGGCCTCTAAAGGACTCTAGATCCTTGTCTTCGTTGATTTCTTCCTTCACTATCTCTTTTTGTACTTAGTGAATACTGCACAGTTTAAGACTTAACAATCTACAAATAATTGAAGGCCTAAAGGTAAGATATGACTGGGCACTAACTAATCCAGGTGTGTCTCCTCTTGCCAAATAGACTGCAAAACTTCTCTTGGGCAGCAACTGCATTTCGTATATTTACGTATGCAATGTAAATTGTAAATCAATGATTATTAGATTAGTTAATATAAATGTATACCTATAGATATATAACCTCCAGTGAACAATGAATACCATCACACTCAAAATACTGTTACCAGAACAGCAGGGGTTTGGTCTAGGTCCTGATGCTTGGCACACAGAAAGCCAATCACTGAGACAATGCAGGGAAGAAGGCTCTAATCAGGTGCTGCAGCTCAGGAAATGGAAGATCGGCCTCAAATCCATCTCCCTGACCAACTAAAATCAGGGGTTTATATAGCAGGGAAGAAATGTAACTACATGCAGGAAAACAGGAATTAGGGAGGGGTAAGAAAGAAGAGTTGGTCAACAGGAAGCAGGCGGCCACTTGGGCAATCATGACAGATAAGGGGTCTGGTGTCTCATTGTCCAGATGCTATGATCTGGTACGTTTTAGTTCCATGATACTGTCTGAGAGTCCTGCTGGTTGGTTTCCTGAGA